>NC_000001.11:123155299-123481326 GCF_000001405.40 Homo sapiens
CTTCCTTGTGTTGTGTGTATTCAACTCACAGAGTTGAACGATCCTTTACACAGAGCAGACTTGTAACACTCTTTTTGTGGAATTTGCAAGTGGAGATTTCAGCCGCTTTGAAGTCAAAGATAGAAAAGGAAATATCTTCCTATAAAAACTAGACAGAATGATTCTCAGAAACTCCTTTGTGATGTGTGCGTTCAACTCACAGAGTTTAACCTTACTTTTCATAGAGCAGTTAGGAAACACTGTGTTTGTAAAGTCTGCAAGTGGATATTCAGACCTCCTTGAGGCCTTCGTTGGAAACGGGATTTCTTCATATTATGCTAGACAGAAGAATTCCCAGTAACTTCCTTGTGTTGTGTGTGTTCAACTCACAGAGTTGAACTTTCATTTACACAGAGCAGATTTGAAACACTCTTTTTGTGGAATTTGCAATTGGAGATTTCAAGCGCTTTGAGGCCAAAGGCAGAAAAGGAAATATCTTCGTATAAAAACTAGACAGAATCATTCTCAGAAACTGCTCTGTGATGTGTCCGTTCAACTCTCAGAGTTTAACTTTTCTTTTCATTCAGCAGTTTGGAAACACTCTGTTTGTAAAGTCTGCACGTGGATAATTTGACCACTTAGAGGCCTTCGTTGGAAACGGGTTTTTTTCATGTAAGGCTAGACAGAAGAATTCCCGGTAACTTCCTTGTGTTGTGTGCATTCAACTCACAGAGTTGAACGTTCCCTTAGTCAGAGCAGATTTGAAACATTCTTTTTGTGCAATTTGCAAGTGGAGAATTCAAGCGCTTTAAGGTCAATGGCAGAAAAGGAAATATCTTAGTTTCAAAACTAGACACAATCATTCCCACAAACTGCGTTGTGATGTGTTCGTTCAACTCACAGAGTTTAACCTTTCTGTTCTTAGAGCAGTTAGGAAACACTCTGTTTGTAAAGTCTGTAAGTGGATATTCTGACATCTTGTGGCCTTCGTTGGAAACGGGATTTCTTCATATTCTGCTAGACAGAAGAATTCTCAGTAACTTCCTTGTGTTGTGTGTATTCAACTCACAGAGTTGAACGATCCTTTACACAGAGCAGACTTGAAACACTCTTTTTGTGGAATTTGCAAGTGGAGATTTCAGCCGCTTTGAGGTCAATGGTAGAAAAGGAAACATCTTCGTATAAAGACTAGACAGAATGATTATCAGAAACTCCTTTGTGATGTGTGCGTTCAACTCACAGAGTTTAACCTTTCTTTTCATAGAGCAGTTAGGAAACACTCTGTTTGTAAAGTCTGCAAGTGGATATTCAGACCTCTTTGAGGCCTTCGTTGGAAACGGGATTTCTTCATATTCTGCTAGACAGAAGAATTCTCAGAGTCTTCCTTGTGTTGTGTGTATTCAACTCACAGAGTTGAACGATCCTTTACACAGAGGAGACTTGAAACACTCTTTTTGTGGAATTTGCAAGTGGAGATTTCAGCCGCTTTGAGGTCCATGGTAGAAAAGGAAATATCTTCGTATAAAAACTAGACAGAATGATTCTTAGAAACTCCTTTGTGATGTGTGCGTTCAACTCACAGAGTTTAACCTTTCTTTTCATAGAGCAGTTAGGAAACACTCTGTTTGTAAAGTCTGCAAGTGGATATTCAGACCTCTTTGAGGCCTTCGTTGGAAACGGGTTTTTTTCATATAAGGCTAGACAGAAGAATTCCCAGTAACTTCCCTTGTGTTGTGTGCATTCAACTCACAGAGTTGAACATTCCCTTAGACAGAGCAGATTTGAAACACTCTATTTGTGCAATTTGCAAGTGTAGATTTCAAGCGCTTTAAGGTCAACGGCAGAAAAGGAAATATCTTCGTTTCAAAACCAGACAGAATCATTCCCACAAACTGCGTTGTGATGTGTACGTTCAACTCACAGAGTTTAACCTTTCTGTTCATAGAGCAGTTAGGAAACACTCTGTTTGTAAAGTCTGTAAGTGGATATTCTGACATCTTGTGGCCTTCGTTGGAAACGGGATTTCTTCATATTCTGCTAGACAGAAGAATTCTCAGTAACTTCCTTGTGTTGTGTGTATTCAACTCACAGAGTTGAACGATCCTTTACACAGAGCAGACTTGAAACACTCTTTTTGTGGAATTTGCAAGTGGAGATTTCAGCCGCTTTGAGGTCAATAGTAGAAAAGGAAATATCTTCGTAGATAAACTAGACAGAATGATTCTCAGAAACTCCTTTGTGATGTGTGCGTTCAACTCACAGAGTTTAACCTTTCTTTTCATAGAGCAGTTAGGAAACACTCTGTTTGTAAAGTCTGCAAGTGGATATTCAGACCTCTTTGAGGCCTTCGTTGGAAACGGGTTTTTTTCATATAAGGCTAGACAGAAGGATTCCCAGTAACTTCCCTTGTGTTGTGTGTGTTCAACTCACAGAGTTGAACTTTCATTTACAAAGAGCAGATTTGAAACACTCTTTTTGTGGAATTTGCAAGTGGAGATTTCAAGCGCTTTGAGGCCAAAGGCAGAAAAGGAAATATCTTCGTATAAAAACTAGACAGAATCATTCTCAGAAACTGCTGCGTGATGTGTGCGTTCAACTCTCAGAGTTTAACTTTTCTTTTCATTCAGCGGTTTGGTAATACTGTGTTTGTAAAGTCTGCACGTGGATATTTTGACCACTTAGAGGCCTTCGTTGGAAACGGGTTTTTTTCATGTAAGGCTAGACAGAAGAATTCCCAGTAACTTCCTTGTGTTCTGTGCATTCAACTCACAGAGTTGAACGTTCCCTTAGACAGAGCAGATTTGAAACACTCTATTTGTGCAATTTGCAAGTGTAGATTTCAAGCGCTTTAAGGTCAATGGCAGAAAAGGAAATATCTTCGTTTCAAAACTAGACAGAATCATTCCCACAAACTGCGTTGTGATGTGTTCGGTTCAACTCACAGAGTTTAACCTTTCTTTTCATAGAGCAGTTAGGAAACAGTCTGTTTGTCAATTCTGTAAGTGGATATTCTGACATCTTGTGGCCTTCGTTGGAAACGGGATTTCTTCATATTCTCCTAGACAGAAGAATTCTCAGTAACTTCCTTGTGTTGTGTGTATTCAACTCACAGAGTTGAACGATCCTTTACACAGAGCAGACTTGAAACACTCTTTTTGTGAAATTTGCAAGTGGAGATTTCAGCCGATTTGTGGTCAATGGTAGAATAGGAAATATCTTCCTATAGAAACTAGACAGAATGATTCTCAGAAACTTCTTTGTGATGTGTGCGTTCAACTCACAGAGTTTAACCTTTCTTTTCATAGAGCAGTTAGGAAACACTCTGTTTGTAAACTCTGCAAGTGGATATTCAGACCTCTTTGAGGCCTTCGTTGGAAACCGGATTTCTTCATACTGTGCTAGACAGAAGAATTCTCAGTAACTTCCTTGTGTTGTGTGTATTCAACTCACAGAGTTGAACGATCCTTTACACAGAGCAGACTTGTAACACTCTTTTTGTGGAATTTGCAAGTGGAGATTTCAGCCGCTTTGAGGTCAATGGTAGAAAAGGAAATATCTTCCTATAAAAACTAGACAGAATCATTCTCAGAAACTGCTCTGCGATGTGTGCGTTCAACTCTCAGAGTTTAACTTTGCTTTTCATTCAGCAGTTTGGAAACACTCTGTTTGTAAAGTCTGCACGTGGATAATTTGACCACTTAGAGGCCTTCGTTGGAAACGGGTTTTTTTCATGTAAGGCTAGACAGAAGAATTCCCAGTAACTTCCTTGTGTTGTGTGCATTCAACTCACAGAGTTGAACGTTCCCTTAGACAGAGCAGATTTGAAAAACTCTATTTGTGCAATTTGCAAGTGTAGATTTCAAGCGCTTTAAGGTCAACGGCAGAAAAGGAAATATCTTCGTTTCAAAACTAGACAGAATGATTCTCAGAAACTCCTTTGTGATGTGTGCGTTCAACTCACAGAGTTTAACTTTTCTTTTCATAGACCAGTTAGGAAACACTCTGTTTGTAAAGTCTGCAAGTGGATATTCAGACCTCTTTGAGGCCTTCGTTGGAAACGGGATTTCTTCATATTATGCTAGACAGAATAATTCTCAGTAACTTCCTTGTGTTGTGTGTATTCAACTGACAGAGTTGAACGATCCTTTACACAGAGCAGACTTGAAACACTCTTTTTGTGGAATTTGCAAGTGGAGATTTCAGCCGCTTTGAGGTCAATAGTAGAAAAGGAAATATCTTCGTAGAAAAACTAGACAGAATGATTCTCAGAAACTCCTTTGTGATGTGTGCGTTCAACTCACAGAGTTTAACCTTTCTTTTCATAGAGCAGTTAGGAAACACTCTGTTTGTAAAGTCTGCAAGTGGATATTCAGACTTCCTTGAGGCCTTCGTTGGAAACAGGATTTCTTCATATTTCTGCTAGACAGAAGAATTCCCAGTAACTTCCCTTGTGTTGTGTGTGTTCAACTCACAGAGTTGAACTTTCATTTACACAGAGCAGATTTCAAACACTCTTTTTGTGGAATTTGCAAGTGGAGATTTCAAGCGCTTTGAGGCCAAAGGCAGAAAAGGAAATATCTTCGTATAAAAACTAGACAGAATCATTCTCAGAAACTGCTCTGTGATGTGTGCGTTCAACTCTCAGAGTTTAACTTTTCTTTTCATTCAGCAGTTTGGAAACACTCTGTTTGTAAAGTCTGCACGTGGATAATTTGACCACTTAGAGGCCTTCATTGGAAAAGGGTTTTTTTCATGTAAGGCTAGACAGAAGAATTCTCAGTAACTTCCTTGTGTTGTGTGTATTCAACTCACAGAGTTGAACGTTCCCTTAGACAGAGCAGATTTGAAACACTCTATTTGTGCAATTTGCAAGTGTAGTTTTCAAGCTCTTTAAGGTCAACGGCAGAAAAGGAAATATCTTCGTTTCAAAACTAGACAGAATCATTCCCACAAACTGCGTTGTGATGTGTTCGTTCAACTCACAGAGTTTAACCTTTCTGTTCACAGAGCAGTTAGGAAACACTCTGTTTGTAAAGTCTGTAAGTGGATATTCTGACATCTTGTGGCCTTCGTTGGAAACGGGATTTCTTCATATTCTGCTAGACAGAAGAATTCTCAGAAACTTCGTTGTGTTGTGTGTTTTCAACTCACAGAGTTCAACGATCCTTTACACAGAGTATACTTGAAACACTCTTTTTGTGGAATTGGCAGGGTGGAGATTTCAGCCGCTTTGAGGTCAATGGTAGAAAAGGAAATATCTTCGTATAAAAACTAGACAGAGTGATTCTCAGAAACTCCTTTGTGATGTCTGCGTTCAACTCACAGAGTTTAAACTTTCTTTTCATAGAGCAGTTAGGAAACACTCTGTTTGTAAAGTCTGCAAGTGGATATTCAGACCTCCTTGAGGCCTTCGTTGGAAACGGGATTTCTTCATATTCTGCTATACAGAAGAATTCCCAGTAACTTCCTTGTGTTGTGTGTGTTCAACTCACAGAGTTGAACTTTCATTTAGACAGAGCAGATTTGAAGCACTCTTTTTGTGGAATTTGCAAGTAGAGATTTCAAGCGCTTTGAGGCCAAAGGCAGAAAAGGTAATATCTTCGTTTCAAAACTAGCCAGAATCATTCTCAGAAACTGCTCTGCGATGTGTGCGTTCAACTCTCAGAGTTTGACTTTTCTTTTCATTCAGCAGTTTGGAAACACTCTGTTTGTAAAGTCTGCACGTGGATAATTTGACCACTTAGAGGCCTTCATTGGAAACGGGTTTTTTTCATGTAAGGCTAGACAGAAGAATTCCCAGTAACTTACCTTGTGTTGTGTACATTCAACTCACAGAGTTGAACGTTCCCTTAGACAGAGCAGATTTGAAACACTCTTTTTGTGCAATTGGCAAGTGGAGATTTCAAGCGCTTTAAGGTCAATGGCAGAAAAGGAAATATCTTCGTTTCAAAACTAGACAGAATCATTCCCACAAACTGCGTTGTGATGTGTTCGTTCAACTCACAGAGTTTAACCTTTCTTTTCCTAGAGCAGTTAGGAAACAGTCTGTTTGTCAATTCTGTAAGTGGATATTCTGACATCTTGTGGCCTTCGTTGGAAACGGGATTTCTTCATATTCTGCTAGACAGAAGAATTCTCAGTAACTTCATAGTGTTGTGTGTATTCAACTCACAGATTTCAACGATCCTTTACAAAGAGCAGACTTGAAACACTCTTTTTGTGGAATTTGCAAGTGGAGATTTCAGCCGCTTTGAGGTCAATGGTAGAATAGGAAATATCTTCCTATAGAAACTAGACAGAATGATTCTCAGAAACTTCTTTGTGATGTGTGCGTTCAACTCACAGAGTTTAACCTTTCTTTTCATAGAGCAGTTGGGAAACACTCTGTTTTTAAAGTCTGCAAGTGGATATTCAGACCTCTTTGAGGCCTTCGTTGGAAACGGGTTTTTTTCATGTAAGGCTAGACAGAAGAATTCTCAGTAACTTCCTTGTGTTGTGTGTATTCAACTGACAGAGTTGAACTTTCATTTAGAGAGAGCAGATTTGAAACACTGTTTTTGTGGAATTTGCAAGTGGAGATTTCAAGCGCTTTGGGGCCAAGGGCAGAAAAGGAAATATCTTCGTATAAAAACTAGACAGAATCATTCTCAGAAACTGCTGCGTGATGTGTGCGTTCAACTCTCAGAGTTTAACTTTTCTTTTCATTCAGCGGTTTCGAAACACTCTGTTTGTAAAGTCTGCACGTGGATATTTTGACCACTTAGAGGCCTTCGTTGGAAACGGGTTTTTTTCATGTAAGGCTAGACAGAAGAATTCTCAGTAACTTCCTTGTGTTGTGTGTATTCAACTCACAGAGTTGAACGATCCTTTACACAGAGCAGACTTGAAACATTCTTTTTGTGGAATTTGCAAGTGGAGATTTCAACCGCTTTGAGGTCAATGGTAGAATAGGAAATATCTTCCTATAGAAACTAGACAGAACGATTCTCAGAAACTCCTTTCTGATGTGTGCGTTCAACTCACAGAGTTTAACCTTTCTTTTCATAGAGCAGTTAGGAAACACTCTGTTTGTAAAGTCTGCAAGTGGATATTCAGACCTCTTTGAGGCCTTCGTTGGAAACGGGATTTCTTCATATTCTGCTAGACAGAAGAATTCTCAGTAACTTCCTTGTGTTGTGTGTATTCAACTCACAGAGTTGCACGACCCTTTACACAGAGCAGACTTGAAACACTCTTTTTGTGGAATTTGCAAGTGGAGATTTCAGCCGCTTTGAGGTCAATAGTAGAAAAGGAAATATCTTCGTAGAAAAACTACACAGAATGATTCTCAGAAAATCTTTTGTGATGTGTGCGTTCAACACACAGAGTTTAACTTTTCTTCTCATAGAGCAGTTAGGAAACACTCTGTTTGTAAAGTCTGCAAGTGGATATTCAGACCTCTTTGAGGCCTTCGTTGGAAACGGGATTTCTTCATATTATGCTAGACAGAAGAATTCTCAGGAACTTCCTTGTGTTGTGTGTATTCAACTGACAGAGTTGAACTTTCATTTAGAGAGAGCAGATTTGAAACACTGTTTTTGTGGAATTTGCAAGTGGAGATTCCAAGCGCTTTGGGGCCAAAGCCAGAAAAGGAAATATCTTCGTAGAAAAACTAGACAGAATCATTCTCAGAAACTGCTCTGCGATGTGTGCGTCCAACTCTCAGAGTTTAACTTTTCTTTTCATTCAGCAGTTTGCAAACACTCTGTTTGTAAAGTCTGCACGTGGATATTTTGACCACTTAGAGGCCTTCGTTGGAAACGGGATTTCTTCATACTATGCTAGACAGAAGAATTCTCAGTAACTTCCTTGTGTTGTGTGTATTCAACTCACAGAGTTGAACGATCCTTTACAAAGAGCAGACTTGTAACACTCTTTTTGTGGAATTTGCAAGTGGAGATTTCAGCCGCTTTGAAGTCAAAGATAGAAAAGGAAATATCTTCCTATAAAAACTAGACAGAATGATTCTCAGAAACTCCTTTGTGATGTGTGCGTTCAACTCACAGAGTTTAACCTTCCTTTTCATAGAGCAGTTAGGAAACACTCTGTTTGTAAAGTCTGCAAGTGGATATTCAGACCTCCTTGAGGCCTTCGTTGGAAACGGGATTTCTTCATATTATGCTAGACAGAAGAATTCTCAGTAACTTCCTTGTGTTGTGTGTATTCAACTCACAGAGTTGAACGATCCTTTACACAGAGCGGACTTGAAACACTCGTTTTGTGGAATTTGCAAGTGGAGATTTCAGCCGTGTTGAGGTAAATGGTAGAAAAGGAAATATCTTCGTATAAAAACTAGACAGAATGATTCTCAGAAACTCCTTTGTGATGTGTTCGTTCAACTCACAGAGTTCAACCTTTCTTTTCATAGAGCAGTTGGGAAACACTCTGTTTGTAAAGTCTGCAAGTGGATATTCAGACTTCTTTGAGGCCTTCGTTGGAAGCGGGATTTCTTCATATTCTGCTAGACAGAAGAATTCCCAGTAACTTCCTTGTGTTGTGTGTGTTCAACTCACAGAGTTGAACTTTCATTTACACAGAGCAGATTTGAAACACTCTTTTTGTGGAATTTGCAAATGGAGATTTCAAGCGCTTTGAGGCCAAATGCAGAAAAGGAAATATCTTCGTATAAAAACTAGACAGAATCATTCTCAGAAACTGCTCTGCGATGTGTGCGTTCAACCCTCAGAGTTTAACTTTTCTTTTCATTCAGCAGTTTGGAAACACTCTGTTTGTAAAGTCTGCACGTGGATATTTTGACCACTTAGAGGCCTTCGTTGGAAACGGGTTTTTTTCCTGTAAGGCTAGACAGAAGAATTCCCAGTAACTTCCTTGTGTTGTGTACATTCAACTCACAGAGTTGAACGTTCCCTTAGACAGAGCAGATTTGAAACACTCTTTTTGTGCAATTAGCAAGTGGAGATTTCAAGCGCTTTAAGGTCAATGGCAGAAAAGGAAATATCTTACTTTCAAAACTAGACAGAATCATTCCGACAAACTGCGTTGTGATGTGTTCGTTCAACTCACAGAGTTTAACCTTTCTGTTCATAGAGCAGTTAGGAAACACTCTGTTTGTAAAGTCTGTAAGTGGATATTCTGACATCTTGTGGCCTTCGTTGGAAACGGGATTTCTTCATATTCTGCTGGACAGAAGAATTCTCACTAACTTCCTTGTGTTGTGTGTATTCAACTCACAGAGTTGAACGATCCTTTACACAGAGCAGACTTGAAACACTCTTTTTGTGGAATTTGCAAGTGGAGATTTCAGTCGCTTTGGGGTCAATAGTAGAAAAGGAAATATCTTCGTAGAAAAACTAGACAGAATGATTCTCAGAAACTCCTTTGTGATGTGTGCGTTCAACTCACAGAGTTTAACCTTTCTTTTCATAGAGCAGTTAGGAAACACTCTGTTTGTAAAGTCTGCAAGTGGATATTCAGACCTCCTTGAGGCCTTCGTTGGAAACGGGATTTCTTCATATGATGCTAGACAGAAGAATTCCCAGTAACTTCCTTGTGTTGTGTGTGTTCAACTCACAGAGTAGAACTTTCATTTACACAGAGCAGATTTGAAACACTCTTTTTGTGGAATTTGCAAGTGGAGATTTCAAGCGCTTTGAGGCCAAAGGCAGAAAAGGAAATATCTTCGTATAAAAACTAGACAGAATCATTCTCAGAAACTGCTCTGCGATGTGTGCGTTCAACTCTCAGAGTTTAACTTTTCTTTTCATTCAGCAGTTTGGAAACACTCTGTTTGTAAAGTCTGCACGTGGATATTTTGACCATTTAGAGGCCTTCGTTGGAAACGGGTTTTTTTCTTGTAAGGCTAGACAGAAGATTTCCCAGTAACTTCCTTGTGTTGTGTACATTCAACTCACAGAGTTGAACGTTCCCTTAGACAGAGCAGATTTGAAACACTCTTTTTGTGCAATTGGCAAGTGGAGATTTCAAGCGCTTTAAGGTCAATGGCAGAAAAGGAAATATCTTCGTTTCAAAACTAGACAGAATCATTCCCACAAACTGCGTTGTGATGTGTTCGTTCAACTCACAGAGTTTAACCTTTCTGTTCATAGAGCAGTTAGGAAACACTGTGTTTGTAAAGTCTGTAAGTGGATATTCAGACCTCCTTGAGGCCTTCGTTGGAAACGGGATTTCTTCATATTCTGCTAGACAGAAGAATTCTCACTAACTTCCTTGTGTTGTGTGTATTCAACTCACAGAGTTGAACGATCCTTTACACAGAGCAGACTTGAAACACTCTTTTTGTAGAATTGGCAAGTGGAGATTTCAGCCGCTTTGAGGTCAATGGTAGAAAAGGAAATATCTTCGTATAAAGACTAGACAGAATGATTCTCAGAAACTCCTTTGTGATGTGTGCGTTCAACTCACAGAGTTTAACTTTTCTTTTCATAGAGCAGTTAGGAAACACTCTGTTTGTAAAGTCTGCAAGTGGATATTCAGACCTCTTTGTGGCCTTTGTTGGAAACGGGATTTCTTCATATTATGCTAGACAGAAGAATTCTCAGTAACTTCCTTGTGTTGTGTGTATTCAACTGACAGAGTTGAACTTTCATTTAGAGAGAGCAGATTTGAAACACTGTTTTTGTGGAATTTGCAAATGGAGATTTCAAGCGCTTTGGGGCCAAAGGCAGAAAAGGAAATATCTTCGTATAAAAACTAGAAAGAATCATTCTCAGAAACTGCTCTGCGATGTGTGCGTTCAACTCTCAGAGTTTAACTTTTCTTTTCATTCAGCAGTTTGGAAACACTCTGTTTGTAAAGTCTGCACGTGGATATTTTGACCACTTAGAGGCCTTCGTTGGAAACGAGATTTTTTCCTGTAAGGCTAGACAGAAGAATTCCCAGTAACTTCCTTGTGTTGTGTGCATTCAACTCACAGAGTTGAACCTTCCCTTAGACAGAGCAGATTTGAAACACTCTATTTGTGCAATTTGCAAGTGTAGATTTCAAGCGCTTTAAGGTCAATGGCAGAAAAGGAAATATCTTCGTTTCAAAACTAGACAGAATCATTCCCACAAACTGCGTTGTGATGTGCTCGTTCAACTCACAGAGTTTAACCTTTCTGCTCATAGAGCAGTTAGGAAACACTCTGTTTGTAAAGTCTGTAAGTGGATATTCTGACATCTTGTGGCCTTCGTTGGAAACGGGATTTCGTCATATTCTGCTAGACAGAAGAATTCTCAGTAACTTCCTTGTGTTGTGTGTATTCAACTCACAGAGTTGAACGATCGTTTACACAGAGCAGACTTGTAACACTCTTTTTGTGGAATTTGCAAGTGGAGATTTCAGCCGCTTTGAAGTCAAAGGTAGAAAAGGAAATATCTTCCTATAAAAACTAGACAGAATGATTCTCATGAACTCCTTTGTGATGTGTGCGTTCAACTCACAGAGTTTAACCTTTCTTTTCATAGAGCAGTTAGGAAACACTCTGTTTGTAAAGTCTGCAGGTGGATATTCAGACCTCCTTGAGGCCTTCGTTGGAAACGGGATTTCTTCATATTCTGCTAGACAGAAGAATTCCCAGTAACTTCCCTTGTGTTGTGTGTGTTCAACTCACAGAGTTGAACTTTGATTTACACAGAGCAGATTTGAAACACTCTTTTTGTGGAATTTGCAAGTGGAAATTTCAAGCGCTTTGAGGCCAAAGGCAGAAAAGGAAATATCTTCGTATAAAAACTAGACAGAATCATTCTCAGAAACTGCTCTGCGATGTGTGCGTTCAACTCTCAGAGTTTAACTTTTCTTTTCATTCAGCAGTTTGGAAACACTCTGTTTGTAAAGTCTGCACGTGGATATTTTGACCACTTAGAGGCCTTCGTTGGAAACGGGTTTTTTTCCTGTAAGGCTAGACAGTAGAATTCCCAGTAACTTCCTTGTGTTGTGTACATTCAACTCACAGAGTTGAACGTTCCCTTAGACAGAGCAGATTTGAAACACTCTTTTTGTGCAATTGGCAAATGGAGATTTCAAGGGCTTTAAGGTCAATGGCAGGAAAGGAAATATCTTCGTTTCAAAACTAGACAGAATCATTCCCACAAACTGCGTTGTGACGTGTTCGTTCAACTCACAGAGTTTAACCTTTCTGTTCATAGAGCAGTTAGGAAACACTCTGTTTG
This sequence comes from Homo sapiens, assembly GCF_000001405.40. Lineage (NCBI taxonomy): Eukaryota > Metazoa > Chordata > Mammalia > Primates > Hominidae > Homo > Homo sapiens. The sequence continues at coordinate 123,167,449 of NC_000001.11, forward strand.
TAAAGTCTGCAAGTGGATATTCAGACCTCCTTGAGGCCTTCGTTGGAAACGGGATTTCTTCATATTATGCTAGACAGAGGAATTCTCAGTAACTTCCTTGTGTTCTGTGTATTCAACTGACAGAGTTGAACGATCCTTTACACAGAGCAGACTTGAAACACTCTTTTTGTGGAATTTGCAAGTGGAGATTTCAGCCGCTTTGAGGTCAATGGTAGAAAAGGAAACTATCTTCGTATACAGACTAGACAGAATGTTTCTCAGAAACTGCTTTGTGATGTGTGCGTTCAACTCACAGAGTTCAACCTTTCTTTTCATAGAGCAGTTGGGAAACACTCTGTTTGTAAAGTCTGCAAGTGGATATTCAGACTTCTTTGAGGCCTTCGTTGGAAGCGGGATTTCTTCATATTCTGCTAGACAGAAGAATTCCCAGTAACTTACCTTGTGTTGTGTGTGTTCAACTCACAGAGATGAACTCTCATTTACACAGAGCAGATTTGAAACACTCTTTTTGTGGAATTTGCAAGTGGAGATTTCAAGCGCTTTGAGGCCAAAGGCAGAAAAGGAAATATCTTCGTATAAAAACTAGACAAAATCATTCTCAGAAACTGCTGCGTGATGTGTGCGTTCAACTCTCAGAGTTTAACTTTTCTTTTCATTCAGCGGTTTGGAAACACTCTGTTTGTAAAGTCGGCACGTGGATATTTTGACCACTTAGAGGCCTTCGTTGGAAACGGGTTTTTTTCATGTAAGGCTAGACAGAAGAATTCCCAGTAACTTCCTTGTGTTGTGTGCATTCAACTCACAGAGTTGAACGTTCCCTTAGACAGAGCAGATTTGAAACACTCTATTTGTGCAATTTGCAAGTGTAGATTTCAAGCGATTTAAGGTCAATGGCAGAAAAGGAAATATCTTCGTTTCAAAACTAGACAGATAATCATTCCCACAAACTGCGTTGTGATGTGTTCGTTCAACTCACAGAGTTTAACCTTTCCGTTCATAGAGCAGTTAGGAAACACACTGTTTGTAAAGTCTGTAAGTGGATATTCTGACATCTTGTGGCCTTCGTTGGAAACGGGATTTCTTCATATTCTGCTAGACAGAAAGAATTCTCAGTAACTTCCTTGTGTTGTGTGTATTCAACTCACAGCAGTTGAACGATCCTTTACAGAGAGCAGACTTGAAACACTCTTTTTGTGGAATTTGCAAGTGGAGATTTCAGCCGCTTTGAGGTCAATGGTAGAATAGGAAATATCTTCCTATAGAAACTAGACAGAATGATTCTCAGAAACTCCTTTGTGATGTGTGCGTTCAACTCACAGAGTTCAACCTTTCTTTTCATAGAGCAGTTGGGAAACACTCTATTTGTAAAGTCTGCAAGTGGATATTCAGACTTCTTTGAGGCCTTCGTTGGAAGCGGGATTTCTTCATATTCTGCTTGACAGAAGAATTCCCAGTAACTTCCCTTGTGTTGTGTGTGTTCAACTCACAGAGTTGAACTTTCATTTACACAGAGCAGATTTGAAATACTCTTTTTGTGGAATTTGCAGGTGGAGATTTCAAGCGCTTTGAGGCCAAAGGCAGAAAAGGAAATATCTTCGTATAAAAACTAGACAGAATCATTCTCAGAAACTGCTCTGTGATGTGTGCGTTCAACTCTCAGAGTTTAACTTTTCTTTTCATTCAGCAGTTTGTAAACACTCAGTTTGTAAAGTCTGCACGTGGATATTTTGACCACTCAGAGGCCTTCGTTGGAAACGGGTTTTTTTCATGTAAGGCTAGACAGAAGAATTCCGAGTAACTTCCTTGTCTTGTGTGCATTCAACTCACAGAGTTGAACGTTCCCTTAGACAGAGCAGATTTGAAACACTCTTTTTGTGCAATTTGCAAGTGGAGATTTCAAGCGATTTAGGGTCAATGGCAGAAAAGGAAATATCTTCGTATAAAAACTAGACAGAATCATTCCCACAAACTGCGTTGTGATGTGTTCGTTCAACTCACAGAGTTTAACGTTTCTGTTCATAGAGCAGTTAGGAAACACTCTGTTTGTAAAGTCTGCAAGTGGATATTCAGACCTCCTTGAGGCCTTCGTTGGAAACGGGATTTCTTCATATTCTGCTAGACAGAAGAATTCTCAGTAACTTCTTTGTGTTGTGTGTATTCAACTCACAGAGTTGAACGATCCTTTACACAGAGCAGTCTTGAAACACTCTTTTTGTGGAATTTGCAAGTGGAGATTTCTGCCGCTTTGAGGTCAATGGTAGAATAGGAAATATCTTCCTATAGAAACTAGACAGAATGATTCTCAGAAACTCCTTTGTGATGTGTGCGTTCAACTCACAGAGTTCAACCTTTCTTTTCATAGAGCAGTTGGGAAACACTCTGTTTGTAAAGTCTGCAAGTGGATATTCAGACTTCTTTGAGGCCTTCGTTGGAAGCGGAATTTCTTCATGTTCTGCTAGACAGAAGAATTCTCAGTAACTTCCTTGTGTTGTGTGTATTCAACTCACAGAGTTGAACGATCCTTTACACAGAGCAGACTTGGAACACTCTTTTTGTGGAATTTGCAAGTGGAGATTTCAGCCGCGTTGAGGTCAATGGTAGAAAAGGAAATATCTTCCTATAAAAACTAGACAGAATGATTCTCAGAAACTCCTTTGTGATGTTTGCTTTCAAATCACAGAGTTTAACCTTTCTTTTCATAGAGCAGTTAGGAAACACTCTGGTTGTAAAGTCTGCAAGTGGATATTCAGACCTCTTTGAGGCCTTCGTTGGAAACGGGATTTCTTCATATTCTGCTAGACAGAAGAATTCCCAGTAACTTCCTTGTGTTGTGTGTGTTCAACTCACAGATTTGAACTTTCATTTACACAGAGCAGATTTGAAACACTCTTTTTGTGGAATTTGCAAATGGAGATTTCAAGCGCTTTGAGGCCAAAGGCAGAAAAGGAAATATCTTCGTATAAAAACTAGACAGAATCATTCTCAGAAACTGCTCTGCGATGTGTGCCTTCAACTCACAGAGTTTAACTTTTCTTTTCATTCAGCAGTTTGGAAACACTCTGTTTGTAAAGTCTGCACGTGGATATTTTGACCACTTAGAGGCCTTCGTTGCAAACGGGTTTTTTTCCTGTAAGGCTAGACAGAAGAATTCCCAGTAACTTCCTTGCGTTGTGTACATTCAACTCACGGAGTTGAACGTTCCCTTAGACAGAGCAGATTTGAAACACTCTTTTTGTGCAATTGGCAAGTGGAGATTTCAAGCGCTTTGAGGTCAATGGTAGAAAAGGAAATATCTTCGTTTCAAAACTAGACAGAATCATTCCCACAAACTGCGTTGTGATGTGTTCGTTCAACACACAGACTTTAACCTTTCTTTTCATAGAGCAGTTAGGAAACAGTCTGTTTGTAAATTCTGTAAGTGGATATTCTGACATCTTGTGGCCTTCGTTGGAAACGGGATTTCTTCATATTCTGCTAGACAGAAGAATTCTCAGTAACTTCCTTGTGTTGTGTGTATTCAACTCACAGAGTTGAACGATCCTTTACACAGAGCAGACTTGAAACACTCTTTCTGTGGAATTTGCAAGTGGAGATTTCAACCGCTTTGAGGTCAATAGTAGAAAAGGAAATATCTTCGTAGAAAAACTAGACAGAATGATTCTCAGAAACTCCTTTGTGATGTGTGTGTTCAACTCACAGAGTTTAACCTTTCTTTTCATAGAGCAGTTAGTAAACACTCTGTTTATAAAGTCTGCAAGTGGATATTCCAACCCCTTTGAGGCCTTCGTTGGAAACGGGATTTCTTCATATTATGCTAGACAGAAGAATTCCCAGTAACTTCCTTGTGTTGTGTGTGTTCAACTCACAGAGTTGAACTTTCATTTACACAGAGCAGATTTGAAACACTCTTTTTGTGGAATTTGCTAATGGAGATTTCAAGCGCTTTGAGGCCAAAGGCAGAAAAGGAAATATCTTCGTATAAAAACTAGACAGAATCATTCTCAGAAACTGCTGCGTGATGTGTGTGTTCAACTCTCAGAGTTTAACTTTCCTTTTCATTCAGCGGTTTGGAAACACTCTGTTTGTAAAGTCTGCACGTGGATATTTTGACCACTTAGAGGCCTTCGTTGGAAACGGGTTTTTTTGTATGTAAGGCTAGACAGAAGAATTCCCAGTAACTTCCTTGTGTTGTGCGCATTCAACTCACAGAGTTGAACGTTCCCTTAGACAGAGCAGATTTGAAACACTCTATTTGTGCAATTTGCAAGTGTAGATTTCAAGCGCTTTAAGGTCAAGGGCAGAAAAGGAAATATCTTCGTTTCAAAACTAGACAGAATGATTCTCAGAAACTCCTTTGTGATGTGTGCGTTCAACTCACAGAGTTTAACCTTTCTGTTCATAGAGCAGTTAGGAAACACTCTGTTTGTAAAGTCTGCAAGTGGATATTCAGACCTCCTTGAGGCCTTCGTTGGAAACGGGATTTCTTCATATTCTGCTTGACAGAAGAATTCTCAGTAACTTCCTTGTGTTGTGTTTATTCAACTCACAGAGTTGAATGATCCTTTACACAGAGCAGACTTGAAACACTCTTTTTGTGGAATTTGCAAGTGGAGATTTCAGCCGCTTTGAGGTTAATGGTAGAAAAGTAAATATCTTCGTATAAAGACTAGACAGAATGATTCTCAGAAACTTCTTTGTGATGCGTGCGTTCAACTCACAGAGTTTAACCTTTCTTTTCATAGAGCAGTTAGGAAACACTCTGTTTGTAAACTCTGCAAGTGGATATTCAGACCTCTTTGAGGCCTTCGTTGGAAACGGGATTTCTTCATACTATGCTAGACAGAAGAATTCTCAGTAACTTCTTTGTGTTGTGTGTATTCAACTGACAGAGTTGAACTTTCATTTAGAGAGAGCAGATTTGGAACACTGTTTTTGTGGAATTTGCAAGTGGAGATTTCAAGCGCTTTGGGGCCAAAGGCAGAAAAGGAAATATCTTCGTATAAAAACTAGACAGAATCATTCTCAGAAACCGCTCTGTGATGTGTGCGTTCAACTCGCAGAGTTTAACTTTTCTTTTCATTCAGCAGTTTGGAAACACTCTGTTTGTAAAGTCTGCACGTGGATATTTTGACCACTTAGAGGCCTTCGTTGGAAACGGGTTTTTTTTCATGTAAGGCTAGACGGTAGCATTCCCAGTAACTTCCTTGTGTTGTGTGCATTCAACTCACAGAGATGAATGTTCCCTTAGACAGAGCAGATTTGAAACACTCTATTTGTGCAATTTGCAAGTGTAGATTTCAAGCGCTTTAAGGTCAATGGCAGAAAAGGAAATATCTTCGTTTCAAAACTAGACAGAATCATTCCCACAAACTGCGTTGTGATGTGTTCGTTCAACTCACAGAGTTTAACCTTTCTGTTCATAGAGCAGTTAGGAAACACTCTGTTTGTAAAGTCTGCAAGTGGATATTCAGACCTCCTTGAGGCCTTCGTTGGAAACCGGATTTCTTCATATTCTGCTAGACAGAAGAATTCTCAGTAACTTCCTTGTGTTGTGTGTATTCAACTCACAGAGTTGAACGATGCTTTACACAGAGCAGACTTGAAACACTCTTTTTGTGGAATTTGCAAGTGGAGATTTCAGCCGCTTTGAGGTCAATGGTAGAAAAGGAAATATCTTCGTATAAAGACTAGACAGAATGATTCTCAGAAACTCCTTTGTGATGTGTGTGTTCAACTCACAGAGTTTAACCTTTCTTTTCATAGAGCATTTAGTAAACACTCTGTTTATAAAGTCTGCAAGTGGATATTCAGACCCCTTTGAGGCCTTCGTTGGAAACGGGATTTCTTCATATTATGCTAGACAGAAGAATTCCCAGTAACTTCCTTGTGTTGTGTGTGTTCAACTCACAGAGTTGAACTTTCATTTACACAGAGCAGATTTGAAACACTCTTTTCGTGGAATTTGCAAATGGAGATTTCAAGCGCTTTGAGGCCAAAGGCAGAAAAGGAAATATCTTCGTATAAAAACTAGACAGAATCATTCTCAGAAACTGCTCTGCGATGTGTGCGTTCAACTCTCAGAGTTTAACTTTGCTTTTCATTCAGCAGTTTGGAAACACTCTGTTTGTAAAGTCTGCACGTGGATAATTTGACCACTTAGAGGCCTTCGTTGGAAACGGGTTTTTTTCATGTAAGGCTAGACAGAAGAATTCCCAGTAACTTCCTTGTGTTGTGTGCATTCAACTCACAGAGTTGAACGTTCCCTTAGACAGAGCAGATTTGAAACACTCTGTGCAATTTGCAAGTGTAGATTTCAAGCGCTTTACGGTCAATGGCAGAAAAGGAAATATCTTCGTTTCAAAACTAGACAGAATCATTCCCACAAACTGCGTTGTGATGTGTTCGTTCAACTCACAGAGTTTAACCTTTCTTTTCATAGAGCAGTTAGGAAACAATCTGTTTGTAAATTCTGTAAGTGGATATTCTGACATCTTGTGGCCTTCGTTGGAAACGGGATTTCTTCATATTCTGCTAGACAGAAGAATTCTCAGTAACTTCCTTGTGTTGTGTGTATTCAACTCACAGAGTTGAACGATCCTTTACACAGAGCAGACTTGTAACACTCTTTTTGTGGAATTTGCAAGTGGAGATTTCACCCGCTTTGAAGTCAAAGGTAGAAAAGGAAATATCTTCCTATAAAAACTAGACAGAATGATTCTCAGAAACTCCTTTGTGATGTGTGCGTTCAACTCACAGTGTTTAACCTTTCTTTTCATAGAGCAGTTAGGAAACACTCTGTTTGTAAAGTCTGCAAGTGGATATTCAGACCTCCTTGAGGCCTTCGTTGGAAACGGGATTTTTTCATATAAGGCTAGACAGAAGAATTCCCAGTAACTTCCTTGTGTTGTGTGTGTTCAACTCACAGAGTTGAACTTTCATTTACGCAGAGCAGATTTGAAACACTCTTTTTGTGGAATTTGCAAGTGGAGATTTCAAGCGCTTTGAGGCCAAAGGCAGAAAAGGAAATATCTTCGTTTCAAAACTAGACAGAATGATTCTCAGAAACTCCTTTGTGATGTGTGCGTTCAACTCACAGAGTTTAACTTTTCTTTTCATTCAGCGGTTTGGAAACACTCTGTTTGTAAAGTCTGCACGTGGATATTCAGACCTCTTTGAGGCCTTCGTTGGAAACGGGTTTTTTTCATGTAAGGCTAGACAGAAGAATTCCCAGTAACTTCCTTGTGTTGTGTACATTCAACTCACAGAGTTGAACGTTCCCTTAGACAGAGCAGATTTGAAACACTCTTTTTGTGCAATTGGCAAGTGGTGATTTCAGCCGCTTTGAGGTCAATGGTAGAAAAGGAAATATCTTCGTATAAAAACTAGACAGAATCATTCCCACAAACTGCGTTGTGATGTGTTCGTTCAACTCACAGCAGTTTAACCTTTCTGTTCATAGAGCAGTTAGGAAACACTCTGTTTGTAAAGTCTGTAAGTGGATATTCTGACATCTTGTGGCCTTCGTTGGAAACGGGATTTCTTCATATTCTGCTAGACAGAATACTTCTCAGTAACTTCCTTGTGTTGTGTGTATTCAACTCACAGAGTTGAACGATCCTTTACAGAGAGCAGACTTGAAACACTCTTTTTGTGGAATTTGCAAGTGGAGATTTCAGCCGCTTTGAGCTCAATGGTAGAATAGGAAATATCTTCCTATAGAAACTAGACAGAATGATTCTCAGAAACTCCTTTGTGATGTGTGCGTTCAACTCACAGAGTTTAACCTTTCTTTTCATAGAGCAGTTAGGAAACACTCTGTTTGTAAAGTCTGCAAGTGGATATTCAGACATCTTTGAGGCGTTCGTTGGAAACGGGATTTCTTCATGTTCTGCTAGACAGAAGAATTCCCAGTAACTTCCTTGTGTTGTGTGTGTTCAACTCACAGAGTTGAACTTTCATTTACCCAGAGCAGATTTGAAACACTCTTTTTGTGGAATTTGCAAGTGGAGATTTCAAGCGATTTGAGGCCAAAGGCAGAAAAGGAAATATCTTCGTTTCAAAACTAGACAGAATCATTCTCCGAAGCTGCTGCGTGATGTGTGCGTTCAACTCTCAGAGTTTAACTTTTCTTTTCATTCAGCGGTTTGGAAACACTCTGTTTGTGAAGTCTGCACGTGGATATTTTGACCACTTAGAGGCCTTCGTTGGAAACGGGTTTTTTGCATGTAAGGCTAGACAGAAGAATTCCCAGTAACTTCCTTGTGTTGTGTACATTCAACTCACAGAGTTGAACGTTCCCTTAGACAGAGCAGATTTGAAACACTCTTTGTGCAATTGGCAAGTGGAGATTTCAAGCGCTTTAAGGTCAATGGCAGAAAAGGAAATATCTTCGTTTCAAAACTAGACAGAATGATTCTCAGAAACTCTTTTGTGATGTGTGCGTTCAACTCACAGAGTTTAACCTTTCTTTTCATAGAGCAGTTAGGAAACACTCTGTTTGTAAAGTCTGCAAGTGGATATTCAGACATCCTTGAGGCTTTCGTTGGAAACGGGATTTCTTCATATTATGCTAGACAGAAGAATTCTCAGTAACTTCCTTGTGTTGTGTGTATTCAACTCACAGAGTTGAACGATCCTTTACACAGAGCAGACTTGAAACACTCCTTTTGTGGAATTTGCAAGTGGAGATTTCAGCCGCTTTGAGGTCAATGGTAGAATAGGAAATATCTTCCTATAGAAACTAGACAGAATGATTCTCATAAACTCCTTTGTGATGTGTGAGTTCAAATCACAGAGTTTAACTTTTCTTTTCATAGAGCAGTTAGGAAACACTCTGTTTCTAAAGTCTGCAAGTGGATATTCAGATCTCTTTGAGGCCTTCGTTGGAAACGGGATTTCTTCATATTATGCTAGACAGAAGAATTCTCAGGAACTTCCTTGTGTTGTGTGTATTCAACTCACAGAGTTGAACTTTCATTTACACAGAGCAGATTTGAAACACTCTTTTTGTGGAATTTGCAAATGGAGATTTCAAGCGCTTTGAGGCCAAAGGCAGAAAAGGAAATATCTTCGTATAAAAACTAGACAGAATCATTCTCAGAAACTGCTGCGTGATGTGTGCGTTCAACTCTCAGAGTTTAACTTTTCTTTTCATTCAGCGGTTTGGAAACACTCTGTTTGTAAAGTCTGCACGTGGATATTTTGACCAGTTAGAGGCCTTCGTTGGAAACGGGTTTTTTTCATGTAAGGCTAGACAGAAGAATTCTCAGTAACTTCCTTGTGTTGTGTGTATTCAACTCACAGAGTTGAACGATCCTTTACACAGAGCAGACTTGAAACAATCTTTTTGTGGAATTTGCAAGTGGAGATTTCAGCCGATTTGAGGTCAATGGTAGAAAAGGAAATATCTTCGTATAAAAACTAGACAGAATGATTCTCAGAAACTCCTTTGTGATGTGTGCGTTCAACTCACAGAGTTTAACCTTTCTTTTCATAGAGCAGTTAGGAAACACTCTGTTTGTAAAGTCTGCAAGTGGATATTCAGACCTCCTTGAGGCCTTCGTTGGAAACGGGATTTCTTCATTTTATGCTAGACAGAAGAATTCTCAGTAACTTCCTTGTGTTGTGTGTATTCAACTCACAGAGTTGAACGATCCTTTACACAGAGCATACTTGAAACACTCTTGTTGTGGAATTTGCAAGTGGAGATTTCAGCCGCTTTGAGGTCAATGGTAGAATAGGAAATATCTTCCTATAGAAACTAGACAGAATGATTCTCAGAAACTCCTTTGTGATGTGTGCGTTCAAGTCACAGAGTTTAACCTTTCTTTTCATAGAGTAGTTAGGAAACACTCTGTTTGTAAAGTCTGCAAGTGGATATTCAGACCTCTTTGAGGCCTTCGTTGGAAACGGGTTTTTTTCATATAAGGCTAGACAGAAGAATTCCCAGTAACTTCCTTGTGTTGTGTGTGTTCAACTCACAGAGTTGAACTTTCATTTACCCAGAGCAGATTTGAAACACTCTTTTTGTGGAATTTGCAAATGGAGATTTCAAGCGCTTTGAGGCCAAAGGCAGAAAAGGAAATATCTTCGTTTCAAAACTAGACAGAATGATTCTCAGAAACTCCTTTGTGATGTGTGCGTTCAACTCACAGAGTTTAACCTTTGTTTTCATTCAGCGGTTTGGAAACACTCTGTTTGTAAAGTCTGCACGTGGATATTCAGACCTCTTTGAGGCCTTCGTTGGAAACGGGTTTTTTTCATGTAAGGCTAGACAGAAGAATTCCCAGTAACTTCCTTGTGTTGTGTGCATTCAACTCACAGAGTTGAACGTTCCCTTAGACAGAGCAGATTTGAAACACTCTATTTGTGCAATTTCCAAGTGTAGATTTCAAGCGCTTTAAGGTCAACGGCAGAAAAGGAAATATCTTCGTTTCAAAACTAGACAGAATCATTCCCACAAACTGCGTTGTGATGTGCTCGTTCAACTCACAGAGTTTAACCTTTCTTTTCATAGAGCAGTTAGGAAACAGTCTGTTTGTAAATTCTGTAAGTGGATATTCTGACATCTTGTGGCCTTCGTTGGAAACGGGATTTCTTCATATTCTGCTAGACAGAAGAATTCTCAGAATCTTCCTTGTGTTGTGTGTATTCAACTCACAGAGTTGAACGATCCTTTACACAGAGCAGACTTGAAACACTCTTTTTGTGGAATTTGCAATTGGAGATTTCAGCCGCTTTGAGGTCCATGGTAGAAAAGGAAATATCTTCGTATAAAAACTAGACAGAATGATTCTCAGAAACTCCTTTGTGATGTGTGCGTTCAACTCACAGAGTTTAACCTCTCTTTTCATAGAGCAGTTGGGAAACACTCTGTTTGTAAAGTCTGCAAGTGGATATTCAGACATCCTTGAGGCTTTCGTTGGAAACGGGATTTCTTCATATTCTGCTAGAAAGAAGAATTCTCAGTAACTTCCTTGTGTTGTGTGTATTCAACTGACAGAGTTGAACTTTCATTTAGAGAGAGCAGATTTATAACACTGTTTTTGTGGAATTTGCAAGTGGAGATTTCAGCCGCTTTGGGGCCAAAGGCCGAAAAGGAAATATCTTCGTATAAAAACTAGACAGAATCATTCTCAGAAAATGCTCTGTGATGTGTGCGTTCAACTCTCAGAGTTTAACTTTTCTTTTCATTCAGCACTTTGGAAACACTCTGTTTGTAAAGTCTGCACGTGGATATTTTGACCACTTAGAGGTCTTTGTTGGAAACGGGTTTTTTTCACGTAAGGCTAGACAGAAGAATTCCCAGTAACTTCCTTGTGTTGTGTGCATTCAACTCACAGAGTTGAACGTTCCCTTAGACAGAGCAGATTTGAAACACTCTATTTGTGCAATTTGCAAGTATAGATTTCAAGCGCTTTAAGGTCAACGGCAGAAAAGGAAATATCTTCGTTTCAAAACTAGACAGAATCATTCCCACAAACTGCGTTGTGATGTGTTCGTTCAACTCACAGAGGTTAACCTTTCTGTTCATAGAGCAGTTAGGAAACACTCTGTTTGTAAAGTCTGCAAGTGGATATTCAGACCTCCTTGAGGCCTTCGTTGGAAACGGGATTTCTTCATATTCTGCTAGACAGAAGAATTCTCAGTAACTTCCTTGTGTTGTGTGTATTCAACTCACAGTGTTGAACGATCCTTTACACAGAGCAGACTAGAAACACTCTTTTTGTGGAATTTGCAAGTGGAGATTTCAGCCGCTTTGAGGTCAATGGTAGAAAAGGAAATATCTTCCCTCCTATAAAAACTAGACAGAATGATTCTCAGAAACTCCTTTGTGATGTGTGCGTTCTACTCACAGAGTTTAACCTTTCTTTTCATAGAGCAGTTAGGAAACACTCTGTTTGTAAAGTCTGCAAGAGAATATTCAGACATCTTTGAGACTTTCGTTGGAAACGGGATTTCATCATATTCTGCTAGACAGAAGAATTCCCAGTAACTTCCTTGTGTTGTGTGTGTTCAACTCACAGAGTTGAACTTTCATTTACCCAGAGCAGATTTGAAACACTCTTTTAGTGGAATTTGCAAGTGGAGATTTCAAGCGCTTTGAGGCCAAAGGCAGAAAAGGAAATATCTTCGTTTCAAAACTAGACAGAATCATTCTCAGAAACTGCTGCATGATGTGTGCGTTCAACTCTCAGAGTTTAACTTTTCTTTTCATTCAGCGGTTTGGAAACACTCTGTTTGTAAAGACTGCACGTGGATATTTTGACCACTTAGAGGCCTTCGTTGGAAACGGGTTTTTTTTCATGTAAGGCTAGACAGAAGAATTCCCAGTAACTTCCTTGTGTTGTGTACATTCAACTCACAGAGTTGAACGTTCCCTTAGACAGAGCAGATTTGAAATACTCTTTTTGTGCAATTGGCAAGTGGAGATTTCAAGAGCTTTAAGGTCAATGGCAGAAAAGGAAATATCTTCGTTTCAAAACTAGACAGAATCATTCCCACAAACTGCGTTGTGATGTGTTCGTTCAACTCACAGAGTTTAAACTTTCTGTTCATAGAGCAGTTAGGAAACACTCTGTTTGTAAAGTCTGTAAGTGGATATTCTGACATCTTGTGGCCTTCGTTGGAAACGGGATTTCTTCATATTCTGCTTGACAGAAGAATTCTCAGTAACTTCCTTGTGTTGTGTGTATTCAACTCACAGAGTTGAACGATCTTTTACACAGAGCAGACTTGAAACACTCTTTTTGTGGAATTTGCAAGTGGAGATTTCAGCCGCTTTCAGGTCAATAGTAGAAAAGGAAATATCTTCGTAGAAAAACTAGACAGAACGATTGTCAGAAACTCCTTTATGATGTGTGCGTTCAACTCACAGAGTTTAACCTTTCTTTTCATAGAGCAGTTAGGAAACACTCTGTTTGTAAATTCTGCAAGTGGATAATCAGACCTCTTTGAGGCCATCGTTGGAAACGGGATTTCCTCATATTCTGCTAGACAGAAGAATTCCCAATAACTTCCTTGTGTTGTGTGTGTTCAACTCACAGAGTTGAACTTTCATTTACACAGAGCAGATTTGAAACACTCTTTTTGTGGAATTTGCAAGTGGAGATTTCAAGCGCTTTGAGGCCAAAGGCAGAAAAGGAAATATCTTCGTTTCAAAACTAGACAGAATCATTCTCAGAAACTGCTCTGCGATGTGTGCGTTCAACTCTCAGAGTTTAACTTTTCTTTTCATTCAGCAGTTTGGAAACACTCTGTTTGTAAAGTCTGCACGTGGATAATTTGACCACTTAGAGGTCTTCGTTGGAAACGGGTTTTTTTCATGTAAGGCTAGACTGAAGAATTCCCAGTAACTTCCTTGTGTTGTGTACATTCAACTCACAGAGTTGAACGTTCCCTTAGACAGAGCAGATTTGAAACACTCTTTTTGTGCAATTGGCAAATGGAGATTTCAAGCGCTTTAAGGTCAATGGCAGAAAAGGAAATATCTTCGTTTCAAAATTAGACAGAGAATCATTCCCACAAACTGCGTTGTGATGTGTTCGTTCAACTCACAGCAGTTTAACCTTTCTTTTCATAGAGCAGTTAGGAAACAGTCTGTTTGTAAATTCTGTAAGTGGATATTCTGACATCTTGTGGCCTTCGTTGGAAACGGGATTTCTTCATATTGTGCTAGACAGAAGAATTCTCAGAATCTTCCTTGTGTTGTGTGTATTCAACTCACAGAGTTGAACGATGGTTTACACAGAGCAGATTTGAAACACTCTTTTTGTGGAATTTGCAAGTGGACATTTCAGCCGCTTTGAGGTCAATGGTAGAAAAGGAAATATCTTCGTATAAAAACTAGACAGAATGATTCTCAGAAACTCCTTTGTGATGTGTGCGTTCTACTCACAGAGTTTAACCTTTCTTTTCATAGAGCAGTTAGGAAACACTCTGTTTGTAAAGTCTGCAAGTGGATATTCAGACATCTTTGAGACTTTCGTTGGAAACGGGATTTCATCATATTCTGCTAGACAGAAGAATTCTCAGTAACTTCCTTGTGTTGTGTGTATTCAACTGACAGAGTTGAACTTTCATTTAGAGAGATCAGATTTGAAACACTGTTTTTGTGGAATTTGCAAGTGGAGATTTCAAGCGCTTTGGGGCCAAAGGCAGAAAAGGAAATATCTTCGTATAAAAAGTAGACAGAATCATTCTCAGAAACTGCTGCGTGATGTGTGCGTTCAACTCTCAGAGTTTAACTTTTCTTTTCATTCAGCGGTTTGGAAACACTCTGTTTGTAAAGTCTGCACGTGGAAATTTTGACCACTTAGAGGCCTTCGTTGGAAACGGGTTTTTTTCATGTAAGGCTAGATAGAAGAATTCCCAGTAACTTCCTTGTGTTGTGTACATTCAACTCACAGATTTGAACGTTCCCTTAGACAGAGCAGATTTGAAACACTCTTTTTGTGCAATTGGCAAATGGAGATTTCAAGCGCTTTAAGGTCAATGGCAGAAAAGGAAATATCTTCGTTTCAAAACTAGACAGAATCATTCCCACAAACTGCGTTCTGATGTGTTCGTTCAACTCACAGTAGTTTAACCTTTCTGTTCATAGAGCAGTTAGGAAACACTCTGTTTGTAAAGTCTGTAAGTGGATATTCTGACATCTTGTGGCCTTCGTTGGAAACGGGATTTCTTCATATTCTGCTAGACAGAAGAATTCTCAGTAACTTCCTTGTGTTGCGTGTATTCAACTCACAGAGGTTGAACGATCCTTTACACAGAGCAGACTTGAAACACTCTTTTTGTGGAATTTGCAAGTGGAGATTTCAGCCGCTTTGAGGTCAATATGTAGAAAAGGAAATATCTTCGTAGAAAAACTAGACAGAAATGATTCTCAGAAACTCCTTTGTGATGTGTGTGTTCAACTCACAGAGTTTAACCTTTCTTTTCATACAGCAGTTAGGAAACACTCTGTTTGTAAATTCTGCAAGTGGATATTTTGACCGCTTTGAGGCCTTCGTTGGAAACGGGTTTTTTTCATGTAAGGCTAGACAGAAGAATTCTCAGCAACTTCCTTGTGTTGTGTGTATTCAACTGACAGAGTTGAACTTTCATTTAGAGAGAGCAGATTTGAAACACTGTTTTTGTGGAATTTGCAAGTGGAGATTTCAAGCGCTTTGGGGCCAAAGGCAGAAAAGGAAATATCTTCGTATAAAAACTAGACAGAATCATTCTCAGAAACTGCTCTGTCATGTGTGCGTTCAACTCTCAGAGTTTAACTTTTCTTTTCATTCAGCAGTTTGGAAACACTCTGTTTGTAAAGTCTGCACGTGGATATTTTTACCACTTAGAGGTCTTCGTTGGAAACGGGTTTTTTTCATGTAAGGCTAGACAGAAGAATTCCCAGTAACTTCCTTGTGTTGTGTGCATTCAACTCACAGAGTTGAACGTTCCCTTAGACAGAGCAGATTTGAAACACTCTATTTGTGCAATTTGCAAGTGTAGATTTCAAGCGCTTTAAGGTCAACGGCAGAAAAAGGAAATATCTTCGTTTCAAAACTAGACAGAATGATTCTCAGAAACTTCTTTGTGATGTGTGCGTTCAACTCACAGAGTTTAACCTTTCTTTTCATAGAGCAGTTAGGAAACACTCTGTTTGTAAAGTCTGCAAGTGGATATACAGACCTCTTTGAGGCCTTCGTTGGAAACGGGATTTCTTCATACTATGCTAGACAGAAGAATTCTCAGTAACTTCCTTGTGTTGTGTGTATTCAACTCACAGAGTTGAACTATCCTTTACACAGAGCAGACTTGAAACACTCGTTTTGAGGAATTTGCAAGTGGAGATTTCAGCCGCTTTGAGGTCAATGGTAGAAAAGGAAATCTCTTCGTATAAAAACTAGACAGAATGATTCTCAGAAACTCCTTTGTGATGTGTGCGTTCAACTCACAGAGTTTAACTTTTCTTTTCATAGAGCAGTTAGGAAAAACTCTGTTTGTAAAGTCTGCAAGTGGATATTCAGACCTCTTTGAGGCCTTCGTTGGAAACGGGATTTCTTCATATTCTGCTAGACAGAAGAATTCCCAGTAACTTCCTTGTGTTGTGTGTGTTCAACTCACAGAGTTGAACTTTCATTTACACAGAGCAGATTTGAAACACTCTTTTTGTGGAATTTGCAAGTGGAGATGTCAAGCGCTTTGAGGCCAAAGGCAGAAAAGGAAATATCTTCGTTTCAAAACTAGACAGAATCATTCTCAGAAACTGCTGTGTGATGTGTGCGTTCAACTCTCAGAGTTTAACTTTTCTTTTCATTCAGCGGTTTGGAAACACTCTGTTTGTAAAGTCTGCACGTGGAAATTTTGACCACTTAGAGGCCTTCGTTGGAAACGGGTTTTTTTCATGTAAGGCTCGACAGAAGAATTCCCAGTAACTTCCTTGTGTTGTGTGCATTCAACTCACAGAGTTGAACGTTCCCTTAGACAGAGCAGATTTGAAACACTCTCTTTGTGCAATTTGCAAGTGTAGATTTCAAGCGCTTTAAGGTCAATGGCAGAAAAGAAAATATCTTCGTTTCAAAACAAGACAGAATGATTCTCAGAAACTCCTTTGTTATGTGTGCATTCAACTCACAGAGTTTACCCTTTCTTTTCATAGAGCAGTTAGGAAACACTCTGTTTGTAAAGTCTGCCAGTGGATATTCAGACATCCTTGAGGCTTTCGTTGGAAACGGGATTTCTTCATATTCTGCCAGAAAGAAGAATTCTCAGTAACTTCCTTGTGTTGTGTTTATTCAACTCACAGAGTTGAATGATCCTTTACAGAGAGCAGACTTGAAACACTCTTTTTGTGGAATTTGCAAGTGGAGATTTCAGCCGCTTTGAGGTCAATGGTAGAAAGGTAAATATCTTCGTATAAAGACTAGACAGAAATGATTCTCAGAAACTTCTTTGTGATGTGTGCGTTCAACTCACAGAGTTTAACCTTTCTTTTCATAGAGCAGTTAGGAAACACTCTGTTTGTAAACTCTGCAAGTGGATATTCAGACCTGTTTGAGGCCTTCGTTGGAAACGGGATTTCTTCATACTATGCTAGACAGAAGAATTCTCAGTAACTTCCTTGTGTTGTGTGTATTCAACTGACGGAGTTGAACTATCATTTAGAGAGAGCAGATTTGAAACACTGTTTTTGTGGAATTTGCAAGTGGAGATTTCAAGCGCTTTGGGGCCAAAGGCAGAAAAGGAAATATCTTCGTATAACAACTAGACAGAATCATTCTCAGAAACTGCTGCGTGATGTGTGCGTTCAACTCTCAGAGTTTAACTTTTCTTTTTATTCAGCGGTTTGGAAACACTCTGTTTGTAAAGTCTGCACGTGGATATTTTGACCACTTAGAGGCCTTCGTTGGAAACGGGTTTTTTTCATGTAAGGCTAGACAGAAGAATTCCCAGTAACTTCCTTGTGTTGTGTGCATTCAACTCACAGAGTTGAACGTTCCCTTAGACAGAGCAGATTTGAAACACTCTGTTTGTGCAATTTGCAAGTGTAGATTTCAAGCGCTTTAAGGTCAATGGCAGAAAAGGAAATATCTTCGTTTCAAAACTAGACAGAATCATTCCCACAAACTGCGTTGTGATGTGTTCGTTCAACTCACAGAGTTTAACCTTTCTGTTCATAGAGCAGTTAGGAAACACTCTGTTTGTAAAGTGTGTAAGTGGATATTCTGACATCTTGTGGCCTTCGTTGGAAACGGGATTTCTTCATATTCTGCTAGACAGAAGAATTCTCAGTAACTTCCTTGTGTTGTGTGTATTCAACTCACAGAGTTGAACGATCCTTTACAGAGAGCAGACTTGAAACACTCTTTTTGTGGAATTTGCAATTGGAGATTTCAGCCGCTTTGAGGTCAATAGTAGAAAAGGTAATATCTTCGTAGAAAAACTAGACAGAATGATTCTCAGAAACTTCTTTGTGATGTGTGCGTTGAACTCACAGAGTTTAACCTTTTTTTTCATAGAGCAGTTAGGAAACACTCTGTTTGTAAACTCTGCAAGTGGATAATCAGACCTCTTTGAGGCCTTCGTTGGAAACGGGATTTCTTCATACTATGCTAGACAGAAGAATTCTCAGTAACTTCCTTGTGTTGTGTGTTTTCAACTCACAGAGTTCAACGATGCTTTACACAGAGTAGACTTGAAACACTCTTTTTGTGTAATTTGCAAGTGGAGATTTCAGCCGCTTTGAGGTCAATGGTAGAAAAGGAAATATCTTCGTATAAAAACTAGACAGAGTGATTCTCAGAAACTCCTTTGTGATGTCTGCGTTTAACTCACAGAGTATAACCTTTCTTTTCATAGAGCAGTTAGGAAACACTCTGTTTGTAAAGTCTGCAAGTGGATATTCAGACCTCCTTGAGGCCTTCGTTGGAAACGGGATTTCTTCATATTATGCTAGACAGAAGAATTCTCAGTAACTTCCTTGTGTTGTGTGTATTCAACTCACAGAGTTGAAGGATCCTTTACACAGAGCAGACTAGAAACATTCTTTTTGTGGAATTTGGAAGTGGAGATTTCAGCCGCTTTGAGGTCAATGGTAGAATAGGAAATATCTTCCTATAGAAACTAGACAGAATGATTCTCAGAAACTCCTTTGTGATGTGTGCGTTCAACTCACAGAGTTTAACCTTTCTTTTCATAGAGCAGTTAGGAAACACTCTGATTGTAAAGTCTGCAAGTGGATATTCAGACCTCCTTGAGGCCTTCGTTGGAAACGGGATTTCTTCATATTATGCTAGACAGAAGAATTCCCAGTAACTTCCTTGTGTTGTGTGTGTTCAACTCACAGAGTTGAACTTTCCTTTACACAGAGCAGATTTGAAACACTCTTTTTGTGGAATTTGCAAGTGGAGATTTCAAGCGCTTTGAGGCCAAAGGCAGAAAAGGAAATATCTTCGTTTCAAAACTAGACAGAATCATTCTCAGAAACTGCTCTGTGATGTGTGCGTTCAACTCTCAGAGTTTAACTTTTCTTTTCATTCAGCAGTTTGGAAACACTCTGTTTGTAAAGTCTGCACGTGGATATTTTGACCACTTAGAGGCCTTCGTTGGAAACGGTTTTTTTCATGTAAGGCTAGACAGAAGAATTCTCAGTAACTTCCTTGTGTTGTGTGTATTCAACTCACAGAGTTGAACGATCCTTTACACAGAGCAGACTTGTAACACTCTCTTTGTGGAATTTGCAAGTGGAGATTTCAGCCGCTTTGAAGTCAAAGGTAGAAAAGGAAATATCTTCCTATAAAAACTAGACAGAATCATTCCCACAAACTGCGTTGTGATGTGTTCGTTCAACTCACAGAGTTTAACCTTTCTGTTCATAGAGCAGTTAGGAAACACTCTGTTTGTAAAGTCTGTAAGTGGATATTCTGACATTTTTTGGCCTTCGTTGGAAATGGGATTTCTTCATATTCTCCTAGACAGAATTCTCAGTAACTTCCTTGTGTTGTGTGTATTCAACTCACAGAGTTGAACGATCCTTTGCACAGAGCAGACTTGGAACACTCTTTTTGTGGAATTTGCAAGTGGAGATTTCAGCCGCTTTGAAGTCAAAGGTAGAAAAGGAAATATCTTCCTATAAAAACTAGACAGAATGATTCTCAGAAACTTCTTTGTGATGTGTGCGTTCAACTCACAGAGTTTAACCTTTCTTTTCATAGAGCAGTTAGGAAACACTCTGTTTGTAAACTCTGCAAGTGGATATTCAGACCTCCTTGAGGCCTTCGTTGGAAACGGGATTTCTTCATACTGTGCTAGACCAGAAGAATTCTCAGTAACTTTCCTTGTGTTGTGTGTATTCAACTGACAGAGTTGAACTTTCATTTGGAGAGAGCAGATTTGAAACACTGTTTTTGTGGAATTTGCAAGTGGAGATTTCAAGCGCTTTGGGGCCAAAGGCAGAAAAGGAAATATCTTCGTATAAAAACTAGACAGAAATCATTCTCAGAAACTGCTCTGCGATGTGTGCATTCAACTCTCAGTAGTTTAATTTTTCTTTTCATTCAGCAGTTTGGAAACACTCTCTTTGTAAAGTCTGCACGTGGATATTTTGACCACTTAGAGGCCTTCGTTGGAAACGGGTTTTATTCTTGTAAGGCTAGACAGAAGAATTCCCAGGAACTTCCTTGTGTTGTGTACATTCAACTCACAGAGTTGAACGTTCCCTTAGACAGAGCAGATTTGAAACACTCTTTTTGTGCAATTGGCAAGTGGTGATTTCAGCCGCTTTGTGGTCAATGGTAGAAAAGGAAATATCTTCGTATAAAAACTAGACAGAATCATTCCCACAAACTGCGTTGTGATGTGTTCGTTCAACTCACAGAGTTTAACCTTTCTTTTCATAGAGCAGTTAGGAAACAGTCTGTTTGTCAATTCTGTAAGTGGATATTCTGACATCTTGTGGCCTTCGTTGGAAACGGGATTTCTTCATATTTGGCTAGACAGAAGAATTCTCAGTATCTTCCTTGTGTTGTGTGTATTCAACTCACAGAGTTGAACGCTCCTTTACACAGAGCAGACTTGAAACACTCTTTTTGTGGAATTTGCAAGTGGAGATTTAAGCCGCTTTGAGGTCAATGGTAGAAAAGGGAATATCTTCGTATAGAAACTAGACAGAATGATTCTCAGAAACTCCTTTGTGATGTGTGCGTTCAACTCACACAGTTTAACCTTTCTTTTCATAGAGCAGTTAGGAAACACTCTGTTTGTAAAGTCTGCAAGTGGATATTCAGACCTCCTTGAGGCCTTCGTTGGAAACGGGATTTATTCATATTATGCTAGACAGAAGAATTCCCAGTAACTTCCTTGTGTTGTGTGTGTTCAACTCACAGAGTTGAACTTTCATTTACACAGAGCAGATTTGAAACACTCTTTTTGTGGAATTTGCAAGTGGAGATTTCAAGCGCTTTGAGGCCAGAGGCAGAAAAGGAAATATCTTCGTTTCAAAACTAGACAGAATGATTCTCAGAAACTGCTGCGTGATGTGTGCGTTCAACTCTCAGAGTTTAACTTTTCTTTTCATTCAGCGGTTTGGAAACACTCTGTTTGTAAAGTCTGCACGTGGATATTTTGACCACTTAGAGGCCTTCGTTGGAAACGGGTTTTTTTCATGTAAGGCTAGACAGAAGAATTCCCAGTAACTTCCTTGTGTTGTGTACATTCTACTCACAGAGTTGAACGTTCCCTTAGACAGAGCAGATTTGAAACACTCTTTTTGTGCAATTGGCAAGTGGTGATTTCAACCGCTTTGAGGTCAATGGTAGAAAAGGAAATATCTTCGTATAAAAACTAGACAGAATGATTCTCAGAAACTCCTTTGTGATGTGTGCGTTCAAATCACAGAGTTTAACTTTTCTTTTCATAGAGCAGTTAGGAAACACTCTGTTTGTAAAGTCTGCAAGTGGATATTCAGACCTCTTTGAGGCCTTCGTTGGAAACGGAATTTCTTCATATTATGCTAGACAGAAGAATTCTCAGTAACTTCCTTGTGTTGTGTGTATTCAACTCACAGAGTTGAACGATCGTTTACACAGAGCAGACTTGAAACATTCTTTTTGTGGAATTTGCAAGTGGAGATTTCAGCCGCTTTGAGGTCAATGGTAGAATAGGAAATATCTTCCTATAGAAACTAGACAGAATGATTCTCAGAAACTCCTTTGTGATGTGTGTGTTCAACTCACAGCAGTTTAACCTTTCTTTTCATAGAGCAGTTAGGAAACGCTCTGTTTGTAAAGTCTGCAAGTGGATATTCAGACCTCGTTGAGACCTTCGTTGGAAACGGGATTTCTTCATATTCTGCTAGACAGAAGAATTCTCAGAATCTCCCTTGTGTTGTGTGTATTCAACTCACAGAGTTGAACGATCCTTTACACAGAGCAGACTTGAAACACTCTTTTTGTGGAATTTGCAAGTGGAGATTTCAGCCGCTTTGAGGTCCATGGTAGAAAAGGAAATATCTTCGTATAAAAACAAGACAGAATGGTTCTCAGAAACTCCTTTGTGATGTGTGCGTTCAACTCACAGAGTTTAACTTTTCTTTTCATAGAGCAGTTAGGAAACACTCTGTTTGTAAAGTCTGCAAGTGGATATTCAGACCTCTTTGAGGCCTTCGTTGGAAACGGGATTTCTTCATATTCTGCTAGACAGAAGAATTCCCAGTAACTTCCTTGTGTTGTGTGTGTTCAACTCACAGAGTTGAACTTTCATTTACACAGAGCAGATTTGCAACACTCTTTTTGTGGAATTTGCAAATGGAGATTTCAAGCGCTTTGAGGCCAAAGGCAGAAAAGGAAATATCTTCGTTTCAAAACTAGACAGAATCATTCTCAGAAACTTCTCTGCGATGTGTGCGTTCAACTCTCAGAGTTTAACTTTTCTTTTCATTCAGCAGTTTGGAAACACTCTCTTTGTAATGTCTGCACGTGGATATTTTGACCACTTAGAGGCCTTCGTTGGAAACGGGTTTTTTTCCTGTAAGGCTAGATAGAAGAATTCCCAGTAACTTCCTTGTGTTGTGTACATTCAACTCACAGAGTTGAACGTTCCCTTAGACAGAGCAGATTTGAAACACTCTTTTTGTGCAATTGGCAAGTGGAGATTTCAAGCGCTTTGAGGTCAATGGCAGAAAAGGAAATATCTTCGTTTCAAAACTAGACAGAATGATTCTCAGAAACTCCTTTGTGATGTGTGCGTTCAACTCACAGAGTTTAACTTTCCTTTTCATAGAGCAGTTAGGAAACACTCTGTTTGTAAAGTCTGCAAGTGGATATTCAGACCTCTTTGAGGCCTTCGTTGGAAACGGGATTTCTTCATATTCTGCTTGACAGAAGAATTCTCAGTAACTTCCTTGTGTTGTGTGTATTCAAGTCACAGAGTTGAACGATCCTTTACACAGAGCAGACTTGAAACACTCTTTTTGTGGAATTTGCAAGTGGAGATTTCAGCCGCTTTGAGGTCAATAGTAGAAAAGGAAATATCTTCGTAGAAAAACTAGACAGAATGATTCTCAGAAATTCCTTTGTGATGTGTGTGTTCAACTCACAGAGTTTAACCTTTCTTTTCATAGAGCAGTTAGGAAACACTCTGTTTGTAAAGTCTGCAAGTGGATATTCAGACCTCTTTGAGGCCTTCGTTGGAAAAGGGATTTCTTCATGCTCTGCTAGACAGAAGAATTCTCAGTAACTTCCTTGTGTTGTGTGTATTCAACTGACAGAGTTGAACTTTCATTTGGAGAGAGCAGATTTGAAACACTGTTTTTGTGGAATTTGAAAGTGGAGATTTCAAGCGCTTTGGGGCCAAAGGCAGAAAAGGAAATATCTTCGTAGAAAAACTAGACAGAATCATTCTCAGAAACTGCTCTGTGATGTGTGCGTTCAACTCTCAGAGTTTAACTTTTCTTTTCATTCAGCAGTTTGGAAACACTCTGTTTGTAAAGTCTGCACGTGGATATTTTGACCACTTAGAGGCCTTCGTTGGAAACGGGTTTTTTTTCATGTAAGGCTAGACAGAAGAATTCCCAGTAACTTCCTTGTGTTGTGTGCATTCAACTCACAGAGTTGAACGTTCCTTAGACAGAGCAGATTTGAAACACTCTATTTGTGCAATTTGCAAGTGTAGGTTTCAAGCGCTTTAAGGTCAATGGCAGAAAAGGAAATATCTTCGTTTCAAAACTAGACAGAATCATTCCCACAAACTGCGTTGTGATGTGTTCGTTCAACTCACAGAGTTTAACCTTTCTTTTCATAGAGCAGTTAGGAAACAGTCTGTTTGTAAATTCTGTAAGTGGATATTCTGACATCTTGTGGCCTTCGTTGGAAACGGGATTTCTTCATATTCTGCTAGACGGAAGAATTCTCAGTAACTTCCTTGTGTTGTGTGTATTCAACTCACAGACTTGAATGATCCTTTACACAGAACAGTCTTGAAAGACTCTTTTTGTGGAATTTGCAAGTGGAGATTTCAGCCGCTTTGAGGTCAATGGTAGAATAGGAAATATCTTCCTATAGAAACTAGACAGAATGATTCTCAGAAACTCCTTTGTGATGTGTGCGTTCAACTCACAGAGTTTAACTTTTCTTTTCATAGAGCAGTTAGGAAACACTCTGTTTGTAAAGTCTGCAAGTGGATATTCAGACCTCTTTGTGGCCTTCGTTTGAAACGGGATTTCTTCATATTCTGCTAGACAGAAGAATTCCCAGTAACTTCCTTGTGTTGTGTGTGTTCAACTCACAGAGTTGAACTTTCATTTACACAGAGCAGATTTGAAACACTCTTTTTGTGGAATTTGCAAGTGGAGATTTCAAGCGCTTTGAGGCCAAAGGCAGAAAAGGAAATATCTTCGTAGAAAAACTAGACAGAATCATTCTCAGAAACTGCTCTGCGATGTGTGCGTTCAACTCTCAGAGTTTAACTTTTGTTTTCATTCAGCAGTTTGGAAACACTCTGTTTGTGAAGTCTGCACGTGGATAACTTGACCACTTAGAGGCCTTCGTTGGAAACGGGTTTTTTTCATGTAAGGCTAGACAGAAGAATTCCCAGTAACTTCTTTGTGTTGTGTGCATTCAACTCACAGAGTTGAACGTTCCCTTAGAGAGAGCAGATTTGAAACACTCTATTTGTGCAATTTGCAAGTGTAGATTTCAAGCGCTTTAAGGTCAATGGCAGAAAAGGAAATATCTTCGTTTCAAAACTAGACAGAATCATTCCCACAAACTGCGTTGTGATGTGTTCGTTCAACTCACAGAGTTTAACCTTTCTGTTCATAGAGCAGTTAGGAAACACTCTGTTTGTAAAGTCTGTAATTGGATATTCTGACATCTTGAGGCCTTCGTTGGAAACGGGATTTCTTCATATTCTGCTAGACAGAAGAATTCTCAGTAACTTCCTTGTGTTGTGTGTATTCAACTCACAGAGTTGAACGATCCTTTACACAGAGCGGACTTGAAACACTCTTTTTGTAGAATTTGCAAGTGGAGATTTCAGCCGCGTTGAGGTCAATGGTAGAAAAGGAAATATCTTCGTATAAAAACTAGACAGAATGATTCTCAGAAACTCCTTTGTGATGTGTGTGTTCAACTCACAGAGTTTAACCTTTCTTTTCATAGAGCAGTTAGGAAACACTGTGTTTGTAAAGTCTGCAAGTGGATATTCAGACCTCTTTGAGGCCTTCGTTGGAAACGGGTTTTTTTCATATAAGGCTAGACAGAAGAATTCTCAGTAACTTCCTTGTGTTGTGTGTTTTCAACTGACAGAGTTGAACTTTCATTTAGAGAGAGCAGATTTGTAACACTGTTTTTGTGGAATTTGCAAGTGGAGATTTCAAGCGCTTTGGGGCCAAAGGCAGAAAAGGAAATATCTTCGTATAAAAACTAGACAGAATCATTCTCAGAAACTGCTCTGCGATGTGTGCGTTCAACTCTCAGAGTTTAACTTTTCTTTTCATTCAGCAGTTTGGAAACACTCTGTTTGTAAAGACTGCACGTGGATAATTTCACCACTTAGAGGTCTTCGTTGGAAACGGGTTTTTTTCATGTAAGGATAGACAGAAGAATTCCCAGTAACTTCCTTGTGTTGTGTACATTCAACTCACAGAGTTGAACGTTCCCTTAGACAGAGCAGATTTGAAACACTCTTTTTGTGCAATTGGCAAGTGGAGATTTCAAGCGCTTTATGGTCAATGGCAGAAAAGGAAATATCTTCGTTTCAAAACTAGACAGAATCATTCCCACAAACTGCGTTGTGATGTGTTCTTTCATCTCACAGAGTTTAACCTTTCTTTTCATAGAGCAGTTAGGAAACACTATGTTTGTAAATTCTGTAAGTGGATATTCTGACATCTTGTGGCCTTCGTTGGAAACGGGATTTCTTCATATTCTGCTAGACAGAAGAATTCTCAGTAACTTCCTTGTGTTGTGTGTATTCAACTCACAGAGTTGAACGATCCTTTACACAGAGCAGACTTGAAACACTCTTTTTGTGGAATTTGCAAGTGGAGATTTCATCCACTTTGAGGTCAATAGTAGAAAAGGAAATATCTTCGTAGAAAAACTAGACAGAATGATTCTCAGAAACTCCTTTGTGATGTGTGCGTTCAACTCACAGAGTTTAACCTTTCTTTTCATAGAGCAGTTAGGAAACACTCTGTTTGTAAAGTCTGCAAGTGGATATTCAGACCTCTTTGAAGCCTTCGTTGGAAACGGGATTTCTTCATATTATGCTAGACAGAATAATTCTCAGTAACTTCCTTGTGTTGTGTGTATTCAACTCACAGAGTTGAACTATCCTTTACAGAGAGCAGACTTGAAACACTCTTTTTGTGGAATTTGGAAGTGGAGATTTCAGCCGCTTTGAGGTCAAAGGTAGAATAGGAAATATCTTCCTACAGAAAATAGACAGAATCATTCTCAGAAACTGCTCTGCGATGTGTGCGTTCAACTCTCAGAGTTTAACTTTTCTTTTCATTCAGCAGTGTGGAAACACTGTGTTTGTAAAGTCTGCACGGGGATATTTTGACCACTTACAGGCCTTCGTTGGAAACGGGTTTTTTTCCTGTAAGGCTAGACAGAAGAATTCCCAGTAACTTCCTTGTGTTGTGCGCATTCAACTCACAGAGTTGAACGTTCCCTTAGACAGAGCAGATTTGAAAGAGCCTATTTGTGCAATTTGCAAGTGTACATTTCAAGCGCTTTAAGGTCAACGGCAGAAAAGGAAATATCTTCCTTTCAAAACTAGACAGAATGATTCTCAGAAACTCCTTTGTGATGTGTGCGTTCAACTCACAGAGTTTAACCTTTCTTTTCATAGAGCAGTTAGGAAACACTCTGTTTGTAAAGTCTGCAAGTAGATATTCAGACATCCTTGAGGCTTTCGTTGGAAACGGGATTTCTTCATATTCTGCTAGAAAGAAGAATTCTCAGTAACTTCTTTGTGTTGTGTGTATTCAACTCACAGAGTTGAACGATCCTTTACACAGAGCAGACTTGAAACACTCCTTTTGTGGAATTTGCAAGTGGAGATTTCAGCCGCTTTGAGGTCAATGGTAGAATAGGAAATATCTTCCTATAGAAACTAGACAGAATGATTCTCAGAAACTCCTTTGTGATGTGTGTGTTCACCTCACAGAGTTTAACCTTTCTTTTCATAGAGCAGTTAGTAAACACTCTGTTTATAAAGTCTGCAAGTGGATATTCCGACCCCTTTGAGGCCTTCGTTGGAAACGGGATTTCTTCATATTATGCTAGACAGAAGAATTCTCAGTAACTTCCTTGTGTTGTGTGTATTCAACTGACAGAGTTGAACTTTCATTTAGAGAGAGCAGATTAGAAACACTGTTTTTGTGGAATTTGCAAGTGCAGATTTCAAGCGCTTTGTGGCCAAAGGCAGAAAAGGAAATATCTTCGTATGAAAACTAGCCAGAATCATTCTCAGCAAACTGCTCTGCGATGTGTGCGTTCAACTCTCAGAGTTTAACTTTTCTTTTCATTCAGCAGTTTGGAAACACTCTGTTTGTAAAGTCTGCACGTGGATATTTTGACCACTTAGAGGCCTTCGTTGGAAACGGGTTTTTTTCCTGTAAGGCTAGACAGAAGAATTCCCAGTAACTTCCTTGTGTTGTGTACATTCAACTCACAGAGTTGAACGTTCCCTTAGACAGAGCAGATGTGAAACACTCTTTTTGTGCAATTGGCAAGTGGAGATTTCAAGCGCTTTAAGGTCAATGGCAGAAAAGGAAATATCTTTGTTTCAAAACTAGACAGAATCATTCCCACAAACTGCGTTGTGATGTGTTCGTTCAACTCACACAGTTTAACCTTTCTTTTCATAGAGCAGTTAGGAAACAGTCTGTTTGTAAATTCTGTAAGTGGATATTCTGACATCTTGTGGCCTTCGTTGGAAACGGGATTTCTTCATATTCTGCTAGACAGAAGAATTCTCAGTAACTTCCTTGTGTTGTGTGTATTCAACTCACAGAGTTGAACGATCGTTTACACAGAGCAGACTTGAAACACTCTTTTTGTGGAATTTGCAAGTGGAGATTTCAGCCGCTTTGAGGTCAATGGTAGAAAAGGAAACTATCTTCATATAAAGACTAGACAGAATGATTCTCAGAAACTCCTTTGTGATGTGTGCGTTCAACTCACAGAGTTTAACCTTTCTTTTCATAGAGCAGTTAGGAAACACTCTGTTTGTAAAGTCTGCAAGTGGATATTCAGACCTCTTTGAGGCCTTCGTTGGAAACGGGTTTTTTTCATATCAGGCTAGACAGAAGAATTCCCAGTAACTTCCTTGTGTTGTGTGTGTTCAACTCACAGAGTTGAACTTTCATTTACACAGAGCAGATTTGAAACACTCTTTTTGTGGAATGTGCAAGTGGAGATTTCAAGCGCTTTGAGGCCAAAGGCAGAAAAGGAAATATCTTCGTATAAAAACTAGACAGAATCATTCTCAGAAACTGCTGCGTGATGTGTGCGTTCAACTCTCAGAGTTTAACTTTTCTTTTCATTCAGCGGTTTGGAAACACTCTGTTTGTAAAGTCTGCACGTAGAAATTTTGACCACTTAGAGGCCTTCGTTGGAAACGGGTTTTTTTCATGTAAGGCTAGACAGAAGAATTCCCAGTAACTTCCTTGTGTTGTGTGCATTCAACTCACAGAGTTGAACGTTCCCTTAGACAGAGCAGATTTGAAACACTCTATTTGTGCAATTTGCAATTGTAGATTTCAAGCGCTTTAAGGTCAACGGCAGAAAAGGAAATATCTTCGTTTCAAAACTAGACAGAATGATTGTCATAAACTCCTTTGTGATGTGTGCGTTCAACACACAGAGTTTAACCTTTCTGTTCATAGAGCAGTTAGGAAACATTCTGTTTGTAAAGTCTGTAAGTGGATATTCTGACATCTTGTGGCCTTCGTTGGAAACGGGATTTCTTCATATTCTGCTAGACAGAAGAATTCTCAGTAACTTCCGCGTGTTGTGTGTATTCAACTCACAGAGTTGAACGATCCTTTACACAGAGCAGACTTGTAACACTCTTTTTGTGGAATTTGCAAGTGGAGATTTCAGCCGCTTTGAAGTCAAAGGTAGAAAAGGAAATATCTTCCTATAAAAACTAGACAGAATGATTCTCAGAAACTCCTTTGTTATGTGTGCGTTCAACTCACAGAGTTTAACCTTTCTTTTCATAGAGCAGTTAGGAAACACTCTGTATGTAAAGTCTGCAAGTGGATATTGAGACCTCTTTGAGGCCTTCGTTGGAAACGGGAATTCTTCATATTATGCTAGACAGAAGAATTCCCAGTAACTTCCTTGTGTTGTGTGTGTTCAACTCACAGAGTTGAACATTCATTTACCCAGAGCAGATTTGAAACACTCTTTTTGTGGAATTTGCAAGTGGAGATTTCAAGCGCTTTGAGGCCAAAGGCAGAAAAGGAAATATCTTCGTTTCAAAACTAGACAGAATCATTATCAGAAACTGCTGCGTGATGTGTGCGTTCAACTCTCAGAATTTAAGTTTTCTTTTCATTCAGCGGTTTGGAAACACTCTGTTTGTAAAGTCTGCACGTGGATATATTGACCACTTAGAGGCCTTCGTTGGAAACGGGTTTTTTTCATGTAAGGCTAGACAGAAGAATTCCCAGTAACTTCCTTGTGTTGTGTGCATTCAACTCACAGAGTTGAACGTTCCCTTAGACAGAGCAGATTTGAAACACTCTATTTGTGCAATTTGCAAGTGTAGATTTCAAGCGCTTTAAGGTCAACGGCAGAAAAGGAAATATCTTCGTTTCAAAACTAGGCAGAATCATTCCCACAAACTGCGTTGTGATGTGGTCGTTCAACTCACAGAGTTTAACTTTTCTTTTCATAGAGCAGTTAGGAAACACCTCTGTTTGTAAAGTCTGTAAGTGGATATTCTGACATCTTGTGGCCTTCGTTGGAAACGGGATTTCTTCATATTCTGCTAGACAGAAGAATTCTTAGAATCTTCCTTGTGTTGTGTGTATTCAACTCACACAGTTGAACGATGGTTTACACAGAGCAGATTTGAAACACTCTTTTTGTGGAATTTGCAAGTGGAGATTTCAGCCGCTTTGAGGTCAATGGTAGAAAAGGAAATATCTTCGTATAAAAACTAGACAGAATGATTCTCAGAAACTCCTTTGTGATGTGTGCGTTCAACTCACAGAGTTTAACCTTTCTTTTCATAGAGCAGTTAGGAAACACTCTGTTTGTAAACTCTGCAAGTGGATATTCAGACCTCTTTGAGGCCTTCGTTGGAAACGGGATATCTTCATACTGTGCTAGACAGAAGAATTCCCAGTAACTTCCTTGCGTTGTGTGTGTTCAACTCACAGAGTTCAACTTTCATTTACACAGAGCAGATTTGAAACACTGTTTTTGTGGAATTTGCAAGTGGAGATTTCAAGCGCTTTGAGGCCAAAGGCAGAAAAGGAAATATCTTCGTTTCAAAACCAGACAGAATGATTCTCAGAAACTCCTTTGTGATGTGTGCGTTCAACTCACAGAGTTTAACCTTTCTTTTCATAGAGCACTTAGGAAACACTCTGTTTGTAAAGTCTGCAAGTGGATATTCAGACCTCTTTGAGGCCTTCGTTGGAAACGGGTTTTTTTCATATAAGGCTAGACAGAAGAATTCCCAGTAACTTCCTTGTGTTGTGTACATTCAACTCACAGAGTTGAAAGTTCCCTTAGACAGAGCAGATTTGAAACACTCTTTTTGTGCAATTGGCAAGTGGAGATTACAAGCACTTTAAGGTCAATGGCAGAAAAGGAAATATCTTCGTTTCAAAACTAGACAGAATCATTCCCACAAACTGCGTTGTGATGTGTTCGTTCAACTCACAGTAGTTTAACCTTTCCGTTCATAGAGCAGTTAGGAAACACACTGTTTGTAAAGTCTGTAAGTGGATATTCTGACATCTTGTGGCCTTCGTTGGAAACGGGATTTCTTCATATTCTGCTAGACAGAAGAATTCTCAGTAACTTCCGCGTGTTGTGTGTATTCAACTCACAGAGTTGAACGATCCTTTACACAGAGCAGACTTGAAACACTCTTTTTGTGGAATTTGCAAGTGGAGATTTCAGCCTCTTTGAAGTCAATGGTAGAAAAGGAAATATCTTCCTATAAAAACTAGACAGAATGATTCTCAGAAACTCCTTTGTGATGTGTGCGTTCAACTCACAGAGTTCAACTTTTCTTTTCATAGAGCAGTTAGGAAACACTCTGTTTGTAAAGTCTGCAAGTGGATATTCAGACCTCTTTGAGGCCTTCGTTGGAAACGGGATTTCTTCATATTCTGCTAGACAGAAGAATTCCTAGTAACTTCCTTGTTTTGTGTGTGTTCAACTCACAGAGTTGAACTTTGATTTACACAGAGCAGATTTGAATCACTCTTTTTGTGGAATTTGCAAGTGGAGATTTCAAGCGCTTTGAGGCCAAAGGCAGAAAAGGAAATATCTTCGTATAAAAACTAGACAGAGTAATCATTCTCAGAAACTGCTGCGTGATGTGTGCGTTCAACTCTCACAGTTTAACTTTTCTTTTCATTCAGCGGTTTGGAAACACTCTGTTTGTAAAGTCTGCACGTGGATATTTTGACCACTTAGAGGCCTTCGTTAGAAACTGGTTTTTTTCATGTAAGGCTAGACAGAAGAATTCCCAGTAACTTCCCTTGTGTTGTGTGCATTCAACTCACAGAGTTGAACGTTCCCTTAGACAGAGCAGATTTGAAACACTCTATTTGTGCAATTTGCAAGTGTAGATTTCAAGCGCTTTAAGGTCAACGGCAGAAAAGGAAATATCTTCGTTTCAAAACTAGACAGAATCATTCCCACAAACTGCGTTGTGATGTGTTCGTTCAACTCACAGAGTTTAACCTTTCTGTTCATATAGCAGTTAGGAAACACTCTCAAAAGTCTGTAAGTGGATATTCTGACATCTTGTGGCCTTCGTTGGAAACGGGATTTCTTCATATTCTGCTAGACAGAAGAATTCTCAGTAACTTCCTTGTGTTGGGTGTATTCAACTCACAGAGTTGAAGGATCCTTTACAGAGAGCAGGCTTGAAACACTCTTTTTGTCGAATTTGCAAGTGGAGATTTCAGCCGCTTTGAGGTCAATGGTAGAATAGGAAATATCTTCTTATAGAAACTAGACAGAATGATTCTCAGAAACTCCTTTGTGATGTGTGCGTTCAACTCACAGAGTTTAACCTTTCTTTTCATAGAGCAGTTAGGAAACACTCTGTTTGTAAAGTCTGCAAGTGGATATTCAGACCTCCTTGAGGCCTTCGTTGGAAACAGGTTTTTTTCATATAAGGCTAGACAGAAGAATTCTCAGTAACTTCCTTGTGTTGTGTGTATTCAACTGACAGAGTTGAACTTTCATTTAGAGAGAGCAGATTTGAAACACTGTTTTTGTGGAATTTGCAAGTGGAGATTTCAAGCGCTTTAGGGCCAAAGGCAGAAAAGGAAATATCTTCGTATAAAAACTAGACAGAAATGATTCTCAGAAACTCCTTTGTGATGTGTGAGTTCAACTCACAGAGTTTATCCTTTCTTTTCATAGAGCAGTTAGGAAACACTCTGTTTGTAAAGTCTGCAAGTGGATATTCAGACCTCTTTGAGGCCTTCGTTGGAAACGGGATTTCTTCATATTCTGCTAGACAGAAGAATTCCCAGTAACTTCCTTGTGTTGTGTGCATTCAACTCACAGAGTTGAACATTCCCTTGACAGAGCAGATTTGAAACACTCTATTTGTGCAATTTGCAAGTGTAGATTTCAAGCGCTTTAAGGTCAATGGCAGAAAAGGGAATATCTTCGTTTCAAAACTAGACAGAATGATTCTGAGAAACTCCTTTGTGATGTGTGCGTTCAACTGACAGAGTTTAACCTTTCTTTTCATAGAGCAGTTAGGAAACACTCTGTTTGTAAAGTCTGCAAGTGGATATTCAGACATCCTTGAGGCTTTCGTTGGAAACGGGATTTCTTCATATTCTGCTAGAAAGAAGAATTCTCAGTAACTTCCTTGTGTTGTGTGTATTCAACTCACAGAGTTGAATGATCCTTTACACAGAACAGTCTTGAAACACTCTTTTTGTGGAATTTGCAAGTGGAGATTTCAGCCGCTTTGAGGTCAATGGTAGAATAGGAAATATCTTCATATAGAAACTAGACAGAATGATTCTCAGTAACTCCTTTGTGATGTGTGCGTTCAACTCACAGAGTTTAACCTTTCTTTTCATAGAGCAGTTAGGAAACACTCTGTTTGTAAAGTCTCCAAGTGGATATTCAGACCTCTTTGAGGCCTTCGTTGGAAACGGGTTTTTTTCATATAAGGCTAGACAGAAGAATTCCCAGTAACTTCCTTGTGTTGTGTGTGTTCAGCTCACAGAGTTGAACTTTCATTTACACAGAGCAGATTTGAAACACTCTTTTTGTGGAATTTGCAGGTGGAGATTTCAAGCGCTTTGAGGCCAAAGGCAGAAAAGGAAATATCTTCGTATAAAAACTAGACAGAAGCATTCTCAGAAACTGCTCTGCGATGTGTGCGTTCAACTCTCAGAGTTTAACTTTTCTTTTCATTCAGCAGTTTGGAAACACTCTGTTTGTAAAGTCTGCACGTGGATAACTTGACCACTTAGAGGCCTTCGTTGGAAACGGGTTTTTTTCATGTAAGGCTAGACAGAAGAATTCCCAGTAACTTCCTTGTGTTGTGTACATTCCACTCACAGAGTTGAACGTTCCCTTAGACAGAGCAGATGTGAAACACTCTTTTTGTGCAATTGGCAAGTGGAGATTTCAAGCGCTTTAAGGTCAAAGGCAGAAAAGGAAATATCTTCGTTTCAAAACTAGACAGAATCATTCCCACAAACTGCGTTGTGATGTGTTCGTTCAACTCACAGGGATTAACCTTTCTTTTCATAGAGCAGTTAGGAAACAGTCTGTTTGTCAATTCTGTAAGTGGATATTCTGACATCTTGTGGCCTTCGTTGGAAACGGGATTTCTTCATATTCTGCTAGACAGAAGAGTTCTCAGAAACTTCCTTGTGTTGTGTGTATTCAACTCACAGAGTTGAACTATCGTTTACACAGAACAGACTTGAGACACTCTTTTTGTGGAATTTGTAAGTGGAGATTTCAGCCGCTTTGAGGTCAATGGTAGAAAAGGAAATATCTTCATATAAAAACTAGACAGAATGATTCTCAGAAACTCCTTTGTGATGTGTGCGTTCAACTCACAGAGTTTAACCTTTCTTTTCATAGAGCAGTTAGGAAACACTCTGTTTGTAAAGTCTGCAAGTGGATATTCAGACATCTTTGAGGCTTTCGTTGGAAACAGGATTTCTTCATATTCTGCTAGACAGAAGAATTCCAGTAACTTCCTTGTGTTGTGTGTGTTCAACTCACAGATTTGAACTTTCATTTACACAGAGCAGATTTGAAACACTCTTTTTGTGGAATTTGCAAATGGAGATTTCAAGCGCTTTGAGGCCAAAGGCAGAAAAGGAAATATCTTCGTATAAAAACTAGACAGAATCATTCTCAGAAACTGCTCTGCGATGTGTGCGTTCAACTCTCAGAGTTTAACTTTGCTTTTCATTCAGCAGTTTGGAAACACTCTGTTTGTAAAGTCTACACGTGGATATTTTGACCACTTAGAGGCCTTCGTTGGAAACGGGTTTCTTTCCTATAAGGCTAGACAGAAGAGTTCTCAGTAACTTCCTTGTGTTGTGTGTATTCAACTCACACAGTTGAACGATCCTTTATAGAGAGCAGACTTGTAACACTCTTTTTGTGGAATTTGCAAGTGGAGATTTCAGCCGCTTTGAAGTCAAAGTAGAAAAGGAAATATCTTCCTATAAAAACTAGACAGAATCATTCCCACAAACTGCGTTGTGATGTGTTCGTTCATCTCACAGAGTTTAACCTTTCTTTTCATAGAGCAGTTAGGAAACACTCTGTTTGTAAATTCTGTAAGTGGATATTCTGACATCATGTGGCCTTCGTTGGAAACGGGATTTCTTCATATTCTGCTAGACAGAAGAATTCTCAGTAACTTCCTTGTGTTGTGTGTATTCAACCCACAGAGTTGAACGATCCTTTACACAGAGCAGACTTGAAACACTCTTTTTGTGGAATTTGCAAGTGGAGATTTCAGCCGCTTTGAGGTCAATGGTAGAAAAGGAAATATCTTCGTATAAAGACTAGACAGAATGATTCTCAGAAACTCCTTTGTGATGTGTGCGTTCAACTCACAGAGTTTAACCTTTCTTTTCATAGAGCAGTTAGGAAACACTCTGTGTGTAAAGTCTGCAAGTGGATATTCAGACCTCCTTGAGGCCTTCGTTGGAAACGAGATTTCTTCATAATATGCTAGACAGAAGAATTCTCAGTAACTTCCTTGTGTTGTGTGTATTCAACTCACAGAGTTGAACCATCCTTTACAGAGAGCAGACTTGAAACACTCTTTTTGTGGAATTTGCAAGTGGAGATTTCAGCCGCTTTGAGGTCAATGGTAGAATAGGAAATATCTTCCTATAGAAACTAGACAGAATGATTCTCAGAAACTCCTTTGTGATGTGTGCATTCAACTCACAGAGTTTAACTTTTCTTTTCATAGAGCCGTTAGGAAACACTCTGTTTGTAAAGTCTGCAAGTGGATATTCAGACCTCTTTGAGGCCTTCGTTGGAAACGGGATTTCTTCATATTATGCTAGACAGAAGAATTCCCGGTAACTTCCTTGTGTTGTGTGTGTTCAACTCACAGAGTTGAACTTTGATTTACACAGAGCAGATTTGAAACACTCTTTTTGTGGAATTTGCAAGTGGAGATTTCAAGCGCTTTGAGGCCAAAGGCAGAAAAGGAAATATCTTCGTATAAAAACTAGACAGAATCATTCTCAGAAACTGCTCTGCGATGTGTGCGTTCAACTCTCAGAGTTTAACTTTTCTTTTCATTCAGCAGTTTGGAAACACTCTGTTTGTAAAGTCTGCACGTGGATATTTTGACCACTTAGAGGCCTTCGTTGGAAACGGGTTTTTTTCCTGTAAGGCTAGACAGAAGAATTCCCAGTAACTTCCTTGTGTTGTGTGCATTCAACTCACAGAGTTGAACGTTCCCTTAGACAGAGCAGATTTGAAACACTCTATTTGTGCAATTTGCAAGTGTAGTTTTCAAGCTCTTTAAGGTCAACGACAGAAAAGGAAATATCTTGGTTTCAAAACTAGACAGAATCATTCCCACAAACTGCGTTGTGATGTGTTCGTTCAACTCACAGAGTTTAACCTTTCTGTTCATAGAGCAGTTAGGAAACACTCTGTTTGTAAAGTCTGTAAGTGGATATTCTGACATCTTGTGGCCTTCGTTGGAAACGGGATTTCTTCCTATTCTGCTAGACAGAAGAATTCTCAGTAACTTCCTTGTGTTGTGTGTATTCAACTAACAGAGTTGAACGATCCTTTACACAGAGCAGACTTGAAACACTCTTTTTGTGGAATTTGCAAGTGGAGATTTCAGCCGCTTTGAGGTCAATGGTAGAAAAGGAAACTATCTTCATATAAAGACTAGACAGAATGATTCTCAGAAACTCCTTTGAGATGTGTGTGTTCAACTCACAGAGTTTAACCTTTCTTTTCATAGAGCAGTTAGGAATCACTCTGTTTGTAAAGTCTGCAAGTGGATATTCAGACCTCTTTGAGGCCATCGCTGGAAACGGGTTTTTTTCATATAAGGCTAGACAGAAGAATTCCCAATAACTTCCTTGTGTTGTGTGTGTTCAACTCACAGAGTTGAACTTTCATTTACACAGAGCAGATTTGAAACACTCTTTTTGTGGAATTTGCAAGTGGAGATTTCAAGCGCTTTGAGGCCAAAGGCAGAAAAGGAAATACCTTCGTATAAAAACTAGACAGAATGATTCTCAGAAACTCCTTTGTGATGTGTGCGTTCAACTCACAGAGTTTAACCTTTCTTTTCATTCGGCGGTTTGGAAACACTCTGTTTGTAAAGTCTGCACGTGGATATTCAGACCTCTTTGAGGCCTTCGTTGGAAACGGGTTTTTTTCATGTAAGGCTAGACAGAAGAATTCCCAGTAACTTCCTTGTGTTGTGTGCATTCAACTCACAGAGTTGAACGTTCCCTTAGACAGAGCAGATTTGAAACACTCTATTTGTGCAATTTGCAAATGTAGATTTCAAGCGCTTTAAGGTCAACGGCAGAAAAGGAAATATCTTCGTTTCAAAACTAGACAGAATCATTCCCACAAACTGCGTTGTGATGTGTTCGTTCAACTCACAGAGTTTAACCTTTCTTTTCATAGAGCAGTTAGGAAACAGTCTGTTTGTCAATTCTGTAAGTGGATATTCTGACATCTTGTGGCCTTCGTTGGAAACGGGATTTCTTCATATTCTCCTAGACAGAAGAATTCTCAGTAACTTCCTTGTGTTGTGTGTATTCAACTCACAGAGTTGAACGATCCTTTACACAGAGCAGACTTGAAACACTCGTTTTGTGGAATTTGCAAGTGGAGATTTCAGCCGCTTTGAAGTCAATGGTAGAAAAGGAAATATCTTCGTATAAAAACTAGACAGAAAGATTCTCATAAACTCCTTTGTGATGTGTGCGTTCAACTCACAGAGTTTAACCTTTCTTTTCATAGAGCAGTTAGGAAACACTCTGTTTGTAAAGTCTGCAAGTGGATATTCAGACCTCTTTGAGGCCTTCGTTGGAAACGGGATTTCTTCATATTATGCTAGACGGGAAGAATTCTCAGTAACTTCCTTGTGTTGTGTGTATTCAACTGACAGAGTTGAACTTTCATTTAGAGAGAGCAGATTTGAAACACTGTTTTTGTGGAATTTGCAAGTGGAGATTTCAAGCGCTTTGGGGCCAAAGGCAGTAAAGGAAATATCTTCGTATAAAAACTAGACAGAATCATTCTCAGAAACTGCTCTGCGATGTGTGCGTTCAACTCTCAGAGTTTAACTTTTCTTTTCATTCAGCAGTTTGGAAACACTCTGTTTGTAAAGTCTGCACGTGGATATTTTGACCACTTAGAGGCCTTCGTTGGAAACGTGTTTTTTTCCTGTAAGGCTAGACAGAAGAATTCCCAGTAACTTCCTTGTGTTGTGTACATTCAACTCACAGAGTTGAACGTTCCCTTAGACAGAGCAGATTTGAAACACTCTTTTTGTGCAATTGGCAAGTGGAAATTTCAAGCGCTTTGAGGTCAATGGCAGAAAAGGAAATATCTTCGTTTCAAAACTAGACAGAAATCATTCCCACAAACTGCGTTGTGATGTGTTCGTTCAACTCACAGAAGTTTAACCTTTCTTTTCATAGAGCAGTTAGGAAACACTCTGTTGGTAAAATCTGTAAGTGGATATTCTGACATCTTGTGGCCTTCGTTGGAAACGGGATTTCTTCATATTCTGCTAGACAGAAGAATTCTCAGTAACTTCCTTGTGTTGTGTGTATTGAACTCGCAGAGTTGAACGATCCTTTACACAGAGCAGACTTGAAACACTCTTTTTGTGGAATTTGCAAGTGGAGATTTCAGCCGCTTTGAGGTCAATAGTAGAAAAGGTAATATCTTCGTAGAAAAACTAGACAGAATGATTCTCAGAAACTCCTTTGTGATGTGTGCGTTCAACTCACAGAGTTTGACCTTTCTTTTCACAGAGCAGTTAGGAAACACTCTGTTTGTAAAGTCTGCAAGTGGATATTCAGACCTCTTTGAGGCCATAGTTGGAAACGGGATTTCTTCATATTCTGCTAGACAGAAGAATTCTCAGTAACTTCCTTGTGTTGTGTGTATTCAACTGACAGAGTTGAACTTTCATTTAGAGAGAGCAGATTTGAAACACTGTTTTTGTGGAATTTGCAAGTGGAGATTTCAAGCACTTTGGGGCCAAAGGCAGAAAAGGAAATATCTTCGTATAAAAACTAGACAGAATCATTCTCAGAAACTGCTCTGCGATGTGTGCGTTCAACTCTCAGAGTTTAACTTTTCTTTTCATTCAGCAGTTTGCAAACACTCTGTTTGTAAAGTCTGCACGTGGATATTTTGACCACTTAGAGGCCTTCGTTGGAAACGGGTTTTTTTCCTGTAAGGCTAGACAGTAGAATTCCCAGTAACTTCCTTGCGTTGTGTACATTCAACTCACAGAGTTGAACGTTCCCTTAGACAGAGCAGATTTGAAACACTCTTTTTGTGCAATTGGCAAGTGGAGATTTCAAGCGCTTTAAGGTCAATGGCAGAAAAGGAAATATCTTCGTTTCAAAACTAGACAGAATCATTCCCACAAACTGCGTTGTGATGTGTTCGTTCAACTCACAGTAGTTTAACCTTTCTGTTCATAGAGCTGTTAGGAAACACTCTGTTTGTAAAGTCTGTAAGTGGATATTCTGACATCTTGTGGCCTTCGTTGGAAACGGGATTTCTTCATATTCTGCTAGACAGAAGAATTCTCAGTAACTTCCTTGTGTTGTGTGTATTCAACTCACAGAGTTGAACGATCCTTTACACAGAGCATACTTGAAACACTCTTTTTGTGGAATTTGCAAGTGGAGATTTCAGCCGCTTTGATGTCAATGGTAGAAAAGGAAATAACTTCGTATAAAGACTAGACAGAATGATTCTCAGAAACTCCTTTGTGATGTGTGCGTTCAACTCACAGAGTTTAACCTTTCTTTTCATAGAGCAGTTAGGAAACACTGTGTTTGTAAAGTCTGCAAGTGGATATTCAGACCTCTTTGAGGCCTTCGTTGGAAACGGGTTTTTTTCATATAAGGCTAGACAGAAGAATTCTCAGTAACTTGCTTTTGTTGTGTGTATTCAACTGACAGAGTTGAACTTTCATTTAGACAGAGCAGATTTGAAACTCTCTTTTTCTGGAATTTGCAAGTGGAGATTTCAAGCGCTTTGAGGCCAAAGGCAGAAAAGGATATATCTTCGTATAAAAACTAGACAGAATCATTCTCAGAAACTGCTCTGCGATGTGTGCCTTCAACTCTCAGAGTTTAACTTTTCTTTTCATTCAGCAGTTTGGAAACACTCTGTTTGTAAAGTCTGCACGTGGATAATTTGACCACTTAGAGGCCTTCGTTGGAAACGGGTTTTTTTCATGTAAGGCTAGACAGAAGAATTCCCAATAACTTCCTTGTGTTGTGTGCATTCAACTCACAGAGTTGAACGTTCCCTTAGACAGAGCAGATTTGAAACACTCTATTTGTGCAATTTGCAAGTGTAGATTTCAAGCGCTTTAAGGTCAATGGCAGAAAAGGAAATATCTTCGTTTCAAAACTAGACAGAATGATTCTCAGAAACTCCTCTGTGATGTGTGCGTTCAACTCACAGAGTTTAACTTTTCTTTTCATAGAGCAGTTAGGAAACACTCTATTTGTAAAGTCTGCAAGGGGATATTCAGACCTCTTTGAGGCCTTCGTTGGAAACGGGATTTCTTCATATTCTGCTAGACAGAAGAATTCTCAGTAACTTCCTTGTGTTGTGTGTATTCAACTCACAGAGTTGAACGATCCTTTACACAGAGCAGACTTGAAACACTCTTTTTGTGGAATTTGCAAGTGGAGATTTCAGCCGCTTTGAGGTCAATGGTAGAAAAGGAAATATCTTCGTATAGAAACAAGACAGAATGATTCTCAGAAACTCCTTTGAGATGTGTGCGCTCAACTCACAGAGTTTAACCTTTCTTTTCATAGAGCAGTTAGGAAACACTCTGTTTGTAAAGTCTGCAAGTGGATATTCAGACCTCTTTGAGGCCTTCGTTGGAAACGGGTTTTTTTCAAATAAGGCTAGACAGAAGAATTCTCAGTAACTTCCCTGTGTTGTGTGTATTCAACTGACAGAGTCGAACTTTCATTTAGAGAGAGCAGATTTGTAACATTGTTTTTGTGGAATTTGCAAGTGGAGATTTCAAGCGCTTTGGGGCCAAAGGCAGAAAATGAAATATCTTCGTATAAAAACTAGACAGAATCATTCTCAGAAACTGCTCTGCGATGTGTGCGTTCAACTCTCAGAGTTTAACTTTTCTTTTCATTCAGCAGTTTGGAAACACTCTGTTTGTAAAGTCTGCACGTGGATATTTTGACCACTTAGAGGCCTTCGTTGGAAACGGGTTTTTTTGCCTGTAAGGCTAGACAGAAAGAATTCCCAGTAACTTCCTTGTGTTGTGTACATTCAACTCACGGAGTTGAACGTTCCCTTAGACAGAGCAGATTTGAAACACTCTTTTTGTGCAATTGGCAAATGGAGATTTCAAGCGCTTTAAGGTCAATGGCAGAAAAGGAAATATCTTCGTTTCAAAACTAGACAGAATGATTCTCAGAAACTCCTTTGTGATGTGTGCGTTCAACTCACAGAGTTTAACCTTTCTTTTCATAGAGCAGTTGGGAAACACTCTGTTTGTAAAGTCTGCAAGTGGATATTCAGACATCCTTGAGGCTTTCGTTGGAAAAGGGATTTCTTCATATTCTGCTAGACAGAAGAATTCTCAGTAACTTCCTTGTGTTGTGTGTATTCAACTCACACAGTTGAACGATCCTTTACACAGAGCAGACTTGAAACACTCTTTTTGTGGAATTT
This sequence comes from Homo sapiens, assembly GCF_000001405.40. NCBI lineage: Eukaryota > Metazoa > Chordata > Mammalia > Primates > Hominidae > Homo > Homo sapiens. The sequence continues at coordinate 123,209,109 of NC_000001.11, forward strand.
GCAAGTGGAGATTTCAGCCGCTTTGAGGTCAATGGTAGAATAGGAAATATCTTCCTATAGAAACTAGACAGAAAGATTCTCAGAAACTCCTTTGTGATGTGTGCGTTCAACTCACAGAGTTTAACCTTTCTTTTCATAGAGCAGTTAGGAAACACTCTGTTTGTAAAGTCTGCAAGTGGATATTCAGACCTCTTTGAGGCCTTCGTTGGAAACGGGTTTTTTTCATATAAGGCTAGACAGAAGAATTCTCAGTAACTTCCTTGTGTTGTGTGTATTCAACTGACAGAGTTGAACTTTCATTTAGAGAGAGCAGATTTGAAACACTGTTTTTGTGGAATTTGCAAGTGGAGATTTCAAGCGCTTTGGGACCAAAGGCAGAAAAGGAAATATCTTCGTATATAAACTAGACAGAATCATTCTCAGAAACTGTTCTGCGATGTGTGCGTTCAACTCTCAGAGTTTAACTTTTCTTTTCATTCAGCAGTTTGGAAACACTCTGTTTGTAAAGTCTGCACGTGGATATTTTGACCACTTAGAGGCCTTCGTTGGAAACGGGTTTTTTTCCTGTAAGGCTAGACAGAAGAATTCCCAGTAACTTCCTTGTGTTGTGTACATTCAACTCACAGAGTTGAACGTTCCCTTAGACAGAGCAGATTTGAAACACTCTTTTTGTGCAATTGGCAAGTGGTGATTTCAGCCGCTTTGAGGTCAATGGTAGAAAAGGAAATATCTTCGTATAAAAACTAGACAGAATCATTCCCACAAACTGCGTTGTGATGTGTTCGTTCAACTCACAGAGTTTAACCTTTCTTTTCCTAGAGCAGTTAGGAAACAGTCTGTTTGTAAATTCTGTAAGTGGATATTCTGACATCTTGTGGCCTTCGTTGGAAACGGGATTTCTTCATATTCTGCTAGACAGAAGAATTCTCAGTAACTTTCCTTGTGTTGTGTGTATTCAACTCACAGATTTGAACGATCCTTTACACAGAGCAGACTTGTAACACTCTTTTTGTGGAATTCGCAAGTGGAGATTTCAGCAGCTTTGAAGTCAAAGGTAGAAAAGGAAATATCTTCCTATAAAAACTAGACAGAATGATTCTCAGAAACTCCTTTGTGATGTGTGTGTTCAACTCACAGAGTTTAACTTTTCTTTTCCTAGAGCAGTTAGTAAACACTCTGTTTAAAAAGTCTGCAAGTGGATATTCAGACCCCTTTGAGGCCTTCGTTGGAAACGGGATTTCTTCATATTATGGTAGACAGAAGAATTCTCAGTAACTTCCTTGTGTTGTGTGTATTCAACTCACAGAGTTGAACGATCCTTTTCACAGAGCAGACTTGAAACACTCTTTTTGTGGAATTTGCAAGTGGAGATTTCAGCCGCTTTGAGGTCAATGGTAGAAAAGGGAATATCTTCGTATAGAAACTAGACAGAATCATTCTCAGAAACTGCTCTGCGATGTGTACGTTGAACTCTCAGAGTTTAACTTTTCTTTTCATTCAGCAGTTTGGAAACACTCTGTTTGTAATGTCTGCACGTGGATAATTTGACCACTTAGAGGCCTTCGTTGGAAACGGGTTTTTTTCATGTAAGGCTAGACAGAAGAATTCTCAGAAACTTCCTTGTGTTGTGTGTACTCAACTCACAGAGTTGAACGATCCTTTACACAGAGCAGACTTGAAACACTCTTTTTGTGGAATTTGCAAGTGTAGATTTCAAGCGCTTTAAGGTCAATGGCAGAAAAGGAAATATCTTCGTTTCAAAACTAGACAGAATCATTCCCACAAACTGCGTTGTGATGTGTTCGTTCAACTCACAGAATTTAACCTTTCTGTTCATAGAGCAGTTAGGAAACACTCTGTTTGTAAAGTCTGTAAGTGGATATTCTGACGTCTTGTGGCCTTCGTTGGAAACGGGATTTCTTCATATTCTGCTGGACAGAAGAATTCTCAGTAACTTCCTTGTGTTGTGTGTATTCAACTCACAGAGTTGAACGATCCTTTACAGAGAGCAGACTTGAAACACTCTTTTTGTGGAATTTGCAAGTGGAGATTTCAGCCTCTTTGAGGTCAATGGTAGAATAGGAAATATCTTCCTATAGAAACCAGACAGAATGATTCTCAGAAACTCCTTTGTGATGTGTGCGTTCAACTCACAGAGTTTAACCTTTCTTTTCATAGGGCAGTTAGGAAACACTCTGTTTGTAAAGTCTGCAAGTGGATATTCAGACATCCTTGAGGCTTTCGTTGGAAACGGGATTTCTTCATATTCTGCTAGAAAGAAGAATTCCCAGTAACTTCCTTGTGTTGTCTGTGTTCAACTCACAGAGTTGAACTTTCATTTACACAGAGCAGATTTGAAACACTCTTTTTGTGGAATTTGCAAATGGAGATTTCAAGCGCTTTGAGGCCAAAGGCAGAAAAGGAAATATCTTTGTATAAAAACTAGACAGAATCATTCTCAGAAACTGCTCTGTGATGTGTGCGTTCAACTCTCAGAGTTTAACTTTTCTTTTCATTCAGCAGTTTGGAAACACTCTGTTTGTAAAGTCTGCACGTGGATAATTTGACCACTTAGAGGCCTTCGTTGGAAACGGGTTTTTTTCATGTAAGGCTAGACAGAAGAATTCTCAGTAACTTCCCTTGTGTTGTGTGTATTCAACTCACAGAGTTGAACGATCCTTTACACAGAGCAGACTTGTAACACTCTTTTTGTGGAATTTGCAAGTGGAGATTTCAGCCGCTTTGAAGTCAAAGGTAGAAAAGGAAATATCTTCCTATTAAAACTAGACAGAATGATTCTCAGAAAATCATTTGTGATGTGTGCGTTCAACTCACAGAGTTTAACTTTTCTTCTCATAGAGCAGTTAGGAAACACTCTGTTTGTAAAGTCTGCAAGTGGATATTCAGACCTCTTTGAGGCCTTCGTTGGAAACGGGATTTCTTCATATTCTGCTAGACAGAATAATTCCCAGTAACTTCCTTGTGTTGTGTGTATTCAACTCACAGAGTTGAATGATCCTTTACACAGAGCAGACTTGAAACACTCTTTTTGTGGAATTTGCAAGTGGAGATTTCAGCCGCTTTGAGGTCAATGGTAGAAAAGTAAATATCTTCGTATAAAGACTAGACAGAATGATTCTCAGAAACTCCTTTGTGATGTGTGCGTTCAACTCACAGAGTTTAACATTTCTTGTCATAGAGCAGTTAGGAAACACTCTGTTTGTAAAGTCTGCAAGTGGATATTCAGACCTCCTTGAGGCCTTCGTTGGAAACGAGATTTCTTCATATTATGCTAGACAGAAGAATTCTCAGTAACTTCCCTTGTGTTGTGTGTATTCAACTGACAGATTTGAACTTTCATTTAGAGAGAGCAGATTTGAAACACTGTTTTTGTGGAATTTGCAAGTGGAGATTTCAAGCGCTTTGGGGCCAAAGGCAGAAAAGGAAATATCTTCGTATAAAAACTAGACAGAATCATTCTCAGAAACTGCTGCGTGATGTGTGCGTTCAACTCTCAGAGTTTAACTTTTCTTTTCATTCAGCGGTTTGGAAACACTCTGTTCGTAAAGTCTGCACGTGGATATTTTGACCACTTAGGGGCCTTCGTTGGAAACGGGTTTTTTTCATGTTAGGCTAGACAGAAGAATTCCCAGTAACTTCCTTGTGTTGTGTACATTCAACTCACAGAGTTGAACGTTCCCTTAGACAGAGCAGATTTGAAACACTCTTTTTGTGCAATTGGCAAATGGTGATTTCAAGCGCTTTAAGGTCAATGGCAGAAAAGGAAATATCTTCGTTTCAAAACTAGACAGAATCATTCCCACAAACTGCGTTGTGATGTGTTCGTTCAACTCACAGAGTTTAACCTTTCTGTTCATAGAGCAGTTAGGAAACACTCTGTTTGTAAAGTCCGTAAGTGGATATTCTGACATCTTGTGGCCATCTTTGGAAACGGGATTTCTTCATAGTCTGCTAGACAGAAGAGTTCTCAGTAACTTCCTTGTGTTGTGTGTATTCAACTCACACAGTTGAACGATCCTTTACAGAGAGCAGACTTGTAACACTCTTTTTGTGGAATTTGCAAGTGGAGATTTCAGCCGCTTTGAAGTCAAAGTAGAAAAGGAAATATCTTCCTATAAAAACAAGACAGAATGATTCTCAGAAACTCCTTTGTGATGTGTGAGTTCAACTCACAGAGTTTAACCTTTCTTTTCATAGAGCAGTTAGGAAACACTCTGTTTGTAAAGTCTGCAAGTGGATATTCAGACCTCTTTGAGGCCTTCGTTGGAAACGGGTTTTTTTCATATAAGGCTAGACAGAAGAATTCCCAGTAACTTCCTTGTGTTGTGTGTGTTCAACTCACAAAGTTGAACTTTCATTTACACAGAGCAGATTTGAAACACTCTTTTTGTGGAATTTGCAAATGGAGATTTCAAGCGCTTTGAGGCCAAAGGCAGAAAAGGAAATATCTTCGTATAAAAACTAGACAGAATCATTCTCAGAAACTGCTCTGCGATGTGTGCGTTCAACTCTCAGAGTTTAACTTTTCTTTTCATTCAGCAGTTTGGAAACACTCTGTTTGTAAAGTCTGCACGTGGATAATTTGACCACTTGGAGGCCTTCGTTGGAAACGGATTTTTTTCATGTAAGGCTAGACAGAAGAATTCCCAGTAACTTCCTTGTGTTGTGTGTGTTCAACTCACAGAGTTGAACTTTCATTTACACAGAGCAGATTTGAAACACTCTTTTTGTGGAATTTGCAAGTGGAGATTTCAAGCGCTTTAAGGTCAATGGCAGAAAAGGAAATATCTTCGTTTCAAAACTAGACAGAATCATTCCCACAAACTGCGTTGTGATGTGTTCGTTCAACTAACAGAGTTTAACCTTTCTGTTCATAGAGCAGTTAGGAAACACTCTGTTTGTAAAGTCTGTAAGTGGATATTCTGACATCTTGTGGCCTTCGTTGGAAACGGGATTTCTTCATATTCTGCTAGACAGAAGAATTCTCAGAAACTTCCTTGTGTTGTGTGTATTCAACTCACAGAGTTGAACGATCGTTTACACAGAGCAGACTTGAGACACTCTTTTTGTAGAATTTGTAAGTGGAGATTTCAGCCGCTTTGAGGTCAATGGTAGAAAAGGAAATATCTTCATATAAAAACTAGACAGAATGATTCTCAGAAACTCCTTTGTGATGTGTGTGTTCAACTCACAGAGTTTAACCTTTCTTTTCATAGAGCAGTTAGTAAACACTCTGTTTATAAAGTCTGCAAGTGGATATTCAGACCCCTTGGAGGCCTTCGTTGGAAACGGGATTTCTTCATATTATGCTACACAGAAGAATTCCCGGTAACTTCTTTGTGTTGTGTGTGTTCAACTCACACAGTTGAACTTTCATTTACACAGAGCAGATTTGAAACACTCTTTTTGTGGAATTTGCAAGTGGAGATTTCAAGCGCTTTGAGGCCAAAGGCAGAAAAGGAAATATCTTCGTTTCAAAACTAGACAGAATCATTCTCAGAAACTGCTGCGTGATGTGTGCGTTCAACTCTCAGAGTTTAACTTTTCTTTTCATTCAGCGGTTTGGAAACACTCTGTTTGTAAAGTCTGTGCGTGGATATTTTGACCACTTAGAGGCCTTCGTTGGAAACGGGTTTTTTTCATGTAAGGCTAGACAGAAGAATTCCCACTAACTTCCTTGTGTTGTGTGCATTCAACTCACAGACTTGAACGTTCCCTTAGACAGAGCAGATTTGAAACACTCTATTTGTGCAATTTGCAAGTGTAGATTTCAAGCGCTTTAAGGTCAATGGCAGAAAAGGAAATATCTTCGTTTCAAAACTAGACAGAATGATTCTCAGAAACTTCTTTGTGATGTGTGCGTTCAACTCACAGAGTTTAACCTTTCTTTTCATAGAGCAGTTAGGAAACACTCTGTTTGTAAACTCTGCAAGTGGATGTTCAGACCTGTTTGAGGCCTTCGTTGGAAACGGGATTTCTTCATACTATTCTAGACAGAAGAATTCTCAGTAACTTCCTTGTGTTGTGTGTATTCAACTCATAGAGTTGAACGATCCTTTACACAGAGCAGACTTGTGACACTCTTTTTGTGGAATTTGCAAGTGGAGATTTCACCCGCTTTGACGTCAAAGGTAGAAAAGGAAATATCTTCCTATAAAAACTAGACAGAATGATTCTCAGAAACTTCTTTGTGATGTGTGCGTTCAACTCACAGAGTTTAACCTTTCTTTTCATAGAGCAGTTAGGAAACACTCTGTTTGTAAACTCTGCAAGTGGATATTCAGACCTCTTTGAGGCCTTAGTTGGAAACGGGATTTCTTCATACTGTGCTAGACAGAAGAATTCTCAGTAACTTCCGAGTGTTGTGTGTATTCAACTCACAGAGCTGAACGATCCTTTACACAGAGCAGACTTGAAACACTCTTTTTGTGGAATTTGCAAGTGGAGATTTCAGCCGCTTTGAGGTCAATGGTAGAAAAGGAAATATCTTCGTATAAAAACTAGACAGAAGCATTCTCAAAAACTGCTCTGTGATGTGTGCGTTCAACTCTCAGAGTTTAATTTTCTTTTCATTCAGCAGTTTGTAAACACTCTGTTTGTAAAGTCTGCACGTGGATATTTTGACCACTTAGAGGCCTTCGTTGGAAACGAGTTTTTTTCATGTAAGGCTAGACAGAAGAATTCCCAGTAACTTCCTTGTGTTGTGTGTATTCAACTCACAGAGTTGAACGTTCCCTTAGACAGAGCAGATTTGAAACACTCTATTTGTGCAATTTGCAAGTGTAGATTTCAAGCGCTTTAAGTTCAATGGCAGAAAAGGAAATATCTTCGTTTCAAAACTAGACAGAATCATTCTCAGAAACTGCTGTGCGATGTGTGTGTTCAACTCTCAGAGTTTAACTTTGCTTTTCATTCAGCAGTTTGGAAACACTCTGTTTGTAAAGTCTGCACGTGGATAATTTGACCACTTAGAGGCCTTCGTTGGAAACGGGTTTTTTTCATGTAAGGCTGGACAGAAGAATTCTCAGTAACTTCCTTGTGTGGTGTGTATTCAACTCACAGAGTTGAACGATCCTTTACACAGAGCAGACTTGTAACACTCTTTTTGTGGAATTTGCAAGTGGAGATTTCAGCCGCTTTGAAGTCAAAGGTAGAAAAGGAAATATCTTCCTATAAAAACTACACAGAATGATTCTCAGAAAATCTTTTGTGATGTGTGCGTTCAACTCACAGAGTTTAACTTTTCTTCTCATAGAGCAGTTAGGAAACACTCTGTTTGTAAAGTCTGCAAGTGGATATTCAGACCACTTTGAGGCCTTCGTTGGAAACGGGATTTCTTCATATTATGCTAGACAGAAGAATTCCCAGTAACTTCCTTGTGTTGTGTGTGTTCAACTCATAGAGTTGAACTTTGATTTACACAGAGCAGATTTGAAACACTCTTTTTGTGGAATTTGCAAGTGGAGATTTCAAGCGCTTTGAGGCCAAAGGCAGAAAAGGAAATATCTTCGTATAAAAACTAGACAGAATCATTCTCAGAAACTGCTCTGCAATGTGTGCGTTCAACTCTCAGAGTTTAACTTTTCTTTTCATTCAGCAGTTTGGAAACACTCTGTTTGTAAAGTCTGCACGTGGATATTTTGACCACTTAGAGGCCTTCGTTGGAAACGGGTTTTTTTCCTGTAAGGCTAGACAGAAGAATTCCCAGTAACTTCCTTGTGTTGTGTACATTCAACTCACAGAGTTGAACGTTCCCTTAGACAGAGCAGATTTGAAACACTCTTTTTGTGCAATTGGCAAATGGAGATTTCAAGCGCTTTAAGTTCAATGGCAGAAAAGGAAATATCTTCGTTTCAAAACTAGACAGAATCATTCCCACAAACTGCGTTGTGATGTGTTCGTTCAACTCACAGAGTTTAACCTTTCTTTTCATAGAGCAGTTAGGAAACAGTCTGTCAATTCTGTAAGTGGATATTCTGACATCTTGTGGCATTCGTTGGAAACGGGATTTCTTCATATTCTGCTAGACAGAAGAATTCTCAGAATCTTCCTTGTGTTGTGTGTATTCAACTCACAGAGTTGAACGATCCTTTACACAGAGCAGACTTGAAACACTCTTTTTGTGGAATTTGCAAGTGGAGATTTCAGCTGCTTTGAGGTCCATGGTAGAAAAGGAAATATCTTCGTATAAAAACTAGACAGAATGATTCTCAGAAACTCCTTTGTGATGTGTGTGTTCAACTCACAGAGTTTAAACTTTCTGTTCATAGAGCAGTTAGGAAACACTCTGTTTGTAAAGTCTGCAAGTGGATATTCAGACCTCCTTGAGGCCTTCGTTGGAAACGGGATTTCTTCATATTCTGCTAGACAGAAGAATTCTCAGTAACTTCCTTGTGTTGTGTGTATTCAACTGACAGAGTTGAACTTTCATTTACACAGAGCAGATTTGAAACACTCTTTTTGTGGAATTTGCAAATGGAGATTTCAAGCGATTTGAGGCCAAAGGCAGAAAAGGAAATATCTTCGTATAAAAACTAGACAGAATCATTCTCAGAAACTGCTGCGTGATGTGTGCGTTCAACTCTCAGAGTTTAACTTTTCTTTTCATTCAGCGGTTTGGAAACACTCTGTTTGTAAAAACTGCACGTGGATATTTTGACCACTTAGAGGCCTTCGTTGGAAACGGGTTTTTTTCATGTAAGGCTAGACAGAAGAATTCCCAGTAACTTCCTTGTGTTGTGTGCATTCAACTCACAGAGTTGAACGTTCCCTTAGACAGAGCAGATTTGAAACACTCTATTTGTGCAATTTGCAAGTGTAGTTTTCAAGCTCTTTAAGGTCAACGGCAGAAAAGGAAATATCTTCGTTTCAAAACTAGACAGAATGATTCTCATAAACTCCTTTGTGATGTGTGCGTTCAACTCACAGAGTTTAACCTTTCTTTTCATAGAGCAGTTAGGAAACACTCTGTTTGTAAAGCCTGCAAGTGGATATTCAGACCTCCTTGAGGCCTTCTTTGGAAACGGGATTTCTTCATATTCTGATAGACAGAAGAATTCTCAGTAACTTCCTTGTGTTGTGTGTATTCAACTCACAGAGTTGAACGATCCTTTACCCAGAGCAGACTTGAAACACCCTTTTTGTGGAATTTGCAAGTGGAGATTTCAGCCGCTTTGAGGTCAATGGTAGAAAAGGAAATATCTTCGTATAAAGACTAGACAGAATGATTCTCAGAAACTCCTTTGTGATGTGTGTGTTCAACTCACAGAGTTTAACCTTTCTTTTCATAGAGCAGTTCGTAAACACTCTGTTTATAAAGTCTGCAAGTGGATATTCAGACCCCTTTGAGGCCTTCTTTGGAAACGGGATTTCTTCATATTATGCTAGACGGAAGAATTCCCCGTAACTTCCTTGTGTTGTGTGTGTTCAACTCACAGAGTTGAACTTTCATTTACATAGAGCAGATTTGAAACACTCTTTTTATGGAATTTGCAAGTGGAGATTTCAAGCGCTTTGAGGCCAAAGGCAGAAAAGGAAATATCTTCGTATAAAAACTAGACAGAATCATTCTCAGAAACTGCTCTGCGATGTGTGCGTTCAACTCTCAGAGTTTAACTTTTCTTTTCATTCAGCAGTTTGGAAACACTCTGTTTGTAAAGTCTGCACGTGGATAATTTGACCACTTAGAGGCCTTCTTTGGAAACGGGTTTTTTTCATATAAGGCTAGACAGAAGAATTCCCAGTAACTTCCTTGTGTTGTGTACATTCAACTCACAGATTTGAACGCTCCCTTAGACAGAGCAGATTTGAAACACTCTTTTTGTGCAATTGGCAATTGGAGATTTCAAGCGCTTTAAGGTCAATGGCAGAAAAGGAAATATCTTCGTTTCAAAACTAGACAGAATGATTCTCAGAAACTTCTTTGTGATGTGTGCGTTCAACTCACAGAGTTTAACCTTTCTTTTCATAGAGCAGTTAGGAAACACTCTGTTTGTAAACTCTGCAAGTGGATATTTAGACCTCTTTGAGGCCTTCGTTGGAAACGGGATTTTTTCATACTGTACTAGACAGAAGAATTCTCAGTAACTTCCTTGTGTTGTGTGTATTCAACTCACAGAGTTGAAAGATCCTTTACACAGAGCAGACTTGAAACACTCTTTTTGTGGAATTTGCAAGTGGAGATTTCAACCGCTTTGAGGTCAATAGTACAAAAGGAAATATCTTCGTAGAAAAACTAGACAGAATGATTCTCAGAAACTCCTTTGTGATGTGTGCGTTCAACTCACAGAGTTCAACCTTTCTTTTCATAGAGCAGTTGGGAAACACTCTGTTTGTAAAGTCTGCAAGTGGATATTCAGACCTCCTTGAGGCCTTCGTTGGAAGCGGGATTTCTTCATCTTCTGCTAGACAGAAGAATTCTCAGTAACTTCCTTGTGTTTTGTGTATTCAACTGACAGAGTTGAACTTTCATTTAGAGAGAGCAGATTTGAAACACTGTTTTTGTGGAATTTGCAAGTGGAGATTTCAAGCGCTTTGGGGCCAAAGGCAGAAAAGGAAATATCTTCGTATAAAAACTAGACAGAATGATTCTCAGAAACTTCTTTGTGATTTATGCGTTCAACTCACAGAGTTAAAACTTTCTTTTCATAGAGCAGTTAGGAAACACTCTGTTTGTAAAGACTGCACGTGGATATTCAGACCTCTTTGAGGCCTTCGTTGGAAACGGGTTTTTTTCCTGTAAGGCTAGACAGAAGAATTCCCAGTAACTTCCTTGTGTTGTGTGCATTCAACTCACAGAGTTGAACGTTCCCTTAGACAGAGCAGATTTGAAACACTCTATTTGTGCAACTTACAAGTGTAGTTTTCAAGCTCTTTAAGGTCAACGGCAGAAAAGGAAATATCTTCGTTTCAAAACTAGACAGAATCATTACCACAAACTGCGTTGTGATGTGTTCGTTCAACCCACAGAGTTTAAGCTTTCTCTTCATAGAGCAGTTAGGAAACACTCTGTTTGTGAAGTCTGTAAGTGGATATTCTGACATCTTGTGGCCTTCGTTGGAAACGGGATTTCTTCATATTCTGCTAGACAGAAGAATTCTCAGTAACTTCCTTGTGTTGTGTGTATTCAACTCACAGAGTTGAACGATCCTTTACACAGAGCAGAGTTGAAACATTCTTTTTGTGGAATTTGCAAGTGGAGATTTCAGCCGCTTTGAGGTCAATGGTAGAATAGCAAATATCTTCCTATAGAAACTAGACAGAATGATTCTTAGAAACTCCTTTGTGATGTGTGTGTTCAACTCACAGAGTTTAACCTTTCTTTTCATAGAGCAGTTAGTAAACACTCTGTTTATAAAGTCTGCAAGTGGATATTCAGACCCCTTTGAGGCCTTCGTTGGAAACGGGATTTCTTCATATTATGCTAGACAGAAGAATTCTCAGTAACTTCCTTGTGTTGTGTGTATTCAACTCACAGAGTTGAACGATCCTTTACACAGAGCAGACTTGAAACACTCTTTTTGTGGAATTTGCAAGTGGAGATATCAAGCGCTTTGGGGCCAAAACTAGACAGAATCATGCTCAGAAACTGCTCTGCGATGTGTGCGTTCAACTCTCAGAGTTTAACTTTTCTTTTCATTCAGCAGTTTGGAAACACTCTGTTTGTAAAGTCTGCACTTGCATAATTTGACCGCTTAGAGGCCTTCGTTGGAAACGGGTTTTTTTCATGTAAGGCTAGACAGAAGAATTCCCAGTAACTTCCTTGTGTTGTGTGCATTCAACTCACAGAGTTGAACGTTCCCTTAGACAGAGCAGATTTGAAACACTCTATTTGTGCAATTTGCAATTGTAGTTTTCAAGCTCTTTAAGGTCAACGGCAGAAAAGGAAATATCTTCGTTTCAAAACTAGACAGAATCATTCCCACAAACTGCGTTGTGATGTGTTCGTTCAACTCACAGAGTTTAACCTTTCTGTTCATAGAGCAGTTAGGAAACACTCTTTTTGTAAAGTCTGTAAGTGGATATTCTGACATCTTGTGGCCTTCGTTAGAAACGGGATTTTTTCATATTCTGCTAGACAGAAGAATTCTCAGTAACTTCCTTGTGTTGTGTGTATTCAACTCACAGAGTTGAACGATCCTTTACACAGAGCAGACTTGTAACACTCTTTTTGTGTAATTTGCAAGTGGAGATTTCAGCCGCTTTGAAGTCACAGGTAGAAAAGGAAATATCTTCCTATAAAAACTAGACAGAATGATTCTCAGAAACTCCTTTGTGATGTGTGCGTTCAGCTCACAGAGTTTAACCTTTCTTTTCATAGAGCAGTTCGGAAACACTCTGTTTGTAAAGTCTGCAAGTGGATATTCAGACCTCTTTGAGGCCTTCGTTGGAAACGGGATTTCTTCATATTCTGCTAGACAGAAGATTCCCAGTAACTTCCTTGTGTTGTGTGTGTTCAACTCACAGAGTTGAACTTTGATTTACACAGAGCAGATTTGAAACACTCTTTTTGTGGAATTTGCAAGTGGAGATTTCAAGCGCTTTGAGGCCAAAGGCAGAAAAGGAAATATCTTCGTATAAAAACTAGACAGAATCATTCTCAGAAACTGCTCTGCGATGTGTGCGTTCAACTCTCAGAGTTTAACTTTTCTTTTCATTCAGCAGTTTGGAAACACTCTGTTTGTAAAGTCTGCAGGTGGATACTTTGACCACTTAGAGACCTTCGTTGGAAACGGGTTTTTTTCCTGTAAGGCTAGACAGAAGAATTCCCAGTAACTTCCTTGTGTTGTGTGCATTCAACTCACAGAGATGAACGTTCCCTTAGACAGAGCAGATTTGAAACACTCTATTTGTGCAATTTGCAAGTGTAGATTTCAAGCGCTTTAAGGTCAATGGCAGAAAAGGAAATATCTTCGTTTCAAAACTAGACAGTATCATTCCCACAAACTGCGTTGTGATGTGTTCGTTCAACTCACAGAGTTTAACCTTTCTTTTCATAGAGCAGTTAGGAAACAGTCTGTTTGTAAATTCTGTAAGTGGATATTCTGACATCTTGTGGCCTTCGTTGGAAACGCGATTTCTTCATATTCTGCTAGACAGAAGAATTCTCAGAATCTTCCTTGTGTTGTGTGTATTCAACTCAAAGAGTTGAACGATCCTTTACACAGAGCAGACTTGAAACTCTCTTTTTGTGGAATTTGCAAGTGGAGATTTCAGCCGCTTTGAGGTCCATGGTAGAAAAGGAAATATCTTCGTATAAAAACTAGACAGAATGATTCTGAGAAACTCCTTTGTGATGTGTGCGTTCAACTCACAGAGTTTAACCTTTCTTTTCATAGAGCAGTTAGGAAACACTCTGTTTTTAAAGTCTGCAAGTGGATATTCAGACCTCCTTGAGGCCTTCGTTGGAAACGGGATTTCTTCATATTATGCTAGACAGAAGAATTCCAGTAACTTCCTTGTGTTTTGTGTGTTGAACTCACAGAGTTGAACTTTCATTTACACAGAGCAGATTTGAAACACTCTTTTTGTGGAATTTGCAAGTGGAGATTTCAAGGGCTTTGAGGCCAAAGGCAGAAAAGGAAATATCTTCGTTTCAAAACTAGACAGAATCATTCTCAGAAACTGCTGCGTGATGTGTGCGTTCAACTCTCAGAGTTTAAGTTTTCTTTTCATTCAGCGGTTTGGAAACACTCTGTTTGTAAAGTCTGCACGTGGAAATTTTGACCACTTAGAGGCCTTCGTTGGAAACGGGTTTTTTTCATGTAAGGCTAGACAGAAGAATTCCCAGTAACTTCCTTGTGTTGTGTGCATTCAACTCACAGAGTTGAACGTTCCCTTAGACAGAGCAGATTTGAAACACTCTATTTGTGCAATTTGCAAGTGTAGTTTTCAAGCTCTTTAAGGTCAATGGCAGAAAAGGAAATATCTTCGTTTCAAAACTAGACAGAATGATTCTCAGAAACTCCTCTGTGATGTGTGCGTTCAACTCACAGAGTTTAACTTTTCTTTTCATAGAGCAGTTAGGAAACACTCTGTTTGTAAAGTCTACAAGTGGATATTCAGACCTCTGTGAGGCCCTCGTTGGAAACGGGATTTCTTCATATTATGCTAGACAGAAGAATTCTCAGTAACTTCCTTGTGTTGTGTGTATTCAACTCACAGAGTTGAACGATCCTTTACACAGAGCAGACTTGAAACACTCTTTTTGTGGAATTTGCAAGTGGAGATTTCAGCCACTTTGAGGTCAATAGTAGAAAAGGAAATATCTTCGTAGAAAAACTAGACATAATGATTCTCAGAAACCCATTTGTGATGTGTGCGTTCCACTCACAGAGTTTAACCTTTCTTTTCATAGAGCAGTTAGGAAACACTCTGTTTGTAAAGTCTGCAAGGGGATATTTAGACCTCTTTGAGGCCTTCGTTGGAAACGGGATTTCTTCATATTCTGCTAGACAGAAGAATTCTCAGTAACTTCCTTGTGTTGTGTGTATTCAACTCACAGAGTTGAACTTTCATTTAGAGAGAGCAGATTTGAAACACTGTTTTTGTGGAATTTGCAAGTGGAGATTTCAAGCGCTTTGTGGCCAAAGGCAGAAAAGGAAATATCTTCGTATAAAAACTAGACAGAATCATTCTCAGAAACTGCTCTGCGATGTGTGCGTTCAACTCTCAGAGTTTAACTTTTCTTTTCATTCACCAGTTTGGAAACACTCTGTTTGTAAAGTCTGCACGTGGATATTTTGACCACTTAGAGGCCTTCGTTGGAAACGGGTTTTTTTCCTGTAAGGCTAGACAGAAGAATTCCCAGGAACTTCCTTGTTTTGCGTACATTCAACTCACACATTTGAACGTTCCCTTAGACAGAGTAGATTTGAAACACTCTTTTTGTGCAATTGGCAAGTGGTGATTTCAGCCGCTTTGAGGTCAATGGTAGAAAAGGAAATATCTTCGTATAAAAACTAGACAGAATGATTCTGAGAAACTCCTTTGTGATGTGTGCGTTCAACTCACACAGTTTAACCTTTCTTTTCATAGAGCAGTTAGGAAACACTCTGTTTGTAAAGTCTGCAAGTGGATATTCAGACGTCCTTGAGGCCTTCGTTGGAAACGGGATTTCTTCATATTCTGCTAGACAGAAGAATTCTCAGTAAATTCCTTGTGTTGTGTGTATTCAACTCACAGAGTTGAACGATCCTTTACACAGAGCAGACTTGAAACTCTCTTTTTGTGGAATTTGCAAGTGGAGATTTCAGCCGCTTTGAGGTCAATGGTAGAAAAGGAAATATCTTCGTATAGAAACAAGACAGAATGATTCTCAGAAACTTCTTTGTGATGTGTGCGTTCAACTCACAGAGTTTAACCTTTCTTTTCATGGAGCAGTTAGGAAACACTCTGTTTGTAAACTCTGCAAGTGGATATTCAGACCTATTTGAGGCCTTCGTTGGAAACGGGATTTCTTCATACTGTGCTAGACAGAAGAATTCTCAGTAACTTCCTTGTGTTGTGTGTTTTTAACTGACAGAGTTGAACTTTCATTTAGAGAGAGCAGATTTGAAACACTGTTTTTGTGGAATTTGCAAGTGGAGATTTCAAGCGCTGTGGGGCCAAAGGCAGAAAAGGAAATATCTTCGTATAAAAACTAGACAGAATCATTCTCAGAAACTGCTCTGCGATGTGTGCGTTCAACTCTCAGAGTTTAACTTTTCTTTTCATTCAGCTGTTTGGAAACACTCTGTTTGTAAAATCTGCACGTGGACAATTTGACCACTTAGAGGCCTTCGTTGGAAACGGGTTTTTTTCATGTAAGGCTAGACAGAAGAATTCTCAGTAACTTCCTTGTGTCGTGTGTATTCAACTCACAGAGTTGAACGATCCTTTACACAGAGCAGACTTGTAACACTCTTTTTGTGGAATTTGCAAGTGGAGATTTCAGCCGCTTTGATGTCAAAGGTAGAAAAGGAAATATCTTCCTATAAAAACTAGACAGAATCATTCCCACAAACTGCGTTGTGATGTGTTCGTTCAACTCACAGAGTTTAACCTTTCTGTTCATAGAGCAGTTAGGAAACACTCTGTTTGTAAAGTCTGTAAGTGGATATTCTGACATCTTGAGGCCTTCGTTGGAAACGGGATTTCTTCATATTCTGCTAGACAGAAGAATTCCCAGTAACTTCCTTGTGTTGTGTGCATTCAACTCACAGAGTTGAACGATCCTTCACACAGAGCAGATTAGAAACACTCTTTTTATTGGAATTTGCAAGTGGAGATTTCAGCCGCTTTGAGGTCAATGGTAGAAAAGGAAATATCTTCGTATAAAAACTAGACAGAATGATTCTCAGAAACTCCTTTGTGATGTGTGCGTTCAACTCACAGAGTTCAACCTTTCTTTTCATAGAGCAGTTGGGAAACACTCTGTTTGTAAAGTCTGCAAGTGGATATTCAGACTTCTTTGAGGCCTTCGTTGGAAGTGGGATTTCTTCATGTTCTGCTAGACAGAAGAATTCTCAGTAACTTCCTTGTGTTGTGTGTATTCAACTCACAGAGTTGAACGATGCTTTACACAGAGCAGACTTGAAACACTCTTTTTGTGGAATTTGCAAGTGGAGATTTCAGCCGCTTTGTGGTCAATAGTAGAATAGGAAATATCTTCCTATAGAAACTAGACAGAATGATTCTCAGAAACTCCTTTGTGATGTGTGCGTTCAACTCACAGAGTTTACCCTTTCTTTTCATAGAGCAGTTAGGAAACACTCTGTTTGTAAAGTCTGCAAGTGGATATTCAGACATCCTTGAGGCTTTCGTTGGAAACGGGATTTCTTCATATTCTGCCAGAAAGAAGAATTCTCAGTAACTTCCTTGTGTTGTGTGTATTCAACTCACAGAGTTGAACGATCCTTTACACAGTAGCAGACTTGAAACACTCTTTTTGTGGAATTTGCAAGTGGAGATTTCAGCCGCTTTGAGGTCAATGGTAGAATAGGAAATATCTTCCTATAGAAACTAGACAGAATCATTCTCAGAAACTGCTGCGTGATGTGTGCGTTCAACTCTCAGAGTTTAACTTTTCTTTTCATTCAGCGGTTTGGAAACACTCTGTTTATAAAGTCTGCACGTGGATATTTTGACCACTTAGAGGCCTTCGTTGGAAACGGGTTTTTTTTCATGTAAGGCTACACAGAAGAATTTCCAGTAACTTCCTTGTGTTGTGTGCATTCAACTCACAGAGTTGAACGTTCCCTTAGACAGAGCAGATTTGAAACACTCTATTTGTGCAATTTGCAAGTGTAGATTTCAAGCGCTTTAAGGTCAAAGGCAGAAAAGGAAATATCTTCGTTTCTAAACTAGACAGAATCATTCCCACAAACTGCGTTGTGATGTGTTCGTTCAACTCACAGAGTTTAACCTTTCTGTTCATAGAGCAGTTAGGAAACACTCTGTTTGTAAAGTCTGTAAGTGGATATTCTGACATCTTGCGGCCTTCGTTGGAAACGGGATTTCTTCATATTATGCTAGACAGAATAATTCTCAGTAACTTCCTTGTGTTTTGTGTATTCAACTCACAGAGTTGAACGATCCTTTACAGAGAGCAGAGTTGAAACACTCTTTTTGTGGAATTTGCAAGTGGAGATTTCAGCCGCTTTGAGGTCAATGGTAGAAAAGGAAATATCTTCGTATAAAGACTAGACAGAATGATTCTCAGAAACTCCTTTGTGATGTGTGAGTTCAACTCACAGAGTTTAACCTTTCTTTTCATAGAGCAGTTAGGAAACACTCTGTTTGTAAAGTCTGCAAGTGGATATTCAGACCTCTTTGAGGCCTTCGTTGGAAACGGGATTTCTTCATATTCTGCTAGACAGAAGAATTCTCAGTAACTTCCTTGTATTGTGTGTATTCAACTGACAGAGTTGAACTTTCATTTAGAGAGAGCAGATTTGAAATACTGTTTTTGTGGAATTTGCAAGTGGAGATTTCAAACGCTTTGGGGCCAAAGGCAGAAAAGGAAATATCTTCGTATGAAAACTAGACAGAATCATTCTCAGAAACTGCTCTGCGATGTGTGCGTTCGAACTCTCAGAGTTTAACTTTTCTTTTCATTCAGCAGTTTGGAAACACTCTGTTTGTAAAGTCTGCACGTGGATATTTTGACCACTTAGAGGCCTTCGTTGGAAACGGGTTTTTTTCCTGTCAGGCTAGACAGAAGAATTCCCAGTAACTTCCGTGTGTTGTGTACATTCAACTCACAGAGTTGAACGTTCCCTTAGACAGAGCAGACTTGTCACACTCTTTTTGTGGAATTTGCAAGTGGAGATTTCAGCCGCTTTGAAGTCAAAGGTAGAAAAGGAAATATCTTCCTATAAAAACTAGACAGAATGATTCTCAGAAACTCGTTTGTGATGTGTGTGTTCAACTCACAGAGTTTAACCTTTCTTTTCATAGAGCAGTTAGGAAACACTCTGTTTGTAAAGTCTGCAAGTGGATATTCAGACCTCTTTGAGGCCTTCGTTGGAAACGGGGTTTTTTCATATAAGGCTAGACAGAAGAATTCTCAGAAACTTCCTTGTGTTGTGTAATTTCAACTCACAGAGTTGAACGATGCTTTACACAGAGTAGACTTGAAACACTCTTTTTGTGGAATTTGCAAGTGGAGATTTCAGCCGCTTTGAGGTCAATTGTTGAAAAGGAAATATCTTCGTATAAAAACTAGACAGAATGATTCTCAGAAACTCCTTTGTGATGTGTGCGTTCAACTCACAGAGTTTAACCTTTCTTTTCATAGAGGAGTTAGGAAACACTCTGTTTGTAAAGTCTGCAAGTGGATATTCAGACCTCTTTGAGGCCTTCGTTGGAAACGGGTTTTTTTCATATAAGGCTAGACAGAAGAATTCTCAGTAACTTCCTTGTGTTGTGTGTATTCAACTGACAGAGTTGAACTTTCATTTAGAGAGAGCAGATTTTAAACACTGTTTTTGTGGAATTTGCAAGTGGAGATTTCAAGCGCTTTGGGGCCAAAGGCAGAAAAGGAAATATCTTCGTATAAAAACTAGACAGAATCATTCTCAGAAACTGCTCTGCGATGTGTGCGTTCAACTCTCAGAGCTTAACTTTTCTTTTCATTCAGCAATTTGGAAACACTCTGTTTGTAAAGTCTGCACGTGGATAACTTGACCACTTAGAGGCCTTCGTTGGAAACGGGTTTTTTTCATGTAAGGCTAGACAGAAGAATTCTCAGTAACTTCCTTGTGTTGTGTGTATTCAACTCACAGAGTTGAACGATCCTTTACACAGAGCAGACTTGTAACACCCTTTTTGTGGAATTTGCCAGTGGAGATTTCAGCCGCTTTGAAGTCAAAGGTAGAAAAGGAAATATCTTCCTATAAAAACTAGACAGAATCATTCCCACAAACTGCGTTGTGATGTGTTCGTTCAACTCACGGAGTTTAACCTTTCTTTTCATAGAGCAGTTAGGAAACAGTCTGTTTGAAAATTCTGTAAGTGGATATTCTGACAGCTTGTGGCCTTCGTTGGAAACGGGATTTCTTCATATTCTGCTAGACAGAAGAATTCTCAGTAACTTCCTTTTGTTGTGTGTATTCAACTCACGGAGTTGAACGATCCTTTACACAGAGCAGAGTTGAAACACTCTTTTTGTGGAATTTGCAAGTGGAGATTTCAGCCGCTTTGAGGTCAATAGTAGAAAAGGAAATATCTTCGTAGAAAAACTAGACAGAATGATTTTCAGAAACTCCTTTGTGATGTGTGCGTTCAACTCACAGAGTTTAACCTTTCTTTTCATAGAGCAGTTAGGAAACACTCTGTTTGTAAAGTCTGCAAGTGGATATTCAGATATCCTTGAGGTTTTCGTTGGAAACGGGATTTCTTCATATTCTGCTAGAAAGAAGAATTCCCAGTAACTTCCTTGTGTTGTGTGTGTTCAACTCACAGAGTTCAACTTTCATTTACCCAGAGCAGATTTGAAACACTCTTTTTGTGGAATTTGCAAGTGGAGATTTCAAGCGCTTTGAGGCCAAAGGCAGAAAAGGAAATATCTTCGTTTCAAAACTAGACAGAATCATTCTCAGAAACTGCTCTGCGATGTGTGCGTTCAACTCTCAGAGTTTAACTTTGCTTTTCATTCAGCAGTTTGGAAACACTCTGTTTGTAAAGTCTGCACGTGGATAATTTGACCACTTAGAGGCCTTCGTTGGAAACGGGTTTTTTTCATGTAAGCCTAGACAGAAGAATTCCCCGTAACTTCCTTGTGTTGTGTACATTCAACTCACAGAGTTGAACGTTCCCTTAGACAGAGCAGATTTGAAACACTCTTTTTGTGCAATTGGCAAATGGAGATTTCAAGCGCTTTAAGGTCAATGGCAGAAAAGGAAATATCTTCGTTTCAAAACTAGACAGAATCATTCCCACAAACTGCGTTGTGATGGGTTCGTTCAACTCACAGAGTTTAACCTTTCCGTTCATAGAGCAGTTAGGAAACACACTGTTTGTAAAGTCTGTAAGTGGATATTCTGACATCCTTGTGGCCCTCGTTGGAAACGGGATTTCTTCATATTCTGCTAGACAGAAGAATTCTCAGTAACTTCCTTGTGTTGTGTGTATTCAACTCACAGAGTTGAACGATCCTTTACACACAGCAGACTTGAAACACTCTTTTTGTGGAATTTGCAAGTGGAGATTTCAGCCGCTTTGAGGTCAATGGTAGAATAGGAAATATCTTCCTATAGAAACTAGACAGAATGATTCTCAGAAACTCCTTTGTGATGTGTGCGCTCAACTCACAGAGTTTAACCTTTCTTTTCATAGAGCAGTTAGGAAACACTCTGTTTGTAAAGTCTGCAAGTGGATATTCAGACCTCTTTGAGGCCTTCGTAGGAAACGGGATTTCTTCATATTATGCTAGAGAGAAGAATACTCAGTAACTTCCTTGTGTTGTGTGTATTCAACTGACAGAGTTGAACTTTCATTTAGAGAGAGCAGATTTGAAATACTGTTTTTGTGGAATTTGCAAGTGGAGATTTCAAACGCTTTGGGGCCAAAGGCAGAAAAGGAAATATCTTCGTATAAAAACTAGACAGAATCATTCTCAGAAACTGCTCTGCGATGTGTGCGTTCAACTCTCAGAGTTTAACTTTTCTTTTCATTCAGAAGTTTGGAAACACTCTGTTTGTAAAGTCTGCACGTGGATAACTTGACCACTTAGAGGCCTTCGTTGGAAACGGGTTTTTTTCATGTAAGGCTAGACAGAAGAATTCCCAGTAACTTCCTTGTGTTGTGTACATTCAACTCACAGAGTTGAACGTTCCCTTAGAGCAGATTTGAAACACTCTTTTTGTGCAATTGGCAAATGGAGATTTCAAGCGCTTTAAGGTCAATGGCAGAAAAGGAAATATCTTCGTTTCAAAACTAGACAGAATCATTCCCACAAACAGCGTTGTGATGTGTTCGTTCAACTCACAGAGTTTAACCTTTCTTTTCATAGAGCAGTTAGGAAACAGTCTGTTTGAAAATTCTGTAAGTGGATATTCTGACATCTTGTGGCCTTCGTTGGAAACGGGATTTCTTCATATTCTGCTAGACAGAAGAATTCTCAGTAACTTCCGCGTGTTGTGTGTATTCAACTCACAGAGTTGAACGATCCTTTACACAGAGCAGACTTGAAACACTCTTTTTGTGGAATTTGCAAGTGGAGATTTCAGCCGCTTTGAGGTCAATGGTAGAAAAGGAAATATCTTCGTATAAAAACTAGACAGAATGATTCTCAGAAACTCCTTTGTGATGTGTGCGTTCAACTCACAGAGTTTAACCTTTCTTTTCATAGAGCAGTTAGGAAACACTCTGTTTGTAAAGTCTGCAAGTGGATATTCAGACATCTTTGAGGCTTTCGTTGGAAACGGGATTTCTTCATATTCTGCTAGAAAGAAGAATTCCCAGTAACTTCCTTGTGTTGTGTGTGTTCAACTCACAGAGTTGAACTTTCACTTACACAGAGCAGATTTGAAACACTCTTTTTGTGGAATTTGCAAGTGGAGATTTCAAGCGCTTTGAGGCCAAAGGCAGAAAAGGAAATATCTTCGTTTCAAAACTAGACAGAGTCATTCTCAGAAACTGCTGCGTGATGTGTGCGTTCAACTCTCAGAGTTTAACTTTTCTTTTCATTCAGCGGTTTGGAAACACTCTGTTTGTAAAGTCTGCATGTGGAAATTTTGACCACTTAGAGGCCTTCGTTGGAAACGGGTTTTTTTCATGTAAGGCTAGACAGAAGTATTCCCAGTAACTTCCTTCTGTTGTGTGCATTCAACTCACAGAGTTGAACGTTCCCTTAGACAGAGCAGATTTGAAACACTCTATTTGTGCAATTTGCAAGTGTAGATTTCAAGCGCTTTAAGGTCAACGGCAGAAAAGGAAATATCTTCGTTTCAAAACTAGACAGAATCATTCCCACAAACTGCGTTGTGATGTGTTCGTTCAACTCACAGAGTTTAACCTTTCTTTTCATAGAGCAGTTAGGAAACAGTCTGTTTGAAAACTCTGTAAGTGGATATTCTGACATCTTGTGGCCTTCGTTGGAAACGGGATTTCTTCATATTCTGCTAGACAGAAGAATTCTCAGTAACTTCCCTTGTGTTGTGTGTATTCAACTCACAGAGTTGAACGATCCTTTACACAGAGCAGACTTGAAACACACTTTTTGTGGAATTTGCAAGTGGAGATTTCAGCCGTTTTGAGGTCAATGGTAGAAAAGGAAATATCTTCGTATAAAGACTAGACAGAAATGATTCTCAGAAACTCCTTTGTGATGTGTGCGTTCAACTCACAGAGTTTAACCTTTCTTTTCATAGAGCAGTTAGGAAACACTCTGCTTGTAAAGTCTGCAAGTGGATATTCAGCCCTCTTTGAGGCCTTCGTTGGAAATGGGTTTTTTTCATATAAGGCTAGACAGAAGAATTCTCAGTAACTTCCTTGTGTTGTGTGTATTCAACTGACAGAGTTGAACTTTCATTTAGACAGAGCAGATTTGAGACACTCTTTTTGTGGAATTTGCAAAGGTAGATTTCATGCGCTTTGAGGCCAAAGGCAGAAAAGGAAATATCTTCGTATAAAAACTAGACAGAATCATTCTCAGAAACTGCTCTGCGATGTGTGCGTTCAACTCTCAGAGTTTAACTTTTCTTTTCATTCAGCAGTTTGGAAACACTCTGTTTGTAAAGTCTGCACGTGGATAATTTGACCACTTAGAGGCCTTCGTTGGAAACGGGTTTTTTCCTGTAAGGCTAGACAGAAGAATTCCCAGTAACTTCCTTGTGTTGTGTGCATTCCACTCACAGAGTTGAACGTTCCTTTAGACAGAGCAGATTTGAAACACTCTATTTGTGCAATTTGCAAGTGTAGATTTCAAGCGCTTTAAGGTCAATGGCAGAAAAGGAAATATCTTCGTTTCAAAACTAGACAGAATCATTCCCAAAAACTGCGTTGTGATGTGTTCGTTCAGCTCACAGAGTTTAACCTTTCTTTTCATAGAGCAGTTAGGAAACAGTCTGTTTGTAAATTCTGTAAGTGGATATTCTGACATCTTGTGGCCTTCGTTGGAAACGGGATTTCTTCATATTCTGCTAGACAGAAGAATTCTCAGTAACTTCCTTGTGTTGTGTGTATTCAACTCACAGAGTTGAACGATCCTTTACACAGAGCAGACTTGAAACACTCTTTTTGTGGAATTTGCAAGTGGAGATTTCAGCCGCTTTGAGGTCAATGGTAGAAAAGTAAATAACTTCGTATAAAGACTAGACAGAATGATTCTCAGAAACTCCTTTGTGATGTGTGCGCTCAACTCACAGAGTTTAACCTTTCTTTTCATAGAGCAGTTAGGAAACACTCTGTTTGTAAAGTCTGCAAGTGGATATTCAGACCTCTTTGAGGCCTTCGTAGGAAACGGGATTTCTTCATATTATGCTAGACAGAAGAATTCTCAGTAACTTCCTTGTGTTGTGTGTATTCAACTGACAGAGTTGAACTTTCATTTAGAGAGAGCAGATTTGTAACACTGTTTTTGTGGAATTTGCAAGTGGAGATTTCAAGCGCTTTGCGGCCAAAGGCAGAAAAGGAAATATCTTCGTATAAAAACTAGACAGAATCATTCTCAGAAAATCCTCTGTGATGTGTGCGTTCAACTCTCAGAGTTTAACTTTTCTTTTCATTCAGCAGTTTGGAAACACTCTGTTTGTAAAGTCTGCACGTGGATATTTTGACCACTTAGAGGCCTTCTTTGGAAACGGGTTTTTTTCATGTAAGTGTAGACAGAAGAATTCCCAGTAACTTCCTTGTGTTGTGTGCATTCAACTCACAGAGTTGAACGTTCCCTTAGACAGAGCACATTTGAAACACTCTATTTGTGTAATTTGCAAGTGTAGATTTCAAGCGCTTTAAGGTCAACGGCAGAAAAGGAAATATCTTCGTTTCAAAACTAGACAGAATCATTCTCAGAAACTGCTCTGCGATGTGTGCGTTCAACTCTCAGAGTTTAACTTTTCTTTTCATTCAGCAGTTTGGAAACACTCTGTTTGTAAAGTCTGCAAGTGGATATTCAGACCTCTTTGAGGCCTTCGTTGGAAACGGGATTTCTTCATACTATGCTAGACAGAAGAATTCTCAGTAACTTCCTTGTGTTGTGTGTATTCAACTCACAGAGTTGAATGATCCTTTACACAGAGCAGACATGAAACACTCTTTTTGTGGAATTTGCAAGTGGAGATTTCAGCCGCTTTGAGGTCAATGGTAGAAAAGGGAATATCTTCGTATAGAAACTAGACAGAATGATTCTCAGAAACTCCTTTGTGATGTGTGCGTTCAGCTCACAGAGTTTAACCTTTCTTTTCATAGAGCAGTTAGGAAACACTCTGTTTGTAAAGTCTGCAAGTGGATATTCAGACCTCTTTGAGGCCTTCGTTGGAAACGGGATTTCTTCATATTCTGCTAGACAGAACAATTCTCAGTAACTTCCTTGTGTTGTGTGTGTTCAACTCACAGAGTTGAACTTTCATTTACACAGAGCAGATTTGAAACACTCTTTTTGTGGAATTTGCAAGTGGAGATTTCAAGCGCTTTGAGGCCAAAGGCAGAAAAGGAAATATCTTCGTATAAAAACTAGACAGAATCATTCTCAGAAACTGCTGCGTGATGTGTGCGTTCAACTCTCAGAGTTTAACTTTTCTTTTCATTCAGCGGTTTGGAAACACTCTGTTTGTAAAGTCTGCACGTGGATATTTTGACCACTTAGAGGCCTTCGTTGGAAACGGGTTTTTTTCATATAAGGCTAGACAGAAGAATTCTCAGTAACTTCCTTGTGTTGTGTGTATTCAACTCACACAGTTGAACGATCCTTTACACAGAGTAGACTTGTAACACTCTTTTTGTGGAATTTGCAAGTGGAGATTTCAGCCGCTTTGAAGTCAAATGTAGAAAAGGAAATATCTTCCTATAAAAACTAGACAGAACGATTCTCAGTAAACTCCTTTGTGATGTGTGCGTTCAACTCACAGAGTTTAACCTTTCTTTTCATAGAGCAGTTAGGAAACACTCTGTTTGTAAAGTCTGCAAGTGGATATTCAGACCTCTTTGAGGCCTTCGTTGGAAACGGGATTTCTTCATATTCTGCTAGACAGAAGAATTCTCAGTAACTTCTTTGTGTTGTGTGTATTCAACTCACAGAGTTGAACGATCCTTTACACAGAGCAGACTTGAAACACTCTTTTTGTGGAATTTGCAAGTGGAGATTTCAGCCGCTTTGAGGTCAATAGTAGAAAAGGAAATATCTTCGTAGAAAAACTAGACAGAATGATTCTCAGAAACTCCTTTGTGATGTGTGCGTTCAACTCACAGAGTTCAACCTTTCTTTTCATAGAGCAGTTGGGAAACACTCTGTTTGTAAAGTCTGCAAGTGGATATTCAGACTTCTTTGAGGCCTTCGTTGGAAGCGGGATTTCTTCATGTTCTGCTAGAAAGAAGAATTCCCAGTAACTTCCTTGTGTTGTGTGTGTTCAACTCACAGAGTTGAACTTTCATTTACCCAGAGCAGATTTGAAACTCTCTTTTTGTGGAATTTGCAAGTGGAGATTTCAAGCGCTTTGAGGCCAAAGGCAGAAAAGGAAATATCTTCGTTTCAAAACTAGACAGAATCATTCTCAGAAACTGCTGCGTGATTTGTGCGTTCAACTCTCAGAGTTTAACTTTTCTTTTCATTCAGCGGTTTGGAAACACTCTGTTTGTAAAGTCTGCACGTGGATATTTTGACCACTTAGAGGCCTTCGTTGGAAACGGGTTTTTTTCATGTAAGGCTAGACAGAAGAATTCCCAGTAACTTCCTTGTGTTGTGTGCATTCAACTCACAGAGTTGAACGTTCCCTTAGACAGAGCAGATTTGAAACACTCTATTTGTTCAATTTGCAAGTGTAGATTTCAAGCGCTTTAAGGTCAACGGCAGAAAAGGAAATATCTTCGTTTCAAAACTAGACAGAATCATTCCCACAAACTGCGTTGTGATGTGTTCGTTCAACTCACAGAGTTTAACCTTTCTTTTCATAGAGCAGTTAGGAAACAGTCTGTTTGTCAATTCTGTAAGTGGATATTCTGACATCTTGTGGCCTTCGTTGGAAACGGAATTTCTTCATATTCTGCTAGACAGAAGAATTCTCAGTAACTTCCTTGTGTTGTGTGTATTCAACTCACAGAGTTGAACGATCCTTTACACAGAGCAGACTTGAAATACTCTTTTTGTGGAATTTGCAAGTGGAGATTTCAGCCGCTTTGAGGTCAATGGTAGAAAAGGGAATATCTTCGTATAGAAACTAGACAGAATGATTCTCAGAAACTCCTTTGTGATGTGTGCGTTCAACTCACAGAGTTTAACCTTTCTTTTCATAGAGCAGTTAGGAAACACTCTGTTTGTAAAGTCTGCACGTGGATATTTGGACTTCTTTGAGGCCTTCGTTGGAAACGGGTTTTTTTCATGTAAGGCTAGACAGAAGAATTTTCAGTAACTTCCTTGTGTTGTGTGTATTCAACTGACAGAGTTGAACTTTCATTTAAAGAGAGCAGATTTGTAACACTGTTTTTGAGGAATTTGCAAGTGGAGATTTCAAGCGATTTGCGGCCAAAGGCAGAAAAGGAAATGTCTTCGTATAAAAACTAGACAGAATCATTCTCAGAAACTGCTGCATGATGTGTGCGTTCAACTCTCAGAGTTTAACTTTTCTTTTCATTCAGCGGTTTGGAAACACTCTGTTTGTAAAGTCTGCACCTGGATATTTTGACGACTTAGACGCCTTCGTTGGAAACGGGTTTTTTTCATGTAAGGCTAGACAGAAGAATTCCCAGTAACTTCCTTGTGTTGTGTGCATTCAACTCAAAGAGTTGAACGTTCCATTAGACAGAGCAGATTTGAAACACTCTATTTGTGCAATTTGCAAGTGTAGATTTCAAGCGCTTTAAGGTCAATGGCAGAAAAGGAAATATCTTCGTTTCAACACAAGACAGAATCATTCTCACAAACTGCGTTGTGATGTGTTCGTTCAACTCACAGAGATTAACCTTTCTGTTCATAGAGCAGTTAGGAAACACTCTGTTTGTAAAGTCTGTAAGTGGATATTCTGACATCTTGTGGCCTTCGTTGGAAACGGGATTTCTTCATATTCTGCTAGACAGAAGAATTCTCAGTAACTTCCTTGTGTTGTGTGTATTCAACTCACAGAGTTGAACGATCCTTTACACAGGGCAGACTTGAAACACTCTTTTTGTGGAATTTGCAAGTGGAGATTTCAGCCGCTTTGAGGTCAATGGTAGAAAAGGGAATATCTTCGTTTAGAAACTAGACTGAATGATTCTCAGAAACTCCTTTGTGATGTGTGCGTTCAACTCACAGAGTTTAACCTTTCTTTTCATAGAGCAGTTAGGAAATACTCTGTTTGTAAAGTCTGCAAGTGGATATTCAGACATCCTTGAGGCTTTCGTTGGAAACGGGATTTCTTCATATTCTGCTAGAAAGAATAATTCTCAGTAACTTCCTTGTGTTGTGTGTATTCAACTCACAGTGTTGAACGATCCTTTACAGAGAGCAGACTTGAAACACTCTTTTTGTGGAATTTGCAAGTGGAGATTTCAGCCGCTTTGAGGTCAATGGTAGAATAGGAAATATCTTCCTATAGAAACTAGACAGAATCATTCTCAGAAACTGCTCTGTGATGTGTGCGTTCAACTCTCAGAGTTTAACTTTTCTTTTCATTCAGCAGTGTGGAAAAACTCTGTTTCTAAAGTCTGCACGTGGATATTCTGACCACTTAGAGGCCTTCGTTGGAAACGGGTTTTTTTCCTGTAAGGCTAGACAGAAGAATTCCCAGTAACTTCCTTGTGTTGTGTGCATTCAACTCACAGAGTTGAACGTTCCCTTAGACAGAGCAGATTTGAAACACTCTATTTGTGCAATTTGCAAGTGTAGATTTCCAGCTCTTTATGGTCAACGGCAGAAAAGGAAATATCTTCGTTTCAAAACTAGACAGAATGATTCTCAGAAACTCCTTTGTGATGTGTGCGTTCAACTCACAGAGTTTAACCTTTCTTTTCATAGAGCAGTTAGGAAACACTCTGTTTGTAAAGTCTGCAAGTGGATATTCAGACATCCTTGAGGCTTTCGTTGGAAACGGGATTTCTTCATATTCTGCTGGAAAGAAGAATTCTCAGAATCTTCCTTGTGTTGTGTGTATTCAACTCACAGAGTTGAACGATGATTTACACAGAGCAGATTTGAAACACTCTTTTTGTGGAATTTGCAAGTGGAGATTTCAGCCGCTTTGAGGTCAGTGGTAGAAAAGGAAATATCTTCATATAAAAATTAGACAGAATGATTCTCAGAAACTCCTTTGTGATGTGTGCGTTCAACTCACAGAGTTTAACCTTTCTTTTCATAGAGCAGTTAGGAAACACTCTGTTTGTAAAGTCTGCAAGTGGATATTCTGACCTCCTTGAGGCCTTCGTGGGAAACGGGATTTCTTCATATTCTGCTAGACAGAAGAATTCTCAGTAACTTCCTTGTGTTGTGTGTATTCAACTGACAGAGTTGAACTTTCATTTAGAGAGAGCAGATTTATAACACTGTTTTTGTGGAATTTGCAAGTGGAGATTTCAAGCGCTTTGGGGCCAAAGGCAGAACAGGAAATATCTTCGTATAAAAACTAGACAGAATCATTCTCAGAAAATGCTCTGTGATGTGTGCATTCAACTCTCAGAGTTTAACGTTTCTTTTCATTCAGCAGTTTGGAAACACTCTGTTTGTAAAGTCTGCACGTGGATATTTTGACCACTTAGAGGCCTTCGTTGGAAACGGGTTTTTTTCATGTAAGGGTAGACAGAAGAATTCCCAGTAACTTGCCTTGTGTTGTGTGCATTCAACTCACAGAGCTGAACGTTCCCTTAGACAGAGCAGATTTGAAACACTCTATTTGTGCAATTTGCAAGTGTAGATTTCAAGCGCTTTAAGGTCAATGGCAGAAAAGGAAATATGCTTCGTTTCAAAACTAGACAGAATGATTCTCAGAAACTCCTTTGTGATGTGTGCGTTCAACTCACAGAGTTTAACCTTTCTTTTTATAGAGCAGTTAGGAAACACTCTCTAAAGTCTGCAAGTGGATATTCAGACCTCCTTGACGTCTTCGTTGGAAACGGGATTTCTTCATATTCTGCTAGACAGAAGAATTCTCAGTAACTTCCTTGTATTGTGTGTATTCAACTCACAGAGTTGAACGATCCTTTACACAGAGCAGACTTGAAACACTCTCTTTGTGGAATTTGCAAGTGGAGATTTCAGCCGCTTTGAGGTCAATGGTAGAATAGGAAATATCTTCCTATAGAAACAAGACAGAATGATTCTCAGAAACTCCTTTGTGATGTGTGCGTTCAACTCACAGAGTTTAACCTTTCTTTTCATAGAGCAGTTAGGAAACACTCTGTTTGTAATGTCTGCAGGTGGATATTCAGACATCTTTGAGGCTTTCGTTGGAAACGGGATTTCTTCATATTCTGCTATACAGAAGAATTCTCATTAACTTCCTTGTGTTGTGTGTATTCAACTGACAGAGTTGAACTTTCATTTAGAGAGAGCAGATTTGAAACACTGTTTTTGTGGAATTTGCAAGTGGAGATTTCAAGCGCTTTGGGGCCAAAGGCAGAAAAGGAAATATCTTCGTATAAAAACTAGACAGAATCATTCTCAGAAAACTGCTGCGTGATGTGTGCGTTCAACTCTCAGAGTTTAACTTTTCTTTTCATTCAGCGGTTTGGAAACACTCTGTTTGTAAAGTCTGCACGTGGATATTTTGACCACTTAGAGGCCTTCGTTGGAAACGGGTTTTTTTTCATGTAAGGCTAGACAGAAGAATTCCCAGTAACTTCCTTGTGTTGTGTACATTCAATTCACAGAGTTGAACGTTCCCTTAGACAGAGCAGATTTGAAACACTCTTTTTGTGCAATTGGCAAGTGGAGATTTCAAGCGCTTTAAGGTCAATGGCAGAAAAGGAAATATCTTCGTTTCAAAACTAGACAGAATCATTCCCACAAACTGCGTTGTGATGTGTTCGTTCAACCCACAGAGTTTAACCTTTCTGTTCATAGAGCAGTTAGGAAACACTCTGTTTGTAAAGTCTGAAAGTGGATATTCTGACATCTTGTGGCCTTCGTTGGAAACGGGATTTCTTCATATTCTGCTAGACAGAAGAATTCTCAGTAACTTCCTTGTGTTGTGTGTATTCAACTCACAGAGTTGAACGATCCTTTACAGAGAGCAGACTTGAAACACTCTTTTTGTGGAATTTGCAAGTGGAGATTTCAGCCGCTTTGAGGTCAATAGTAGAATAGGAAATATCTTCGTAGAAAAACTAGACAGAATGATTCTCAGTAACTCCTTTGTGATGTGTGCGTTCAACTCACAGAGTTTAACCTTTCTTTTCATAGAGCAGTTAGGAAACACTCTGTTTGTAGAGTCTGCAAGTGGATATTCAGACCTCCTTGAGGCCTTCGTTGGAAACGGGATTTCTTCCTATTATGCTAGACAGAAGAATTCTCGGGAACTTCCTTGTGTTGTGTGTATTCAACTGACAGAGTTGAACTTTCATTTAGAGAGAGCAGATTTGAAACACTGTTTTTGTGGAATTTGCAAGTGGAGATTTCAAACGCTTTGGGGCCAAAGGCAGAAAAGGAAATATATTCCTATAAAAACTAGACAGAATCATTCTCAGAAACTGCTGCGTGATGTGTGCGTTCAACTCTCAGAGTTTAACTTTTCTTTTCATTCAGCGGTTTGGAAACACTCTGTTTGTAAAGTCTGCCCGTGGATATTTTGACCACTTAGAGGCCTTCGTGGGAAACGGGTTTTTTTCACGTAAGGCTAGACAGAAGAATTCCCAGTAACTTCCTTGTGTTGTGTGCATTCAACTCACAGAGTTGAACGTTCCCTTAGACAGAGCAGATTTGAAATACTCTATTTGTGCAATTTGCAAGTGTAGATTTCAAGCGCTTTAAGGTCAACGGCAGAAAAGGAAATATCTTCGTTTCAAAACTAGACAGAATGATTCTCAGAAACTTCATTGTGACGTGTGCGTTCAACTCACAGAGTTTAACCTTTCTTTTCATAGAGCAGTTAGGAAACACTCTGTTTGTAAAGTCTGCATGTGGATATTCAGACCTCTTTGAGGCCTTCGTTGGAAACGGGATTTCTTCATACTGTGCTAGACAGAAGAATTCTCAGTAACTTCCTTGTGTTGTGTGTATTCAACTCACAGAGTTGAACGATCCTTTACACAGAGCGGACTTGAAACACACTTTTTGTGGAATTTGCAAGTGGAGATTTCAGCCGCGTTGAGGTCAATGGTAGAAAAGGAAATATCTTCGTATAAAAACTAGACAGAATGATTCTCAGAAACTCCTTTGTGATGTGTGCGTTCAACTCACAGAGTTTAACCTTTCTTTTCATAGAGCAGTTAGGAAACACTCTGTTTGTAAAGTCTGCAAGTGGATTCTCAGTCCTCTTTGAGGCTTTCTTTGGAAACGGCATTTCTTCATATTATGCTAGACAGAAGAATTCCCAGTAACTTCATTGTGTTGTGTGTGTTCAACTCACAGAGTTGAACTTCCATTTACACAGAGCAGATTTGAAACACTCTTTTTGTGGAATTTGCAAGTGGAGATTTCAAGCGATTTGAGGCCAAAGGCAGAAAAGGAAATATCTTCGTTTCAAAACTAGACAGAATCATTCTCAGAAACTGCTGCGTGATGTGTGCGTTCAACTCTCAGAGTTTAACTTTTCTTTTCATTCAGCGGTTTGGAAACACTCTGTTTGTAAAGTCTGCACGTGGAAATTTTGACCACTTAGATGCCTTCGTTGGAAACGGGTTTTTTTCATGTAAGGCTAGACAGAAGAATTCCCAGTAACTTCCTTGTGTTGTGTGCATTCAACTCACAGAGTTGAACGTTCCCTTAGACAGAGCAGATTTGAAAAACTCTATTTGTGCAATTTGCAAGTGTAGATTTCAAGCGCTTTAAGGTCAACGGCAGAAAAGGAAATATCTTCGTTTCAAAACTAGACAGAATCATTCCCACAAACTGCGTTGTGAAGTGTTCGTTCAACTCACAGAGTTTAACCTTTCTGTTCATAGAGCAGTTAGGAAACACTCTGTTTGTAAAGTCTGTAAGTGGATATTCTGACATCTTGTGGCCTTCGTTGGAAAAGGGATTTCTTCATATTCTGCTAGACAGAAGAATTCTCAGTAACTTCCTTGTGTTGTGTGTATTCAACTCACAGAGTTGAACGATCCTTTACACAGAGCAGACTTGAAACACTCTTTTTGTGGAATTTGCAAGTGGAGATTTCAGCCGCTTTGGGGTCAATGGTAGAAAAGGAAATATCTTCGTATAAAAACTAGACAGAATGATTCTCAGAAACTCCTTTGTGATGTGTGCGTTCAACTCACAGAGTTCAACCTTTCTTTTCATAGAGCAGTTGGGAAACACTCTGTTTGTAATGTCTGCAAGTGGATATTCAGACTTCTTTGAGGCCTTCGTTGGAAGCGGGATTTCTTCATGTTCTGCTAGACAGAAGAATTCTCAGTAACTTCCTTGTGTTGTGTGTATTCAACTCACACAGTTGAACGATCCTTTACACAGAGCAGACTTGTAACACTCTTTTTGTGGAATTTGCAAGTGGAGATTTCAGCCGCTTTGAAGTCAAAGGTAGAAAAGGAAATAACTTCCTATAAAAACTAGACAGAATGATTCTCAGAAACTCCTTTGTGATGTGGGTGTTCAACTCACAGAGTTTAACCTTTCTTTTCGTAGAGCAGTTAGGAAACACTGTGATTGTAAAGTCTGCAAGTGGATATTCCGACCTCTTTGAGGCCTTCGTTGGAAACGGGTTTTTTTCATATAAGACTAGACAGAAGAATTCTCAGTAACTTCCTTGTGTTGTGTGTATTCAACTGACAGAGTTGAACTTTCATTTAGAGAGAACAGATTTGAAACACTGTTTTTGTGGAATTTGCAAGTGGAGATTTCAAGCGCTTTGGGGCCAAAGGCAGAAAAGGGAATATCTTCGTAGAAAAACAAGACAGAATCATTCTCAGAAACTGCTCTGCGATGTGTGCGTTCAACTCTCAGAGTTTAACTTTTCTTTTCATTCAGCAGTTTGGAAACACTCTGTTTGTAAAGTCTGCACGTGGATATTTTGACCACTTAGAGGCCTTCGTTGGAAACGAGTTTTTTTCCTGTAAGGCTAGACAGAAGAATTCCCCGTAACTTCCTTGTGTTGTGTGCATTCAACTCACAGAGTTGAACGTTCCCTTAGACAGAGCAGATTTGAAACACTCTATTTGTGCAATTTGCAAGTGTAGATTTCAAGCGCTTTAAGGTCAATGGCAGAAAAGGAAATATCTTCGTTTCAAAACTAGACAGAATCATTCCCACAAACTGCGTTGTGATGTGTTCGTTCAACTCACAGAGTTTAACCTTTCCGTTCATAGAGCAGTTAGGAAACACTCTGTTTGTAAAGTCTGTAAGTGGATATTCTGACATCTTGTGGCCATCGTTGGAAACGGGATTTCTTCATATTCTGCTAGACAGAAGAATTCTCAGTAACTTCCTTGTGTTGTGTGCATTTAACTCACAGAGTTGAACGATCCTTTACACAGAGCAGACTTGAAACACTCTTTTTGTGGAATTTGCAAGTGGAGATTTCAGCCGCTTTGAGGTCAATGGTAGAAAAGGAAATATCTTCGTATAAAGACTAGACAGAATCATTCTCAGAAAGTCCTTTGTGATGTGTGTGTTCAACTCACAGAGTTTAACCTTTCTTTTCATAGAGCAGTTAGTAAACACTCTGTTTATAAAGTCTGCAAGTGGATATTCAGACCCCTTTGAGGCCTTCGTTGGAAACGGGATTTCTTCATATTATGCTAGACAGAAGAATTCCCAGTAACTTCCTTGTGTTGTGTGTGTTCAACTCACAGAGTTGAACTTCCATTTACACAGAGCAGATTTGAAACACTCTTTTTGTGGAATTTGCAAGTGGAGATTTCAAGCGATTTGAGGCCAAAGGCAGAAAAGGAAATATCTTCGTTTCAAAACTAGACAGAATCATTCTCAGAAACTGATGCGTGATGTGTGCGTTCAACTCTCAGAGTTTAACTTTTCTTTTCATTCAGGGGTTTGGAAACACTCTGTCTGTAAAGTCTGCACGTGGATATTTTGACCACTTAGAGGCCTTCGTTGGAAAAGGGTTTTTTTCATGTAAGGCTAGACAGAAGAATTCCCAGTAACTTCCTTGTGTTGTGTGCATTCAACTCACAGAGTTGAACGTTCCCTTAGACAGAGCACATTTGAAACACTCTATTTGTGCAATTTGCAATTGTAGATTTCAAGCGCTTTAAGGTCAATGGCAGAAAAGGAAATATCTTCGTTTTAAAACTAGACAGAATCATTCCCACAAACTGCGTTGTGATGTGTTCGTTCAACTCACAGAGTTTTACCTTTCTGTTCATAGAGCAGTTAGGAAACACTCTGTTTGTAAAGTCTGTAAGTGGATATTCTGACATCTTGTGGCCTTCGTTGGAAATGGGATTTCTTCATATTCTGCTAGACAGAAGAATTCTCAGTAACTTCCTTGTGTTGTGTGTATTCAACTCACAGAGTTGAACGATCCTTTACACAGAGCAGACTTGAAACACTCTTTTTGTGGAATTTGCAAGTGTAGATTTCAGCCGCTTTGAGGTCAATAGTAGAAAAGGAAATATCTTCGTAGAAAAACTAGACAGAATGATTCTCAGAAACTCCTTTGTGATGTGTGCGTTCAACTCACAGAGTTTAACCTTTCTTTTCATAGAGCAGTTAGGAAACACTCTGTTTGTAAAGTCTGCAAGTGGATATTCAGACCTCTTTGAGGCCTTCGTTGGAAACGGGTTTTTTTCTTGTAAGGCTAGACAGAAGAATTCCCAGTAACTTCCTTGTGTTGTATACATTCAACTCACAGAGTTGAACGTTCCCTTAGACAGAGCAGATTTGAAACACTCTTTTTGTGCAATTGGCAAGTGGTGATTTCAGCCGCTTTGAGGTCAATGGTAGAAAAGGGAATATCTTCGTATAAAAACTAGACAGAATCATTCTCAGAAACTGCTCTGCGATGTGTGCGTTCAACTCTCACAGTTTAACTTTTCTTTTCATTCAGCAGTTTGGAAACACTCTGTTTGTAAAGTCTGCACGTGGATAATTTGACCACTTAGAGGCCTTCGTT
This sequence comes from Homo sapiens, assembly GCF_000001405.40. NCBI lineage: Eukaryota > Metazoa > Chordata > Mammalia > Primates > Hominidae > Homo > Homo sapiens. The sequence goes on from NC_000001.11 coordinate 123,244,964, forward strand.
GGAAACGGGTTATTTTCATGTAAGTCTAGACAGAAGAATTCCCAGTAACTTCCTTGTGTTGTGTGCATTCAACTCACAGAGCTGAACGTTCCCTTAGACAGAACAGATTTGAAACACTCTATTTGTGCAATTTGCAAGTGTAGATTTCAAGCGCTTTAAGGTCAACGGCAGAAAAGGAAATATCTTCGTTTCAAAACTAGACAGAATCATTCCCACAAACTGCGTTGTGATGTGTTCGTTCAACTCACAGAGTTTAACCTTTCTGTTCATAGAGCAGTTAGGAAACACTCTGTTTGTAAAGTCTGCAAGTGGATATTCTGACATCTTGTGGCCTTCGTTGGAAACGGGATTTCTTCCTATTCTGCTAGACAGAAGAATTCTCAGTAACTTCCTTGTGTTGTGAGTATTCAACTCACAGATTTGAACGATCCTTTACACAGAGCAGACTTGAAACACTCTTTTTGTGGAATTTGCAAGTGGAGATTTCAGCCTCTTTGAGGTCAATGGTAGAATAGGAAATATCTTCCTATAGAAACTAGACAGAATGATTCTCAGAAACTCCTTTGTGATGTGTGCGTTCAACTCAGAGAGTTTAACCTTTCTTTTCATAGAGCAGTTAGGAAACACTCCGTTTGTAAAGACTGCAAGTGGATATTCAGACCTCTTTGAGGCCTTCTTTGGAAACGGGATTTCTTCATATTATGCTAGACAGAAGAATTCTCAGTAACTTCCTTGTGTTGTGTGTATTCAACTGACAGAGTTGAACTTTCATTTAGAGAGAGCAGATTTGAAACACTGTTTTTGTGGAATTTGCAAGTGGAGATTTCAAGCGCTTTGGGGCCAAAGGCAGAAAAGGAAATATCTTCGTAGAAAAACTAGACAGAATCATTCTCAGAAACTGCTCTGCGATGTGTGCGTTCAACTCTCAGAGTTTAACTTTTCTTTTCATTCAGAAGTTTGGAAACACTCTGTTTGTAAAGTCTGCACGTGGATAACTTGACCACTTAGAGGCCTTCGTTGGAAACGGGTTTTTTTCATGTAAGGCTAGACAGAAGTATTCCCAGTAACTTCCTTGTGTTGTGTACATTCAACTCACAGAGTTGAACGTTCCCTTAGACAGAGCAGATTTGAAACACACTTTTTGTGCAATTGGCAAGTGGAGATTTCAAGCGCTTTAAGGTCAATGGCAGAAAAGGAAATATCTTCGTTTCAAAACTAGACAGAATCATTCCCACAAACTGCGTTGTGATGTGTTCGTTCAACTCACAGAGTTTAACCTTTCTTTTCATAGAGCAGTTAGGAAACAGTCTGTTTGTAAATTCTGTAAGTGGATATTCTGACATCATGTGGCCTTCATTGGAAACGGGATTTCTTCATATTCTGCTAGACAGAAGAATTCCCAGTAACTTCCTTGTGTTGTGTGTATTCAACTCACAGAGTTGACCGATCCTTTACACAGAGCAGACTTGTAACACTCTTTTTGTGGAATTTGCAAGTGGAGATTTCAGCCGCTTTGAAGTCAAAGGTAGAAAAGGGAATATCTTCCTATAAAAACTAGACAGAATGATTCTCAGAAACTCCTTTGTGATGTGTGTGTTCAACTCACAGAGTTTAACCTTTCTTTTCATAGAGCAGCTAGTAAACACTCTGTTTATAAAGTCTGCAAGTGGATATTCAGACCCCTTTGAGGCCTTCTTTGGAAACGGGATTTCTTCATATTCTGCTAGACAGAAGAATTCTCAGTAACTTCCTTGTGTTGTGTGTATTCAACTGACAGAGTTGAACTATCATTTAGAGAGAGCAGATTTGAAACACTGTTTTTGTGGAATTGGCAAGTGGAGATTTCAAGCGCTTTGGGGCCAAAGGCAGAAAAGGAAATATCTTCGTATAAAAACTAGACAGAATCATTCTCAGAAACTGCTCTGCGATGTGTGCGTTCAACTCTCAGAGTTTAACTTTTCTTTTCATTCAGCAGTTTGGAAACACTCTGGTTGTAAAGTCTGCACGTGGATAACTTGACCACTTAGAGGCCTTCGTTGGAAACGGGTTTTTTTACCTGTAAGGCTAGACAGAAGAATTCCCAGTAACTTCCTTGTGTTGTGTACATTCAACTCACAGAGTTGAACGTTCCCTTAGACAGAGCAGATTTGAAACACTCTTTTTTTGCAATTGGCAAATGGAGATTTCAAGCGCTTTAAGGTCAATGGCAGAAAAGGAAATATCTTCGTTTCAAAACTAGACAGAATGATTCTCAGAAACTCTTTTGTGATGTGTGCGTTCAACTCACACAGTTTAACCTTTCTTTTCATAGAGCAGTTAGGAAACACTGTTTGTAAAGTCTGCAAGTGGATATTCAGACCTCCTTGAGGCCTTCGTTGGAAACGGGATTTCTTCATATTATGCTAGACAGAAGAATTCTCAGTAACTTCCTTGTGTTGTGTGTATTCAACTCACAGAGTTGAACGATCCTTTACACAGAGCAGACTTGAAACACTCTTTTTGTGGAATTTGCATATGGAGACTTCAGCCGCTTTGAGGTCAATGGTAGAATAGGAAATATCTTCCTATAGAAACTAGACAGAATGATTCTCAGAAACTTCTTTGTGATGTGTGCGTTCAACTCACAGAGTTTAACCTTTCTTTTCATAGAGCAGTTAGGAAACACTCTGTTTGTAAACTCTGCAAGTGGATGTTCAGACCTCTTTGAGGCCTTGGTTGGAAACGGGATTTCTTCATACTATGCTAGACAGAAGAATTCTCAGTAACTTCCTTGTGTTGTTTGTATTCAACTGACAGAGTTGAACTTTCATTTAGAGAGAGCAGATTTGAAACACTGTTTTTGTGGAATTTGCAAGTGGAGATTTCAAGCGCTTTGGGGCCAAAGGCAGAAAAGGAAATATCTTCGTATAAAAACTAGACAGAATCATTCTCAGAAACTGCTGCGTGATGTGTGCGTTCAACTCTCAGAGTTTAACTTTTCTTTTCATTCAGCGGTTTGGAAACACTCTGTAAAGTCTGCACGTGGATATTTTGACCACTTAGATGCCTTCGTTGGAAACGGGTTTTTTTCATGTAAGGCTAGACAGAAGAATTCCCAGTAACTTCCTTGTGTTGTGTGCATTCAACTCACAGAGTTGAACGTTCCCTTAGACAGAGCAGATTTGAAACACTCTATTTGTGCAATTTGCAAGTGTAGATTTCAAGCGCTTTAAGGTCAATGGCAGAAAAGGAAATATCTTCGTTTCAAAACTACAGAGAATCATTCCCCCAAACTGCGTTGTGATGTGTTCGTTCAACTCACAGAGTTTAACCTTTCTTTTCATAGAGCAGTTAGGAAACAGTCTGTTTGTCAATTCTGTAAGTGGATATTCTGACATCTTGTGGCCTTCGTTGGAAACGGGATTTCTTCATATTCTGCTAGACAGAAGAATTCTCAGTAACTTCCTTGTGTTGTGTGTATTCAACTCACAGGGTTGAACGATCCTTTACACAGAGCAGACTTGTAACACTCTTTTTGTGGAATTTGCAAGTGGAGATTTCAGCCGCTTTGAAGTCAAAGGTAGAAAAGGAAATATCTTCCTATAAAAACTAGACAGAATGATTCTCAGAAACTTCTTTGTGATGTGTGCGTTCAACTCACAGAGTTTAACCTTTCTTTTCATAGAGCAGTTAGGAAACACTCTGTTTGTAAACTCTGCAAGTGGATATTGAGACCTCTTTGAGGCCTTCGTTGGAAACGGGATTTCTTCATACTGTGCTAGACAGAAGAATTCTCAGTAACTTCCTTGTGTTGTGTGTATTCAGCTGACAGAGTTGAACTATCATTTAGAGAGAGCAGATTTGAAACACTGTTTTTGTGGAATTGGCAAGTGGAGATTTCAAGCGCTTTGGGGCCAAAGGCAGAAAAGGAAATATCTTCGTATAAAAACTAGACAGAATGATTCTCAGAAACTGCTCTGCGATGTGTGCGTTCAACTCTCAGAGTTTAACTTTTCTTTTCATTCAGCAGTTTGGAAACACTCTGTTTGTAAAGTCTGCACGTGGATAATTTGACCACTTAGAGGCCTTCGTTGGAAACGGGTTTTTTTCATGTAAGGCTAGACAGAAGAATTCTCAGTAACTTCCTTGTGTTGTGTGTATTCAACTCACAGAGTTGAACGATCCTTTACACAAAGCAGACTTGTAACACTCTTTTTCTGGAATTTGCAAGTGGAGATTTCAGCCGCTTTGAAGTCAAAGGTAGAAAAGGAAATATCTTCCTATAAAAACTAGACAGAAATCATTCCCACAAACTGCGTTGTGATGTGTTCGTTCAACTCACAGTAGTTTAACCTTTCTGTTCATAGAGCAGTTAGGAAACACTCTGTTTGTAAAGTCTGTAAGTGGATATTCTGACATCTTGTGGCCTTCGTTGGAAACGGGATTTCTTCATATTCTGCTAGACAGAAGAATTCTCAGTAACTTTCCTTGTGTTGTGTGTATTCAACTCACAGAGTTGAACGATCCTTTACACAGAGCAGACTTGAAACATTCTTTTTGTGGAATTTGCAAGTGGAGATTTTAGCCGCTTTGAGGTCAATGGTAGAATAGGAAATATGTTCCTATAGAAACTAGACAGAATGATTCTCATAAACTCCTTTGTGATGTGTGCGTTCAACTCACAGAATTTAACCTTTCTTTTCATAGCGCAGTTAGGAAACACTCTGTTTGTAAAGTCTGCAAGTGGATATTCAGACATCTTTTAGGCCTTCGTTGGAAACGGGATTTCTTCATATTATGCTAGACAGAAGAATTCTCAGTAACTTCCTTGTGTTGTGTTTATTCAACTCACAGATTTGAATGATCCTTTACACAGAGCAGACTTGAAACACCCTTTTTGTGGAATTTGCAAGTGGAGATTTCAGCCGATTTGAAGTCAATGGTAGAAAAGTAAATATCTTCGTATAAAGACTAGACAGAATCATTCTCAGAAACTGCTGCGTGATGTGTGCGATCAACTCTCAGAGTTTAACTTTTCTTTTCATTCAGCGGTTTGGAAACACTCTGTTTGTAAAGTCTGCACGTGGAAATTTTGACCACTTAGAGACCTTCGTTGGAAACGGGATTTTTTCATGTAAGGCTAGACAGAAGAATTCCCAGTAACTTCCTTGTGTTGTGTACATTCAACTCACAGAGTTGAACGTTCCCTTAAACAGAGCAGATTTGAAACACTCTTTTTGTGCAATTGGCAAGTGGAGATTTCAAGCGCTTTGAGGTCAATGGCAGAAAAGGAAATATCTTCGTTTCAAAACTAGACAGAATGATTCTCAGAAAACTCCTTTGTGATGTGTGCGTTCAACTCACAGAATTTAACTTTTCTTTTCATAGAGCAGTTAGGAAACACTCTGTATGTAAAGTCTGCAAGTGGATATTCAGACCTCTTTTGAGGCCTTCGTTGGAAACGGGATTTCTTCATATTCTGCTAGACAGAATAATTCTCAGTAACTTCTTTGTGTTGTGTGTATTCAACTCACAGAGTTGAAGGATCCTTTACAGAGAGCAGGCTTGAAACACTCTTTTTGTCGAATTTGCAAGTGGAGATTTCAGCCGCTTTGAGGTCAATGGTAGAATAGGAAATATCTTCTTATAGAAACTAGACAGAATGATTCTCAGAAACTTCTTTGTGATGTGTGTGTTCAACTCACAGAGTTTAACCTTTCTTTTCATAGAGCAGTTAGGAAACACTCTGCTTGTAAAGTCTGCAAGTGGATATTCAGACCTCGTTGAGGCCTTCGTTGGAAACGGGATTTCTTCATATTCTGCTAGACAGAAGAATTCTCAGTAACTTCCTTGTGTTGTGTGTATTCAACTGACAGAGTTGAACTTTCATTTAGAGAGAGCAGATTTGAAACACTGTTTTTGTGGAATTTGCAAGTGGAGATTTCAAGCGCTTTGGGGCCAAAGGCAGAAAAGGAAATATCTTCGTATAACAACTAGACAGAATCATTCTCAGAAACTGCTGCGTGATGTGTGCGTTCAACTCTCAGCAGTTTAACTTTTCTTTTCATTCAGCGGTTTGGAAACACTCTGTTTGTAAAGTCTGCACGTGGATATTTTGACCACTTAGAGACCTTCGTTGGAAACGGGTTTTTTTCATGTAAGGCTAGACAGAAGAATTCCCAGTAACTTCCTTGTGTTGTGTGCATTCAACTCACAGAGTTGAACGTTCCCTTAGACAGAGCAGATTTGAAACACTCTATTTGTGCAATTTGCAAGTGTAGTTTTCAAGCTCTTTGAGGTCAACGGCAGAAAAGGAAATATCTTCGTTTCAAAACTAGACAGAATCATTCCCACAAACTGCGTTGTGATGTGTTCGTTCAACTCACAGAGTTTAACCTTTCTGTTCATAGAGCAGTTAGGAAACACTCTGTTTGTAAAGTCTGTAAGTGGATATTCTGACATCTTGTGGCCTTCGTTGGAAACGGGATTTCTTCATATTCTGCTAGACAGAAGAATTCTCAGTAACTTCCTTGTGTTGTGTGTATTCAACTCACAGAGTTGAACGTTCCTTTACACAGAGCGGACTTGAAACACTCTTTTTGTGGAATTTGCAAGTGGAGATTTCAGCCGCTTTGAGGTCAATGGTAGAAAAGGAAATATCTTCCTATAAAAACTAGACAGAATGATTCTCAGAAACTCCTTTGTGATGTGTGCGTTCAACACACAGAGTTAAACTTTTCTTTTCATAGAGCAGTTAGGAAACACTCTGTTTGTAAAGTCTGCAAGTGGATATTCAGACCTCTTTGAGGCCTTCGTTGGAAACGAGATTTCTTCATATTATGCTAGACAGAAGAATTCTCAGTAACTTTCTTGTGTTGTGTGTATTCAACTGTGAGAGTTGAACTTTCATTTAGAGAGACCAGATTTGAAACACTGTTTTTGTGGAATTTGCAAGTGGAGATTTCAAGCGCTTTGGGGCCAAAGGCAGAAAAGGAAATATCTTCGTATAAAAACTAGACAGAATCATTCTCAGAAACTGCTCTGCGATGTGTGCGTTCAACTCTCAGAGTTTAAATTTGCTTTTCATTCAGCAGTTCGGAAACACTCTGTTTGTAAAGTCTGCACGTGGATAATTTGACCACTTAGAGGCCTTCGTTGGAAACGGGTTTTTTTCATGTAAGGCTAGACAGAAGAATTCCCAGTAACTTCCTTGTGTTGTGTGCATTCAACTCACAGAGTTGAACGTTCCCTTAGAGCAGATTTGAAACACTCTATTTGTGCAATTTGCAAGTGTAGATTTCGAGCGCTTTAAGGTCAATGGCAGAAAAGGAAATATCTTCGTTTCAAAACTAGACAGAATCATTCCCACAAACTGCGTTGTGATGTGTTCGTTCAACTCACGGAGTTTAACCTTTCTGTTCATAGAGCAGTTAGGAAACACTCTGTTTGTAAAGTCTGCAAGTGGATATTCAGACCTCCTTGAGGCCTTCGTTGGAAACGGGATTTCTTCATATTCTGCTAGACAGAATAATTCTCAGTAACTTCCTTGTGTTGTGTGTATTCAACTCACAGACTTGAACAATCCTTTACACAGAGCCGACTTGAAACACTCTTTTTGTGGAATTTGCAAGTGGAGATTTCAGCCGCTTTGAGGTCAATGGTAGAAAAGGAAACATCTCCGTATAAAGACTAGACAGAATGATTCTCAGAAAATCCTTTGTGATGTGTGCGTTCAACTCACAGAGTTTAACTTTTCTTTTCATAGAGCAGTTAGGAAACACTCTGTTTGTAAAGTCTGCAAGTGGATATTCAGATCTCTTTGAGGCCTTCGTTGGAAACGGGATTTCTTCATATTCTGCTAGACAGAAGAATTCCCAGTAACTTCCTTGTGTTGTGTGTGTTCAACTCACAGAGATGAACTCTCATTTACACAGAGCAGAGTTGAAACACTCTTTTTGTGGAATTTGCAAGTGGAGATTTCAAGCGCTTTGAGGCCAAAGGCAGAAAAGGAAATATCTTCGTATAAAAACTAGACAGAATCATTCTCAGAAACTGCTCTGTGATGTGTGCGTTCAACTCTCAGAGTTTAACTTTTCTTTTCATTCAGCAGTTTGGAAACACTCTGTTTGTAAAGTCTGCACGTGGATATTTTGACCACTTAGAGGCCTTCGTTGGAAACGGGTTTTTTTCATGTAAGGGTAGACAGAAGAATTCCCAGTAACTTCCTTGTGTTGTGTGCATTCAACTCACAGAGTTGAACGTTCCCTTAGACAGAGCAGATTTGAAACACTCTATTTGTGCAATTTACAAGTGTAGATTTCAAGCGCTTTAAGGTCAACGGCAGAAAAGGAAATATCTTCGTTTCAAAACTAGACAGAATCATTCCCACAAACTGCGTTGTGATGTGTTCGTTCAACTCACAGAGTTTAACCTTTCTGTTCATAGAGCAGTTAGGAAACACTCTGTTTGTAAAGTCTGCAAGTGGATATTCAGACCTCCTAGAGGCCTTCGTTGGAAACGGGATTTCTTCATATTCTGCTAGACAGAAGAATTCTCAGTAACTTCATTGTGTTGTGTGTATTCAACTCACAGATTTCAACGATCCTTTACACAGAGCAGACTTGAAACACTCTTTTTGTGGAATTTGCAATTGGAGATTTCAGCCGCTTTGAGGTCAATGGTAGAATAGGAAATATCTTCCTATAGAAACTAGACAGAATGATTCTCATAAACTCCTTTGTGATGTGTGCGTTGAACTCACAGAGTTTAACCTTTCTTTTCATACAGCAGTTAGGAAACACTCTGTCTATAAAGTCTGCAAGTGGATATTCAGACCCCTTTGAGGCCTTCGTTGGAAACGGGATTTCTTCATATTATGCTAGACAGAAGAATTCTCACTAACTTCCTTGTGTTGTGTGTATTCAACTGACAGAGTTGAACTTTCATTTAGAGAGAGCAGATTTGAAACACTGTTTTTGTGGAATTTGCAAGTGGAGACTTCAAGCGCTTTGGGGCCAAAGGCAGAAAAGGAAATATCTTCGTATAAAAACTAGACAGAATCATTCTCAGAAACTGCTCTGCGATGTGTGCGTTCAACTCTCAGAGTTTAACTTTTCTTTTCATTCAGCAGTTTGGAAACACTCTGTTTGTAAAGTCTGCACGTGCATAATTTGACCACTTAGAGGCCTTCGTTGGAAACGGGTTTTTTTCATGTAAGGCTAGACAGAAGAATTCTCAGTAACTACCTTGTGTTGTGTGTATTCAACTCACAGAGTTGAACGATCCTTTACACAGAGCAGACTTGTAACACTCTTTTTGTGGAATTTGCAAGTGGAGATTTCAGCCGCTTTGAAGTCAAAGGTAGAAAAGGAAATATCTTCCTATAAAAACTAGACAGAATCATTCCCACAAACTGCTTTGTGATGTGTTCGTTCAACTCACAGAGTTTAACCTTTCTTTTCATAGAGCAGTTAGGAAACAGCTCTGTTTGTAAATTCTGTAAGTGGATATTCTGACATCTTGTGGCCTTCGTTGGAAACGGGATTTCTTCATATTCTGCTAGACAGAAGAATTCTCAGTAACTTCCTTGTGTTGTGTGTATTCAACTCACAGAGTTGAACGATCCTTTACACAGAGCAGACTTGAAACACTCTTTTTGTGGAATTTGCTAGTGGAGATTTCAGCCGCTTTGAGGTCAATAGTAGAAAAGGAAATATCTTCGTAGAAAAACTAGACAGAATGATTCTCAGAAACTTCATTGTGATGTGTGCGATCAACTCACAGAGTTTAACCTTTCTTTTCATAGAGCAGTTAGGAAACACTCTGTTTGTAAACTCTGCAAGTGGATATTCAGTCCTCTTTGAGGCCTTCGTTGGAAACGGGATTTCTTCATACTGTGCTAGACAGAGAATTCCCAGTAACTTCCTTGTGTTGTGTGTGTTCAACTCACAGAGTTGAACTTTCATTTACACAGAGCAGATTTGAAACACTCTTTTTGTGGAATTTGCAAGTGGAGATTTCAAGCGCTTTGAGGCCAAAGGCAGAAAAGGAAATATCTTCGTATAAAAACTAGACAGAATCATTCTCAGAAGCTGCTCTGCGATGTGTGCGTTCAACTCTCAGAGTTTAACTTTTCTTTTCATTCAGCAGTTTGGAAACACTCTGTTTGTAAAGTCTGCACGTGGATATTTTGACCACTTAGAGGCCTTCGTTGGAAACGGGTTTTTTTCCTGTAAGGCTAGACAGAAGAATTCCCAGTAACTTCCTTGTGTTGTGTACATTCAACTCACAGAGTTGAACGTTCCCTTAGACAGAGCAGATTTGAAACACTCTTTTTGTGCAATTGGCAAGTGGAGATTTCAAGCGCTTTGAGGTCAATGGCAGAAAAGGAAATATCTTCGTTTCAAAACTAGACAGAATCATTCCCACAAACTGCGTTGTGATGTGTTCGTTCAACTCACAGAGTTTAACCTTGCTTTTCATAGAGCAGTTAGGAAACAGTCTGTTTGTAAATTCTGTAAGTGGATATTCTGACATCTTGTGGCCTTCCTTGGAAACGGGATTTCTTCATATTCTGCTAGACAGAAGAATTGTCAGTAACTTCCTTGTGTTGTGTGTATTCAACTCACAGAGTTGAACGATCCTTTACAGAGAGCAGACTTGAAACACTCTTTTTGTGGAATTTGCAAGTGGAGATTTCAGCCGCTTTGAGGTCAATAGTAGAAAAGGAAATATCTTCGTAGAAAAACTAGACAGAATGATTCTCAGAAACTCCTTTGTGATGTGTGCGTTCAACTCACAGAGTTTAACCTTTCTTTTCATAGAGCAGTTAGGAAACACTCCGTTTGTAAAGTCTGCAAGTGGATATTCAGACCTCTTTGAGGCCTTCGTTGGAAACGGGTTTTTTCCATATAAGGCTAGACAGAAGAATTCTCAGTAACTTCCTTGTGTTGTGTGTATTCAACTGACAGAGTTGAACGTTCATTTAGAGAGAGCAGATTTGAAACACTGTTTTTGTGGAATTTGCAATTGGAGATTTCAAGCGCTTTGGGGCCAAAGGCAGAAAAGGAAATATCTTCGTATAAAAACTAGACAGAATCATTCTCAGAAACTGCTCTGTGATGTGTGCGTTCAACTCTCAGAGTTTAACTTTTCTTTTCATTCAGCACTTTGGAAACACTCTGTTTGTAAAGTCTGCACGTGGATATTTTGACCACTTAGAGGCCTTCGTTGGAAACGGGTTTTTTTCCTGTAAGGCTAGACAGAAGAATTCCCAGTAACTTCCTTGTGTTGTGTGCATTCAACTCACAGAGATGAACGTTCCCTTAGACAGAGCAGATTTGAAACACTCTATTTGTGCAATTTGCAAGTGTAGATTTCAAGCGCTTTAAGGTCAACGGCAGAAAAGGAAATATCTTCGTTTCAAAACTAGACAGAATGATTCTCAGAAACTCCTTTGTGATGTGTGCGTTCAACTCACAGACTTTAACCTTTCTTTTCATAGAGCAGTTAGGAAACACTCTGTTTGTAAAGTCTGCAAGTGGATATTCAGACATCCTTGAGGCTTTCGTTGGAAACGGGATTTCTTCATATTCTGCTAGAAAGATGAATTCTCAGTAACTTCCTTGTGTTGTGTGTATTCAACTCACAGAGTTGAACGATCCTTTACACAGAGCAGATTTGAAACACTGTTTTTCTGGAATTTGCAAGTGGAGATTTCAGCCGCTTTGAGGTCAATGGTAGAAAAGGAAATATCTACGTATAAAAACTAGACAGAATGATTCTCAGAAACTCCTTTGTGATGTGTGCGTTCAACTCACAGAGTTCAAACTTTCTTTTCATAGAGCAGTTGGGAAACACTCTGTTTGTAAAGTCTGCAAGTGGATATTCAGACTTCTTTGAGGCCTTCGTTGGAAGCGGGATTTCTTCATATTATGCTAGACAGAAGAATTCCCAGTAACTTCCTTGTGTTGTGTGTGTTCAACTCACAGAGTTGAACTTTCATTTACACAGAGCAGATTTGAAACACTCTTTTTGAGGAATTTGCAAATGGAGATTTCAAGCGCTTTGAGGCCAAAGGCAGAAAATGAAATATCGTCGTATAAAAACTAGACAGAATCATTCTCAGAAACTGCTCTGCGATGTGTGCGTTCAACTCTCAGAGTTTAACTTTTCTTTTCATTCAGCAGTTTGGAAACACTCTGTTTGTAAAGTGTGCACGTGGATATTTTGACCACTTAGAGGCCTTCGTTGGAAACGGGTTTTTTTCCTGTAAGGCTAGACAGAAGAATTCCCAGTAACTTCCTTGTGTTGTGTACATTCAACTCACAGAGTTGAACGTTCCCTTAGACAGAGCAGATTTGAAACACTCTTTTTGTGCAATTGGCAAGTGGAGATTTCAAGCGCTTTAAGGTCAATGGCAGAAAAGGAAATATCTTCGTTTCAAAACTAGGCAGAATCATTCCCACAAACTGCGTTGTGATGTGTTCGTTCAACTCACAGAGTTTAACCTTTCTGTTCATAGAGCAGTTAGGAAACACTCTGTAAAGTCTGTAAGTGGATATTCTGACATCTTGTGGCCTTCGTTGGAAACGGGATTTCTTCATATTCTGCTAGACAGAAGAATTCTCAGTAACTTCCTTGTGTTGTGTGTATTCAACTCACAGAGTTGAACTATCCTTTACACAGAGCAGACTTGTAACACTCTTTTTGTGGAATTTGCAAGTGGAGATTTCAGCCGCTTTGAAGTCAAAGGTAGAAAAGGAAATATCTTCCTATAAAAACTAGACAGAATGATTCTCAGAAACTCCTTTGTGATGTGTGCGTTCAACTCACAGAGTTTAACTTTTCTTTTCATAGAGCAGTTGGGAAACACTCTGTTTGTAAAGTCTGCAAGTGGATATTCAGACCTCTTTGAGGCCTTCGTTGGAAACGGGATTTTTTCATATTATGCTAGACAGAAGAATTCCGAGTAACTTCCTTGTGTTGTGTGTGTTCAACTCACAGAGTTGAACTTTCATTTACACAGAGCAGATTTGAAACACTCTTTTTGTGGAATTTGCAAGTGGAGATTTCAAGCGCTTTGAGGCCAAAGGCAGAAAAGGAAATATACTCCGTTTCAAAACTAGACAGAATCATTCTCAGAAACCGCTCTGTGATGTGTGCATTCAACTCTCAGAGTTTAACTTTTCTTTTCATTCAGCAGTTTGGAAACACTCTGTTTGTAAAGTCTGCACGTGGATATTTTGACCACTTAGACGCCTTCTTTTGAAACGGGTTTTTTTTCATGTAAGGCTAGACAGAAGCAATTCCCAGTAACTTCCTTGTGTTGTGTACATTCAACTCACAGAGTTGAACGTTACCTTAGACAGAGCAGATTTGAAACACTCTTTTTGTGCAATTGGCAAATGGAGATTTCAAGCGCTTTAAGGTCAATGGCAGAAAAGGAAATATCTTCGTTTCAAAACTAGACAGAATCATTCCCACAAACTGCGTTGTGATGTGTTCGTTCAACTCACAGAGTTTAACCTTTCTTTTCATAGAGCAGTTAGGAAACAGTCTGTTTGTCAATTCTGTAAGTGGATATTCTGACATCTTGTGGCCTTCTTTGGAAACGGGATTTCTTCATATTCTGCTAGACAGAAGAATTCTCAGTAACTTCCTTGTGTTGTGTGTATTCAACTCACAGCAATTTAACGATCCTTTACACAGAGCAGACTTGAAACACTCTTTTTGTGGAATTTGCAAGTGGAGATTTCAGCCGCTTTGTGGTCAATGATAGAAAAGGAAATATCTTCGTATAAAAACTAGACAGAATGATTCTCAGAAACTCCTTTGTGATGTGTGCGTTCAACTCACAGAGTTTAACCTTTCTTTTCATAGAGCAGTTAGGAAACACTCTGTTTGTAAAGTCTGCAAGTAGATATTCAGACATCTTTGAGGCTTTCGTTGGAAACGGGATTTCTTCATATTCTGCTAGACAGAAGAATTCCCAGTAACTTCCTTGTGTTGTGTGTGTTCAACTTCACAGAGTTGAACTTTCATTTACACAGAGCAGATTTGAAACACTCTTTTTGTGGAATTTGCAAGTGGAGATTTCAAGCGCTTTGAGGCCAAAGGCAGAAAAGGAAATATCTTCGTTTCAAAACTAGACAGAATCATTCTCAGAAACTGCTGCGTGATGTGTGCGTTCAACTCTCAGAGTTTAACTTTTCTTTTCATTCAGCGGTTTGGAAACACTGTGTTTGTAAAGTCTGCACGTGGATATTTTGACCACTTACAGGCCTTCGTTGGAAACGGGTTTTTTTCATGTAAGGCTAGACAGAAGAATTCCCAGTAACTTCCTTGTGTTGTGTACATTCAACTCACAGAGTTGAACGTTCCCTTAGACAGAGCAGATTTGAAACACTCTTTTTGTGCAATTGGCAAATGGAGATTTCAAGCGCTTTAAGTTCAATGGCAGAAAAGGAAATATCTTCGTTTCAAAACTAGACAGAATGATTCTCAGAAACTCCTTTGTGATGTGTGCGTTCAACTCACAGAGTTTAACCTTTCTTTTCATAGAGCAGTTAGGAAACACTCTGTTTGTGAAGTCTGCAAGTGGATATTCAGACCTCCTTGAGGCCTTCGTTGGAAACGGGATTTCTTCATATTCTGCTAGACAGAAGAATTCTCAGTAACTTCCTTGTGTTGTGTGTATTCAACTCACAGAGTTGAACGATCCTTTACACAGAGCAGACTTGAAACACTCTTTTTGTGGAATTTGCAAGTGGAGATTTCAGCCGCTGTGAGTTCAATGGTAGAATAGGAAATATCTTCCTATAGAAAGTAGACAGAATGATTCTCAGAAACTCCTTTGTGATGTGTGCGTTCAACTCACAGAGTTTAACCTTTCTTTTCATAGAGCAGTTAGGAAACACTCTGTTTGTAAAGTCTGCAAGTGGATATTCTGACCTCCTTGAGGCGTTCGTTGGAAAAGGGATTTCTTCATATTCTGCTAGACAGAATCATACTCAGAAACTGCTCTGCGATGTGTGCGTTCAACTCTCAGAGTTTAACTTTTCTTTTCATTCAGCAGTTTGGAAACACTCTGTTTGTGAAGTCTGCACGTGGATATTTTGACCACTTAGTGGCCTTCGTTGGAAACGGTTTTTTTTCCTGTAAGGCTAGACAGAAGAATTCCCAGTAACTTCCTTGTGTTGTGTACATTCAACTCACAGAGTTGAACGTTCCCTTAGACAGAGCAGATTTGAAACACTCTTTTTGTGCAATTGGCAAGTGGTGATTTCAGCCGCTTTGAGGTCAATGATAGAAAAGGAAATATCTTCGTATAATAACTAGACAGAATGATTCTCAGAAACTTCATTGTGATGTGTGCGTTCAACTCACAGAGTTTAACCTTTCTTTTCATAGAGCAGTTAGGAAACACTCTGTCTGTAAAGTCTGCAAGTGGATATTCAGACCTCTTTGAGGCCTTCGTTGGAAACGGGTTTTTTTCATATAAGGCTAGACAGAAGAATTCTCAGTAACTTCCTTGTTTTGTGTGAATTCACCTCACAGATTTGAACGATCCTTTACACAGAGCAGACTTGAAACACTCTTTTTGTGGAATTTGGAAGTGGAGATTTCAGCCGCTTTGTGGTCAATAGTAGAATAGGAAATATCTTCCTATAGAAACTAGACAGAATGATTCTCAGAAACTCCTTTGTGATGTGTGCGTTCAACTCACAGAGTTTAACCTTTCTTTTCATAGAGCAGTTAGGAAACACTCTGTTTTTAAAGTCTGCAAGTGTATATTCAGACATCCTTGAGGCTTTCGTTGCAAACGGGATTTCTTCATATTCTGCTAGAAAGAAGAATTCTCAGAAACTTCCCTGTGTTGTGTGAATTCAACTCACAGAGTTGAACGATCCTTTACACAGAGCAGACTTGAAACACTCTTTTTGTGGAATTTGCAAGTAGAGATTTCAGCCGCTTTGAGGTCAATGGTAGAATAGGGAATATCTTCCTATAGAAACTAGACAGAATGATTCTCAGAATCTCCTTTGTGATGTGTGCGTTCAACTCACAGAGTTTAACCTTTCTTTTCATAGAGCAGTTGGGAAACACTCTGTTTGTAAAGTCTGCAAGTGGATATTCAGACATCCTTGAGGCTTTCGTTGGAAACGGGATTTCTTCATATTCTGCTAGAAAGAAGAATTTTCAGAAACTTCCTTGTGTTGTGTGTATTCAACTCACAGAGTTGAACGATCATTTACACAGAGCAGACTTGAGACACTCTTTTTGTGGAATTTGTAAGTGGAGATTTCAGCCGCTTTGAGGTCAATGGTAGAAAAGGAAATATCTTCGTATAAAAACTAGACAGAATGATTCTCAGAAACTCCTTTGTGATGTGTGCGTTCAACTCACAGAGTTTAACCTTTCTTTTCATAGAGCAGTTAGGAAACACTCTGTTTGCAAAGTCTGCAAGTGGATATTCAGACCTCTTTGAGGCCTTCGTTGGAAACGGTTTTTTTTCATATAAGGCTAGACAGAAGAATTCTCAGTAACTTCCTTGTGTTGTGTGTATTCAACTGACAGATTTGAACTTTCATTTAGAGAGAGCAGATTTGAAACACTGTTTTTGTGGAATTTGCAAGTGGAGATTTCAAGCGCTTTGGGGCCAAAGGCAGAAAAGGAAATATCTTCGTATAAAAACTAGACAGAATCATTCTCAGAAACTGCTCTGCGATGTGTGCGTTCAACTCTCAGAGTTTAACTTTTCTTTTCATTCAGCAGTTTGGAAACACTCTGTTTGCAAAGTCTGCACGTGGATATTTTGACCACTTAGAGGCCTTCGTTGGAAACGGGTTTTTTTCATGTAAGGCTAGACAGAAGAATTCCCAGTAACTTCCTTGTGTTGTGTACATTCAACTCACAGAGTTGAACGTTCCCTTAGACAGGAGCAGATTTGAAACACTCTTTTTGTGCAATTGGCAAGTGGTGATTTCAGCCGCTTTGAGGTCAATGGTAGAAAAGGAAATATCTTCGTATAAAAACTAGACAGAATGATTCTGAGAAACTCCTTTGTGATGTGTGCGTTCAACTCACAGAGTTCAACCTTTCTTTTCATAGAGCAGTTGGGAAACACTCTGTTTGTAAATTCTGCAAATGCATATTCAGACTTCTTTGAGGCCTTCGTTGGAAGCGGGATTTCTTCATATTCTGCTAGACAGAAGAATTCTCAGAAACTTCGATGTGTTGTGTGTTTTCAAATCACAGAGTTCAACGATCCTTTACACAGAGTAGACTTGAAACACTCTTTTTGTGGAATTGGCAGGGTGGAGATTTCAGCCGCTTTGAGGTCAATGGTAGAAAAGGAAATATCTTCGTATAAAAACTAGACAGAATGATTCTCAGAAACTTCTTTGTGATGTGTGCGTTCAACTCACAGAGTTTAACCTTTCTTTTCATAGAGCAGTTAGGAAACACTCTGTTTGTAAAGTCTGCAAGTGGATATTCAGACCTCTTTGAGGCCTTCGTTGGAAACGGGTTTTTTTCATATAAGGCTAGACAGAAGAATTCCCAGTAACTTCCTTGTGTTGTGTGTGTTCAACTCACAGCAGTTGAACTTTCATTTACACAGAGCAGATTTGAAACACTCTTTTTGTGGAATTTGCAAGTGGAGATTTCAAGCGCTTTGAGGCCAAAGGCAGAAAAGGAAATATCTTCGTATAAAAACTAGACAGAATCATTCTCAGAAACTGCTCTGCGATGTGTGCGTTCAACTCTCAGAGTTTAAGTTTTCTTTTCATTCAGCAGTTTGGAAACACTCTGTTTGTAAAGTCTGCACGTGGATATTTTGACCACTTAGAGGCCTTCGTTGGAAACGGGTTTCTTTCCTGTAAGGCTAGACAGAAGAATTCCCAGTAACTTCCTTGTGTTGTGTGCATTCAACTCACAGAGTTGAACGTTCCCTTAGACAGAGCAGATTTGAAACAGCCTATTTGTGCAATTTGCAAGTGTAGATTTCAAGCGCTTTAAGGTCAACGGCTGAAAAGGAAATATCTTCGTTTCAAAACTAGACAGAAATCATTCCCACAAACTGCGTTGTGATGTGTTCGTTCAACTCACAGAGTTTAACCTTTCTGTTCATAGAGCAGTTAGGAAACACTCTGTTTGTAAAGTCTGCAAGTGGATATTCAGACCTCCTTGAGGCCTTCGTTGGAAACGGGATTTCTTCATATTCTGCTAGACAGAATAATTCTCAGTAACTTCCTTGTGTTGTGTGTATTCAACTCACAGAGTTGAAGGATCCTTTACAGAGAGCTGGCTTGCAACACTCTTTTTGTCGAATTTGCAAGTGGAGATTTCAGCCGCTTTGAGGTCAATGGTAGAATAGGAAATATCTTCTTATAGAAACTAGACAGAATGATTCTCAGAAACTCCTTTGTGATGTGTGTGTTCAACTCACAGAGTTTAACCTTTCTTTTCCTAGAGCAGTTAGTAAACACTCTGTTTATAAAGTCTGCAAGTGGATATTCAGACCCCTTTGAGGCCTTCGTTGGAAACGGGATTTCTTCATATTATTCTAGACAGAAGAATTCTCAGTAACTTCCTTGTGTTGTGTGTATTCAACTCACAGAGTTGAACTTTCATTTAGAGAGAGCAGATTTGAAACACTGTTTTTGTGGAATTTGCAAGTGGTGACTTCAAGCGCTTTGGGGCCAAACGCAGAAAAGGAAATATCTTCGTATAAAAACTAGACAGAAATCATTCTCATAAACTGCTGCGTGATGTGTGCGTTCAACTCTCAGAGTTTAACTTTTCTTTTCATTCAGCGGTTTGGAAACACTCTGTTTGTAAAGTTTGCACGTGGATATTTTGACCACTTAGAGGCCTTCGTTGGAAACGGGTTTTTTTCATGTAAGGCTAGACAGAAGAATTCCCAGGAACTTCCTTGTGTTGTGTACATTCAACTCACAGAGTTGAACGTTCCCTTAGACAGAGCAGATTTGAAACACTCTTTTTGTGCAATTGGCAAATGGAGATTTCAAGCGCTTTAAGGTCAATGGCAGAAAAGGAAATATCTTCGTTTCAAAACTATACAGAATCATTCCCACAAACTGCGTTGTGATGTGTGCGTTCAACTCAAAGAGTTTAACCTTTCTTTTCATAGAGCAGTTAGGAAACACTCTGTTTGTAAAGTCTGCAAGTGGATATTCAGACCTCCTTGAAGCCTTCGTTGGAAACGGGATTTCTTCATATTCTGCTAGACAGAAGAATTCTCAGAAACTTCCTTCTGTTGTGTGTATTCAACTCACAGAGTTGAACGATCGTTTACACAGAGCAGACTTGAGACACTCTTTTTGTGGAATTTGTAAGTGGAGATTTCAGCCGCTTTGAGGTCAATGGTAGAAAAGGAAATATCTTCATATAAAAACTAGACAGAATGATTCTCAGAAACTCCTTTGTGATGTGTGCGTTCAACTCACAGAGTTCAACCTTTCTTTTCATAGAGCAGTTGGGAAACACTCTGTTTGTAAAGTCTGCAAGTGGATATTCAGACTTCTTTGAGGCCTTCGTTGGAAGCGGGATTTCTTCATGTTCAGCTAGACAGAAGAATTCTCAGAAACTTCCTTGTGTTGTGTGTATTCAACTCACAGAGTTGAACGATCCTTTACACAGAGCAGACTTGAAACACTCCTTTTGTGGAATTTGCAAGTGGAGATTTCAGCCGCTTTGAGGTCAATGGTAGAATAGGAAATATCTTCCTATAGAAACTAGACAGAATCATTCTCAGAAACTGCTCTGCGATGTGTGCGTTCAACTCTCAGTGTTTAACTTTTCTTTTCATTCAGCAGTTTGGAAACACTCTGTTTGTAAAGTCTGCACGTGGATAACTTGACCACTTAGAGGCCTTTGTTGGAAACGGGTTTTTTTCATGTAAGGCTAGACAGAAGAATTCTCAGTAACTTCCTTGTGTTGTGTGTATTCAACTCACAGAGTTGAACGATCCTTTACACAGAGCAGACTTTTAACACTCTTTTTGTGGAATTTGCAAGTGGAGATTTCAGCCACTTTGAAGTCAAAGGTAGAAAAGGAAATAACTTCCTATAAAAACTAGACAGAATGATTCTCAGAAACTCCTTTGTGATGTGTGCGTTCAACTCACAGAGTTTCACCTTTCTTTTCATAGAGCAGATAGGAAACACTCTGTTTGTAAAGTCTGCAAGTGGATATTCAGACATCCTTGAGGCTTTCGTTGGAAACGGGATTTCTTCATATTCTGCTAGAAAGAAGAATTCTCAGTAACTTCCTTGTGTTGTGTGTATTCAACTCACAGAGTTGAACGATCCTTTACACTCAGCAGACTTGAAACACTCTTTTTGTGGAATTTGCAAGTGGAGATTTCAGCCGCTTTGAGGTCAATGGTAGAATAGGAAATATCTTCCTATAGAAACTAGACAGAATGATTCTCAGAAACTCCTTTGTGATGTGTGTGTTCAACTCACAGAGTTTAACCTTTCTTTTCATAGAGCAGTTAGGAAACACTCTGTTTGTAAAGTCTGCAAGTGGATATTCAGACCTCTTTGAGGCCTTCGTTGGAAACGCGTTTTTTTCATATAAGGCTAGACAGAAGAATTCCCAGTAACTTCCTTGTGTTGTGTGTGTTCAAGTCACAGAGTTGAACTTTCCTTTACACAGAGAAGATTTGAAACACTCTTTTTGTGGAATTTGCAAGTGGAGATTTCAAGCGCTTTGAGGCCAAAGGCAGAAAAGGAAATATCTTCGTTTCAAAACTAGACAGAATCATTCTCAGAAACTGCTGCGTGATGTGTGCGTTCAACTCTCAGAGTTTAACTTTTCTTTTCATTCAGCGGTTTGGAAACACTCTGTTTGTAAAGTCTGCACGTGGACACTTTGACCACTTAGAGGCCTTCTTTGGAAACGGGTTTTTTTTATTTAAGGCTAGACAGAAGAATTCCCAGTAACTTCCTTGTGTTGTGTGCATTCAACTCACAGAGTTGAACGTTCCCTTAGACAGAGCAGATTTGAAACACTCTATTTGTGCAATTTGCAAGTGTAGATTTCAAGCGCTTTAAGGTCAATGGCAGAAAAGGAAATATTTTCGTTTCAAAACTAGACAGAATCATTCTCAGAAACTCCTTTGTGATGTGTGCGTTTAACTCACAGAGTTTAACCTTTCTTTTCATAGAGCAGTTAGGAAACACTCTGTTTGTAAAGTCTGCAAGTGGATATTCAGACCTCTTTGAGGCCTTCGTTGGAAACGGGATTTCTTCATATTCTGCTAGACAGAAGAATTCTTAGTAACTTCCTTGGGTTGTGTGTATTCAACTCACAGAGTGGAACGATCCTTTACACAGAGCAGACTTGAAACACTCTTTTTGTGGAATTTGCAAGTGGAGATTTCAGCCGCTTTGAGGTCAATGGTAGAAAAGGAAATATCTTCGTATAAAAACTAGACAGATAATGATTCTCAGAAAGTCCTTTGTGATGTGTGTGTTCAAATCACAGAGTTTAACCTTTCTTTTCATAGAGCAGTTAGTAAACACTCTGTTTATAAAGTCTGCAAGTGGATAATCAGACCCCTTTGAGGCCTTCGTTGGAAACGGGATTTCCTCATATTATGCTAGACAGAAGAATTCCCAGTAACTTCCTTGTGTTGTGTGTGTTCAACTCACAGAGTTGAACTTTCATTTACACAGAGCAGATTGGAAACACTCTTTTTGTGGAATTTGCAAGTGGAGATTTCAAGCGCTTTGAGGCCAAAGGCAGAAAAGGAAATATCTTCATATAAAAACTAGACAGAATCATTCTCAGAAACTGCTCTGCGATGTGTGCGATCAACTCTCAGAGTTTAACTTTTCTTTTCATTCAGCAGTTTGGAAACACTCTGTTTGTAAAGTCTGCACGTGGATATTTTGACCACTTAGAGGCCTTCGTTGGAAACGGGTTTCTTTCCTGTAAGGCTAGACAGAAGAATTCACAGTAAGTTCCTTGTGTTGTGTGCATTCACCTCACAGGGTTGAAGGTTCCTTTAGACAGAGCAGATTGGAAACACTCTTTTTGTGCAATTTGCAAGTGGAGATTTCAAGCGCTTTAAGGTCAATGGCAGAAAAGGAAATATCTTCGTTTCAAAACTAGACAGAATCATTCCCACAAACTGCGTTGTGATGTGTGAGTTCAAGTCAAAGAGTTTAACCTTTCTTTTCATAGAGCAGTTAGGAAACACTCTGTTTGTAAAGTCTGCAAGTGGATATTCAGACCTCCTTGAGGCCTTCGTTGGAAACGGGATTTCTTCATATTCTGCTAGACAGAAGAATTCTCAGTAACTTCCTTGTGTTGTGTGTATTCAACTCACAGAGTTGAACGATCCTTTACACAGAGCAGACTTGAAACACTCTTTTTGTGGAGTTTGCAAGTGGAGATTTCAGCCGCTTTGAGGTCAATAGTAGAAAAGGAAATATCTTCGTAGAAAAACTAGACAGAATGATTCTCAGAAACTCCTTAGTGATGTGTGTGTCCAACTCACAGGGTTTAACCTTTCTTTTCATAGAGCAGTTAGCAAACACTCTGTTTGTAAAGTCTGCAAGAGGATATTCAGACCTCTTTGAGGCCTTCGTTGGAAACGGGTTTTTTTCATATAAGGCTAGACAGAAGAATTCCCAGTAACTTCCTTGTGTTGTGTGTGTTCAACTCACACAGTTGAACTTTCATTTACAGAGAGCAGATTTGAAACACTCTTTTTGTGGAATTTGCAAATGGAGATTTCAAGCGCTTTGAGGCCAAAGGCAGAAAAGGAAATATCTTCGTATAAAAACTAGACAGAATCATTCTCAGAAACTGCTGCGTGATGTGTGCGTTCAACTCTCAGAGTTTAACTTTTCTTTTCATTCAGCGGTTTGGAAACACACTGTTTGTAAAGTCTGCACGTGGATATTTTGACCACTTAGAGGCCTTCGTTGGAAACGGGATTTTTTCATGTAAGGCTAGACAGAAGAATTCCCAGTAATTTCCTTGTGTTGTGTGCATTCAGCTCACAGAGTTGAACGTTCCCTTAGACAGAGCAGATTTGAAACACTCTATTTGTGCAATTTGCAAGTGTAGATTTCAAGCGCTTTAAGGTCAATGGCAGAAAAGGAAATATCTTCGTTTCAAAACTAGACAGAATCATTCCCACAAACTGCGTTGTGATGTGTTCGTTCAACTCACAGAGTTTAACCTTTCTGTTCATAGAGCAGTTAGGAAACACTCTGTTTGTAAAGTCTGCAAGTGGATATTCAGACCTCTTTGAGGCCTTCGTTGGAAACGGGATTTCTTCATATGATGCTAGACAGAAGAATTCTCAGTAACTTCCTTGTGTTGTGTGTATTCAACTTACAGAGTTGACCGATCCTTTACACAGAGCAGACTTGTAACACTCTTTTTGTGGAATTTGCAAGTGGAGATTTCAGCCGCTTTGAAGTCAAAGGTAGAAAAGGAAATATCTTCCTATAAAAACTAGACAGAATGATTCTCAGAAACTCCTTTGTGATGTGTGTGTTCAACTCACAGAGTTTAACCTTTCTTTTCATAGAGCAGTTAGGAAACACTCTGTTTCTAAAGTCTGCAAGTGGATATTCAGACCTCTTTGAGGTCTTCGTTGGAAACGGGTTTTTTTCATATAAGGCTAGACAGAAGAATTCCCAGTAACTTCCTTGTGTTGTGTGTGTTCAACTCACAGTGTTGAACTTTCATTTACACAGAGCAGATTTGAAACACTCTTTTTGTGGAATTTGCAAGTGGAGATTTCAAGCGCTGTGAGGCCAAAGGCAGAAAAGGAAATATCTTCGTATAAAAACTAGACAGAATCATTCTCAGAAACTGCTCTGCGATGTGTGCGTTCAACTCTCAGAGTTTAACTTTGCTTTTCATTCAGCAGTTTGGAAACACTCTGTTTCTAAAGTCTGCACGTGGATAATTTGACCACTTAGAGGCCTTCGTTGGAAACGGGTTTTTTTCCTGTAAGGCTAGACAGAAGAATTCCCAGTAACTTCCTTGTGTTGTGTGCATTCAACTCACAGAGTTGAACGTTCCCTTAGACAGAGCAGATTTGAAACACTCTATTTGTGCAATTTGCAAGTGTATATTTCAAGCGCTTTAAGGTCAAAGGCAGAAAAGGAAATATCTTCGTTTCAAAACTAGACAGAATCATTCCCACAAACTGCGTTGTGATGTGTTCGTTCAACTCACAGAGTTTAACCTTTCTGTTCATAGAGCAGTTAGGAAACACTCTGTTTGTAAAGTATGCAAGTGGATATTCAGACCTCCTTGAGGCCTTCATTGGAAACGGGATTTCTTCATATTCTGCTAGACTGAAGAATTCTCAGTAACTTCCTTGTGTTGTGTGTATTCAACTCACAGAGTTGAACGATCCTTTACACAGAGCAGACTTGAAACACTCTTTTTGTGGAATTTGCAAGTGGAGATTTCAGCCGCTTTGAGGTCAATAGTAGAAAAAGAAATATCTTCGTAGAAAAACTAGACAGAATGATTCTCAGAAACTCCTTTGTGATGTGTGCGTTCAACTCACAGAGTTTAACCTTTCTGTTCATAGAGCAGTTAGGAAACACTCTGTTTGTAAAGTCTGCAAGTGGATATTCAGACCTCCTTGAGGCCTTCGTTGGAAACGGTATTTCTTCATATTCTGCTAGACAGAAGAATTCTCAGTCACTTCCTTGTGTTGTGTGTATTCAACTGACAGAGTTGAACTTTCATTTAGAGAGAGCAGATTTGAATCACTGTTTTTGTGGAATTTGCAAGTGGAGATTTCAAGCGCTTTGGGGCCAAAGGCAGAAAAGGATATATCTTCGTATAAAAACTGGACAGAATCATTCTCAGAAACTGCTCTGCGATGTGTGCGTTCAACTCTCAGAGTTTAACTTTTCTTTTCATTCAGCAGTTTGGAAACACTCTGTTTGTAAAGTCTGCACGTGGATAACTTGACCACTTAGAGGCCTTCGTTGGAAACGGGTTTTTTTCATGTAAGGCTATACAGAAGAATTCCCAGTAACTTCCTTGTGTTGTGTACATTCAACTCACAGAGTTGAACGTTCCCTTAGACAGAGCAGATTTGAAACACTCTTTTTGTGCAATTGGCAAATGGAGATTTCAAGCGCTTTAAGTTCAAAGGCAGAAAAGGAAATATCTTCGTTTCAAAACTAGACAGAATCATTCCCACAAACTGCGTTGTGATGTGTTCGTTCAACTCACAGAGTTTAACCTTTCTGTTCATAGAGCAGTTAGGAAACACTCTGTTTGTAAAGTCTGTAAGTGGATATTCAGACATCTTGTGGCCTTCGTTGGAAACGGGATTTCTTCATATTCTGCTAGACAGAAGAATTCTCAGTAACTTCCTTGTGTTGTGTGTATTCATCTTACAGAGTTGAACGATCCTTTACACAGAGCAGACTTGTAAAACTCTTTTTGTGGAATTTGCAAGTGGAGATTTCAGCCGCTTTGAAGTCAAAGGTAGAAAAGGAAATATCTTCCTATAAAAACTAGACAGAACGATTCTCAGAAACTCCTTTGTGATGTGTGCGTTCAACTCACAGAGTTTAACCTTTCTTTTCATAGAGCAGTTAGGAAACAGTCTGTTTGTAAAGTCTGCAAGTGGATATTCAGACCCCTTTGAGGCCTTCGTTGGAAACGGGATTTCTTCCTATTCTGCTAGACAGAAGAATTCCCAGTAACTTCCTTGTGTTGTGTGTGTTCAACTCACAGAGTTGAACTTTCATTTACACAGAGCAGATTTGAAACACTCTTTTTGTGGAATTTGCAAATGGAGATTTCAAGCGCTTTGCGGCCAAAGGCAGAAAAGGAAATATCTTCGTATAAAAACTAGACAGAATCATTCTCAGAAACTGCTCTGCGATGTGTGCGTTCAACTCTCAGAGTTTAACTTTTCTTTTCATTCAGCAGTTTGGAAACACTCGGTTTGTAAAGTCTGCACGTGGATATTTTGACCACTTAGAGGCCTTCGTTGGAAACGGGTTTTTTTCCTGTAAGGCTAGACAGAAGAATTCTCAGTAACTTCCTTGTGTTGTGTGTATTCAACTCACAGAGTTGAACGATCCTTTACACAGAGCAGACTTGTAACACTCTTTTTGTGGAATTTGAAAGTGGAGATTTCAGCCGCTTTGAAGTCAAAGGTAGAAAAGGAAATATCTTCCTATAAAAACTAGACAGAATGATTCTCAGAAACTCCTTTGTGATGTGTGCGTTCAACTCACAGAGTTTAACTTTTCTTTTCATAGAGCAGTTAGGAAACACTCAGTTTGTAAAGTCTGCAAGTGGATATTCAGACCTCCTTGAGGCCTTCGTTGGAAAAGGGATTTCCTCATATTATGCTAGACAGAAGAATTCTCAGTAACTTCCTTGTGTTGTGTGTATTCAACTCACAGAGTTGAACGATCCTTACAGAGAGCAGACTTGAAACACTCTTTTTGTGGAATTTGCAAGTGGAGATTTCATCCGCTTTGAGGTCAATGGTAGAATAGGAAATATCTTCCTATAGAAACTAGACAGAATGATTCTCAGAAACTCCTTTGTGATGTGTGTGTTCAACTCACAGAGTTTAACCTTTCTTTTCATAGAGCAGTTAGGAAACACTCTGTTTGTAAAGTCTGCAAGTGGATATTCAGACCTCTTTGAGGCCTTCGTTGGAAACGGGTTTTTTTCATATAAGGCTACACAGAAGAATTCCCAGTAACTTCCTTGTGTTGTGTGTGTTCAACTCACAGAGTTGAACTTTCATTTACACAGAGCAGATTTGAAACACTCTTTTTGTGGAATTTGCAAGTGGAGATTTCAAGCGCTTTGAGGCCAAAGGCAGAAAAGGAAATATCTTCGTATAAAAATTAGACAGAATCATTCTCAGAAACTGCTCTGCGATGTGTGCGTTCAACTCTCAGAGTTTAACTTTTCTTTTCATTCAGCAGTTTGGAAACACTCTGGTTGTAAAGTCTGCACGTGGATAACTTGACCACTTAGAGGCCTTCGTTGGAAACGGGTTTTTTTCCTGTAAGGCTAGACAGAAGAATTCCCAGGAACTTCCTTGTGTTGTGTACATTCAACTCACAGAGTTGAACGTTCCCTTAGACAGAGCAGATTTGAAACACTCTTTTTGTACAATTGGCAAGTGGTGATTTCAGCCGCTTTGAGGTCAATGGTAGAAAAGGAAATATCTTCGTATAAAAACTAGACAGAATGATTCTCAGAAACTTCATTGTGACGTGTGCGTTCAACTCACAGAGTTTAACCTTTCTTTTCATAGAGCAGTTAGGAAACACCCTGTTTGTAAAGTCTGCAAGTGGATATTCAGACCTCTTTGAGGCCTTCGTTGGAAACGGGATTTCTTCATACTGTGCTAGACAGAAGAATTCTCAGTAACTTCCTTGTGTTGTGTGTATTCAACTCACAGAGTTGAACGATCCTTTACACAGAGCAGATTACAAACACTCTTTTTGTGGAATTTGCAAGTGGAGATTTCAGCCGCTTTGAGGTCAATAGTAGAAAAGGAAATATCTTCGTATAAAAACTAGACAGAATGATTCTCAGAAACGGCTTTGTGATGTGTGTGTTCAACTCACAGAGTTTAACCTTCCTTTTCATAGAGCAGTTAGTAAACACTCTGTTTATAAAGTCTGCAAGTGGATATTCAGACCCCTTTGAGGCCTTCGTTGGAAACGGGATTTCTTCATATTATGCTAGACAGAAGAATTCCCAGTAACTTCCTTGTGTTGTGTGTGTTCAACCCACAGAGTTGAACTTTCATTTACACAGAGCAGATTTGAAACACTCTTTTTGTGGAATTTGCAAGTGGAGATGTCAAGCGCTTTGAGGCCAAAGGCAGAAAAGGAAATATCTTCGTTTCAAAACTAGACAGAATCATTCTCAGAAACTGCTCTGCGATGTGTGCGTTCAACTCTCAGAGTTTAACTTTTCTTTTCATTCAGCAGTTTGGAAACATTCTGTTTGTAAAGTCTGCACGTGGATATTTTGACCACTTAGAGGCCTTCGTTGGAAACGGGTTTTTTTCCTGTAAGGCTAGACAGAAGAATTCCCAGTAACTTCCTTGTGTTGTGTACATTCAACTCACAGAGTTGAACGTTCCCTTAGACAGAGCAGATTTGAAACACTCTTTTTGTGCAATTGGCAAGTGGAGATTTCAAGCGCTTTAAGGTCAATGGCAGAAAAGGAAATATCTTCGTTTGAAAACTAGACAGAATCATTCCCACAAACTGCGTTGTGATGTGTTCGTTCAACTCACAGAGTTTAACCTTTCTTTTCATAGAGCAGTTAGGAAACAGTCTGTTTGTCAATTCTGTAAGTGGATATTCTGACATCTTGTGGCATTCGTTGGAAACGGGATTTCTTCATATTACTGCTAGACAGAAGAATTCTCAGTAACTTCCTTGTGTTGTGTGTATTCAACTCACAGAGTTGAACGATCCTTTACACAGAGCAGACTTGAAACACTCTTTTTGTGGTATTTGCAAGTGGAGATTTCAGCCGCTTTGAGGTCAATGGTAGAATAGGAAATATCTTCCTATAGAAACTAGACAGAATGATTCTCAGAAACTCCTTTGTGATGTGTGTGTTCAACTCACAGAGTTCAACCTTTCTTTTAATAGAGCAGTTGGGAAACACTCTGTTTGTAAAGTCTGCAAGTGGATATTCAGACTTCTTTGAGGCCTTCGTTGGAAACGGGATTTCTTCATATTATGCTAGACAGAAGAATTCTCAGTAACTTCCTTGTGTTGTGTGTATTCAACTGACAGAGTTGAACTTTCATTTAGAGAGAGCAGATTTGAAACACTGTTTTTGTGGAATTTGCAAGTGGAGATTTCAAGCGCTTTGGGGCCAAAAGCAGAAAAGGAAATATCTTCGTATAAAAACTAGACAGAATCATTCTCAGAAACTGCTCTGCGATGTGTGCGTTCAACTCTCAGAGTTTAACTTTTCTTTTCATTCAGCAGTTTGGAAACACTCTGTTTGTAAAGTCTGCACGTGGATATTTTGACAACTTAGAGGCCTTCGTTGGAAACGGGTTTTTTTCCTGTAAGGCTAGACAGAAGAATTCCCAGTAAATTCCTTGTGTTGTGTGCATTCAACTCACAGAGTTGAACGTTCCCTTAGACAGAGCAGATTTGAAACACTCTATTTGTGCAATTTGCAAGTGTAGATTTCAAGCGCTTTAAGGTCAATGGCAGAAAAGGAAATATCTTCGATTCAAAACTAGACAGAATCATTCCCTCAAACTGCGTTGTGATGTGTTCGTTCAACTCACAGAGTTTAACCTTTCTTTTCATAGAGCAGTTAGGAAACAGTCTGTTTGTAAATTCTGTAAGTGGATATTCTGACATCTTGTGGCCTTCGTTGGAAACGGGATTTCTTCATATTCTGCTAGACAGAAGAATTCTCAGTAACTTCCTTGTGTTGTGTGTATTCAACTCACAGACTTGAACGATCCTTTACACAGAGCAGACTTGTAACACTCTTTTTGTGGAATTTGCAAGTGGAGATTTCAGCCGCTTTGAAGTCAAAGGTAGAAAAGGAAATATCTTCCTATAAAAACTAGACAGAATGATTCTCAGAAACTCCTTTGTGATGTGTGCGTTCAACTCACAGAGTTTATCTTTTCTTTTCATAGAGCAGTTAGGAAACACTCTGTTTGTAAAGTCTGCAAGTGGATATTCAGACCTCTTTGAGGCCTTCGTTGGAAACGGGATTTCTTCATATTCTGCTAGACAGAAGAATTCCCAGTAACTTCCTTGTGTTGTGTGTGTTCAACTCACAGAGTTGAACTCTCATTTACACAGAGCAGATTTGAAACACTCTTTTTGTGGAATTTGCAAGTGGAGATTTCAAGCGCTTTGAGGCCAAAGGCAGAAAAGGAAATATCTTCGTATAAAAACTAGACAGAATCATTCTCAGAAACCGCTCTGTGATGTGTGCGTTCAACTCTCAGAGTTTAACTTTTCTTTTCATTCAGCAGTTTGGAAACACTCTGTTTGTAAAGTCTCCACGTGGATATTTTGACCACTTAGAAGCCTTCGTTGGAAACGTGTTTTTTTTTCATGTAAGGCTAGACAGAAGAATTCCCAGGAACTTCCTTGCGTTGTGTACATTCAACTCACAGAGTTGAACGTTCCCTTAGACAGAGCAGATTTGAAACACTCTTTTTGTGCAATTGGCAAGTGGAGATTTCAAGCGCTTTAAGGTCAATTGCAGAAAAGGAAATATCTTCGTTTCAAAACTAGACAGAATGATTCTCAGAAACTTCTTTGTGATGTGTGCGTTCAACTCACAGAGTTTAACCTTTCTTTTCATAGAGCAGTTAGGAAACACTCTGTTTGTAAACTCTGCAAGTGGATATTCAGACGTCTTTGAGGCCTTCGTTGGAAACGGGATTTCTTCATACTGTGCTAGACAGAAGAATTCTCAGTAACTTCATTGTGTTGTGTGTATTCAACTCACAGATTTCAACGATCCTTTACACAGAGCAGACTTGAAACACTCTTTTTCTGGAATTTGCAATTGGAGATTTCAGCCGCTTTGAGGTCAATGGTAGAATAGGAAATATCTTCCTATAGAAACTAGACAGAATGATTCTCAGAAACTCCTTTGTGATGTGTGTGTTCAACTCACAGATTTTAACCTTTCTTTTCATAGAGCAGTTAGTAAACACTCTGTTTATAAAGTCTGCAAGTGGATATTCAGACCCCTTTGAGGCCTTCGTTGGAAACGGGATTTCTTCATATTCTGCTAGACAGAAGAATTCTCAGTAACTTCCTTGTGTTGTGTGTAGTCAACTCACAGAGTTGAACGATCCTTTACAGAGAGCAGACTTGAAACACTCTTTTTGTGGAATTTGCAAGTGGAGATTTCAGCCGCTTTGAGGTCAATGGAAGAAAAGGAAACTATCTTCGTATAAAGACTAGACAGAATCATTCTCAGAAACTGCTCTGCGATGTGTGCGTTCAACTCTCAGAGTTTAACCTTTCTTTTCATTCAGCAGTTGGGAAACACTCTGTTTGTAAAGTCTGCACGTGGATAACTTGACCACTTAGAGGCCTTCGTTGGAAACGGGTTTTTTTCATGTAAGGCTAGACAGAAGAATTCTCAGTAACTTCCTTGTGTTGTGTGTATTCAACTCACAGAGTTGAACGATCCTTTACACAGAGCAGACTTGTAACACTCTTTTTGTGGAATTTGCAAGTGGAGATTTCAGCCGCTTTGAAGTCAAAGTTAGAAAAGGAAATAACTTCCTATAAAAACTAGACAGAATCATTCCCACAAACTGCGTTGTGATGTGTTCGTTCAACTCACAGAGTTTAACCTTTCTTTTCATAGAGCAGTTAGGAAACAGTCTGTTTGTCAATTCTGTAAGTGGATATTCTGACATCTTGTGGCCTTCGTTGGAAACGGGATTTCTTCATATTCTGCTAGACGGAAGAATTCTCAGAATCTTTCCTTGTGTTGTGTGTATTCAACTCACAGAATTGAACGATCCTTTACACAGAGCAGACTTGAAACACTCTTTTTGTGGAATTTGCAAGTGGAGATTTCAGCCGCTTTGAGGTCCATGGTAGAAAAGGAAATATCTTCGTATAAAAACTAGACAGAATGATTCTCAGAAACTCCTTTGTGATGTGTGCGTTCAACTCACAGTTTAACCTTTCTTTTCATAGAGCAGTTAGGAAACACTCTGTTTGTAAAGTCTGCAAGTGGATATTCAGACATCTTTGAGGCTTTCGTTGGAAACGGAATTTCTTCATATTCTGCTAGACAGAAGAATTCTCAGTAACTTCCTTGTGTTGTGTGTATTCAACTGACAGAGTTGAACTTTCATTTAGAGAGAGCAGATTTGAAACACTGTTTTTGTGGAATTTGGAAGTGGAGATTTCAAACGCTTTGGGGCCAAAGGCAGAAAAGAAAATATATTCGTATAAAAACTAGACGGAATCATTCTCAGAAACTGCTGCGTGATGTGTGCGTTCAACTCTCAGAGTTTAACTTTTCTTTTCATTCAGCGGTTTGGAAACACTCTGTTTGTAAAGTCTGCACGTGGATATTT
The DNA here is from genome assembly GCF_000001405.40 of Homo sapiens. NCBI lineage: Eukaryota > Metazoa > Chordata > Mammalia > Primates > Hominidae > Homo > Homo sapiens. The sequence continues at coordinate 123,277,065 of NC_000001.11, forward strand.
TGACCACTTAGAGGCCTTCGTTGGAACCGGGTTTTTTGCATGTAAGGCTAGACAGAAGAATTCCCAGGAACTTCCTTGTGTTGTGTACATTCAACTCACAGAGTTGAACGTTCCCTTAGACAGAGTAGATTTGAAACACTCTTTTTGTGCAATTGGCAAGTGGTGATTTCAGCCGCTTTGAGGTCAATGGTAGAAAAGGAAATATCTTCGTATAAAAACTAGACAGAATCATTCCCACAAACTGCGCTGTGATGTGTTCGTTCATCTCACAGAGTTTAACCTTTCTTTTCATAGAGCAGTTAGGAAACACTCTGTTTGTAAATTCTGTAAGTGGATATTCTGACATCTTGTGGCCTTCGTTGGAAACGGGATTTCTTCATATTCTGCTAGACAGAAGAATTCTCAGAAACTTCCTTGTGTTGTGTGTTTTCAACTCACAGAGTTGAACCGATCCTTTACACAGAGCAGACTTGAAACACTCCTTTTGTGGAATTTGCAAGTGGAGATTTCAGCCGCTTTGAGGTCAATGGTAGAATAGGAAATATCTTCCTATAGAAAGTAGACAGAATGATTCTCAGAAACTCCTTTGTGATGAGTGCGTTCAACTCACAGAGTTTAACCTTTCTTTTCATAGAGCAGTTAGGAAACACTCTGTTTTTAAAGTCTGCACGTGGATATTTTGACCTCTTTGAGGCCTTCCTTGGAAACGGGATTTTTTCATATAAGGCTAGACAGAAGAATTCTCAGTAACTTCCTTGTGTTGTGTGTATTCAACTGACAGAGTTGAACTTTCATTTAGACCGAGCAGATTTGAAACACTATTTATGTGGAATTGGCAATTGGAGATTTCAAGCTCTTTGAGGCCAAAGGCAGAAAAGGAAATATCTTCGTTTCAAAACTAGACAGAATCATTCTCAGAAACTGCTCTGCGATGTGTGCGTTGAACTCTCAGAGTTTAACTTTTCTTTTCATTCAGCAGTTTGGAAACACTCTGTTTGTAAAGTCTGCACGTGGATATTTTGACCACTTAGAGGCCTTCGTTGGAAACGGGTTTTTTTCCTGTAAGGCTAGACAGAAGAATTCCCAGTAACTTCCTTGTGTTGTGTGCATTCAACTCACAGAGTTGAACGTTCCCTTAGACAGAGCAGATTTGAAACACTCTATTTGTGCAATTTGCAAGTGTAGATTTCAAGCGCTTTATGGTCAACGGCAGAAAAGGAAATATCTTCGTTTCAAAACTAGACAGAATCATTCCCACAAACTGCGTTGTGATGTGTTCGTTCAACTCACAGAGTTTAACCTTTCTGTTCATAGAACAGTTAGGAAACACTCTGTAAAGTCTGTAAGTGGATATTCTGACATCTTGTGGCCTTCGTTGGAAACGGGATTTCTTCATATTCTGCTAGACAGAAGAATTCTCAGTAACTTCCTTGGGTTGTGTGTATTCAACTCACCGAGTTGAAGGATCCTTTACAGAGAGCAGGCTTGAAACACTCTTTTTGTCGAATTTGCAAGTGGAGATTTCAGCCGCTTTGAGGTCAATGGTAGAATAGGAAATATCTTCATATAAAGACTAGACAGAATGATTCTCAGAAACTCCTTTGTGATGTGTGCGTTCAACTCACAGAGTTTAACTTTTCTTTTCATAGAGCAGTTAGGAAACACTCTGTTTGTAAAGTCTGCAAGTGGATATTCCGACCTCTTTGAGGCCTTCGTTGGAAACGGGATTTCTTCATATTATGCTGGACAGAAGAATTCTCAGTAACTTCCTTGTGTTGTGTGTATTCAACTGACAGAGTTGAACTTTCATTTAGAGAGAGCACATTTGAAACACTGTTTTTGTGGAATTTGCAAGTGGAGATTTCAAGCGCTTTGGGGCCAAAGGCAGAAAAGGAAATATCTTCGTATAAAAACTAGACAGAATCATTCTCAGAAACTGCTGCGTGATGTGTGCGTTCAACTCTCAGAGTTTAACTTTTCTTTTCATTCAGCGGTTTGGAAACACTGTGTTTGTAAAGTCTGCACGTGGATATTTTGACCACTTAGAGGCCTTCGTTGGAAACGGGTTTTTTTCATGTAAGGCTAGACAGAAGAATTCCCAGTAACTTCCTTGTGTTGTGTGCATTCCACTCACAGAGTTGAACGTTCCCTTAGACAGAGCAGATTTGAAACACTCTATTTGTGCAATTTGCAAGTGTAGATTTCAAGCGCTTTAAGGTCAATGGCAGAAAAGGAAATATCTTCGTTTCAAAACTAGACAGAATCATTCCCACAAACTGCGTTGTGATGTGTTCGTTCAAGTCACAGAGTTTAACCTTTCTTTTCATAGAGCAGTTAGGAAACAGTCTGTTTGTCAATTCTGTAAGTGGATATTCTGACATCTTGTGGCCTTCGTTGGAAACGGGATTTCTTCATATTCTGCTAGACAGAAGAATTCTCAGTAACTTCCTTGTGTTGTGTGAATTCAACTCACAGAGTTGAACGATCCTTTACACAGAGCAGACTTGAAACACTGTTTTTGTGGAATTTGCCAGTGGAGATTTCAGCCGCTTTGAGGTCAATGGTAGAATAGGAAATATCTTCCTATAGAAACTAGACAGAATGATTCTCAGAAACTCCTTTGTGATGTGTGCGTTCAACTCACAGAGTTTAACCTTTTTTTTCATAGAGCAGTTAGGAAACACTCTGTTTGTAAAGTCTGCAAGTGGATATTCAGACCTCTTTGAGGCCTTCGTTGGAAACGGGTTTTTTACATATAAGGCTAAACAGAAGAATTCCCAGTAACTTCCTTGTGTTGTGTGTGTTCAACTCACAGAGTTGAACTTTCATTTACCCAGAGCAGATTTGAAACACTCTTTTTGTGGAATTTGCAAGTGGAGATTTCAAGCGCTTTGAGGCTAAAGGCAGAAAAGGAAATATCTTCGTTTCAAAACTAGACAGAATCATTCTCAGAAACTGCTCTGCGATGTGTGCGTTCAACTCTCAGAGTTTAACTTTTCTTTTCATTCAGCAGTTTGGAAACACTCTGTTTGTAAAGTCTGCACGTGGATATTTTGATAGAGGCTTTCGTTGGAAACGGGTTTTTTTCTTGTAAGGCTAGAAAGAAGAATTCCCAGTAACTTCCTTGTGTTGTGTGCATTCAACTCACAGAGTTGAACGTTCCCTTAGACAGAGCAGATTTGAAACACTCTATTTGTCCAATTTGCAAGTGTAGATTTCAAGCGCTTTAAGGTCAACGGCAGAAAAGGAAATATCTTCGTTTCAAAACTAGACAGAATGATTCTCAGAAACTCCTTTGTGATGTGTGCGTTCAACTCACAGAGTTTAACCTTTCTTTTCATAGAGCAGTTAGGAAACACTCTGTTTGTAAAGTCTGCAAGTGGATATTCACACCTCCTTGAGGCCTTCGTTGGAAACGGGATTTCTTCACATTCTGCTAGACAGAAGAATTCTCAGTAACTTCCTTGTGTTGTGTGTATTCAACTCACTGAGTTGAACGATCCTTTACACAGAGCAGACTTGAAACACTCTTTTTGTGGAATTTGCAAGTGGAGATTTCAGCCGCTTTGAGGTCAATGGTAGAAAAGGAAACTATTTTCGTATAAAGACTAGACAGAATGATTCTCAGAAACTCCTTTGTGATGTGTGCGTTCAACTCACAGAGTTTAACCTTTCTTTTCATAGAGCAGTTAGGAAACACTCTGTTTGTAAAGTCTGCACGTGGATATTTGGACTTCTTTGAGGCCTTCGTTGGAAACGGGGTATTTTCATGTAAGGCTAGACAGAAGAATTCCCAGTAACTTCCTTGTGTTTTGTGTGTTCAACTCACAGAGTTGAACTTTCATTTACACAGAGCAGATTTGAAACACTCTTTTTGTGGAATTTGCAAATGGAGATTTCAAGCGCTTTGAGGCCAAAGGCAGAAAAGGAAATATCTTCGTATAAAAACTAGACAGAATCATTCCCAGAAACTGCTCTGCGATGTGTGCGTTCAACTCTCAGAGTTTAACTTTTCTTTTCATTCAGCAGTTTGGAAACACTCTGTTTGTAAAGTCTGCACGTGGATATTTTGACCATTTAGAGGCCTTCGTTGGAAACGGGTTTTTTTCTTGTAAGGCTAGACAGAAGAATTCCCAGTAACTTCCTTGTGTTGTGTACATTCAACTCACAGAGTTGAACGTTCCCTTAGACAGAGCAGATTTGAAACACTCTTTTTGTGCAATTGGCAAGTGGAGATTTCAAGCGCTTTGAGGTCAATGGCAGAAAAGGAAATATCTTCGTTTCAAAACTAGACAGAATCATTCCCACAAACTGCGTTGTGATGTGTTCGTTCAACTCACAGAGTTTAACCTTTCTGTTCATAGAGCAGTTAGGAAACACTCTGTTTGTAAAGTCTGTAAGTGGATATTCTGACATCTTGTGGCCTTCGTTGGAAACGGGATTTCTTCATATTCTGCTAGAGAGAAGAATACTCAGTAACATCCGCGTGTTGTGTGTATTCAACTCAGAGAGTTGAACGATCCTTTACACAGAGCAGACTTGAAACACTCTTTTTGTGGAATTTGCAAGTGGAGATTTCAGCCGCTTTGAAGTCAATGGTAGAAAAGGAAATATCTTCCTATAAAAACTAGACAGAATGATTCTCAGAAACTTCATTGTGATGTGTGCGTTCAACTCACAGAGTTTAACCTTTCTTTTCATAGAACAGTTAGGAAACACTCTGTTTGTAAACTCTGCAAGTGGATATTCAGACCTCTTTGAGGCCTTCGTTGGAAACGGGTTTTTTCATGTAAGGCTAGACAGAAGAATTCTCAGTAACTTCCTTGTGTTGTGTGTATTCAACTCACAGAGTTGAATGATCCTTTACACAGAACAGTCTTGAAACACTCTTTTTGTGGAATTTGCAAGTGGAGATTTCAGCCGCTTTGAGGTCAATGGTGGAATAGGAAATATCTTCCTATAGAAATTAGACAGAATGATTCTCAGAAACTCCTTTGTGATGTGTGTGTTCAACTCACAGAGTTTAACCTTTCTTTTCATAGAGCAGTTAGGAAACACTCTGTTTGTAAAGTCTGCAAGTGGATATTCAGACCTCTTTGAGGCCTTCGTTGGAAACGGGATTTCTTCATATTATGCTAGACAGAAGAATTCCCAGTAACTTCCTTGTGTTGTGTGTGTTCAACTCACAGAGTTGAACTTTCATTTACACAGAGCAGATTTGAAACACTCTTTTTGTGGAATTTGCAAGTGGAGATTTCAAGCGCTTTGAGGCCAAAGGCAGAAAAGGAAATATCTTCGTATAAAAACTGGACAGAATCATTCTCAGAAACTGCTGCGTGATGTGTGCGTTCAACTCTCAGAGTTTAACTTTTCTTTTCATTCAGCGGTTTGGAAACACTCTGTTTGTAAAGTCTGCACGTGGAAATTTTGACCACTTAGAGGCCTTCGTTGGAAACGGGTTTTTTTCATATAAGGCTAGACAGAAGAATTCCCAGTAACTTCCTTGTGTTGTGTGCATTCAACTCACAGAGTTGAACGTTCCCTTAGACAGAGCAGATTTGAAACACTCTATTTGTCCAATTTGCAAGTGTAGATTTCAAGCGCTTTAAGGTCAACGGCAGAAAAGGAAATATCTTCGTTTCAAAACTAGACAGAATGATTCTCAGAAAATCTTTTGTGATGTGTGCGTTCAACTCACAGAGTTTAACTTTTCTTCTCATAGAGCAGTTAGGAAACACTCTGTTTGTAAAGTCTGCAAGTGGATATGCATACCTCTTTGAGGCCTTCGTTGGAAACGGGATTTCTTCATATTCTGCTAGACAGAAGAATTCTCAGTAACTTCCTTGTGTTGTGTGTATTCAACTCACAGAGTTGAAGGATCCTTTACAGAGAGCAGGCTTGAAACACTCTTTTTGTCGAATTTGCAAATGGAGATTTCAGCCGCTTTGAGGTCAATGGTAGAAGAGGAAATATCTTCTTATAGAAACTAGACAGAATGATTCTCAGAAACTTCTTTGTGATGTGTGCGTTCAACTCACAGAGTTTAACCTTTCTTTTCATAGAGCAGTTAGGAAACACTGTGTTTTTAAACTGTGCAAGTGGATATTGAGACCTCTTTGAGGCCTTCTTTGGAAACGGGATTTCTTCATACTGTGCTAGACAGAAGAATTCCCAGTAACTTCCATGTGTTGTGTGTGTTCAACTCACAGAGTTGAACTTTCATTTACACAGAGCAGATTTGAAACACTCTTTTTGTGGAATTTGCAAATGGAGATTTCAAGCGCTTTGAGGCCAAAGGCAGAAAGGGAAATATCTTCGTCTAAAAACTAGACAGAATCATTCTCAGAAACTGCTCTGCGATGTGTGCGTTCAACTCTCAGAGTTTAACTTATCTTTTCATTCAGCAGTTTGGAAACACTCTGTTTGTAAAGTCTGCACGTGGATAATTTGACCACTTAGAGGTCTTCGTTGGAAACGGGTTTTTATCATGTAAGGCTAGACAGAAGAATTCTCAGTAACTTCCTTGTGTTGTGTGTATTCAACTGACAGAGTTGAACTTTCATTTAGACAGAGCAGATTTGAAAAACTCTTTATGTGGAATTTGCAAGTGGAGATTTCAAGCGCTTTGAGGCCAAAGACAGAAAAGGAAATATCTTCGTATAAAAACTAGACAGAATCATTCCCTCAAACTGCGTTGTGATGTGTTCGATCAACTCACGGAGTTTAACCTTTCTTTTCATAGAGCAGTTAGGAAACACTCTGTTTGTAAACTCTGCAAGTGGATATTCAGACCTCTTTGAGGACTTCGTTGGAAACGGGATTTCTTCATATTATGCTAGACAGAAGAATTCTCAGTAACTTCTTTGTGTTGTGTGTATTCAACTCACAGAGTTTACCGATCCTTTACACAGAGCTGACCTGAAACACTCTTTTTGTCGAATTTGCAAGTGGAGATTTCAGCCGCTTTGAGGTCAATGGTAGAATAGGAAATATCTTCCTATGGAAATTCGACAGAATGATTCTCAGAAAATCTTTTGTGATGTGTGCGTTCAACTCACAGAGTTTAACTTTTCTTCTCATAGAGCAGTTAGGAAACACTCTGTTTGTAAAGTCTGCAAGTGGATATTCAGACCTCTTTGAAGCCTTCGTTGGAAACGGGATTTCTTCATATTATGCTAGACAGAAGAATTCTCAGTAACTTCCTTGTGTTGTGTGTATTCAACTGACAGAGTTGAACTTTCATTTAGAGAGAGCAGATTTGAAACACTCTTTTTGTGGAATTTGCAAGTGGAGATTTCAAGCGCTTTGAGGCCAAAGGCAGAAAAGGAAATATCTTCGTATAAAAACTAGACAGAATCATTCTCAGAAACTGCTGCGTGATGTGTGCGTTCAACTCTCAGAGTTTAACTTTTCTTTTCATTCAGCGGTTTGGAAACACTCTGTTTGTAAAGTCTGCACGTGGAAATTTTGACCACTTAGAGGCCTTCGTTGGAAACGGGATTTTTTCATGTAAGGCTAGACAGAAGAATTCCCAGTAACTTCCTTGTGTTGTGTGCATTCAACTCACAGAGTTGAACGTTCCCTTAGACAGAGCAGATTTGAAACACTCTATTTGTGCAATTTGCAAGTGTAGTTTTCAAGCTCTTTAAGGTCAACGGCAGAAAAGGAAATATCTTGGTTTCAAAACTAGACAGAATCATTCCCACAAACTGCGTTGTGATGTGTTCGTTCAACTCAGAGAGTTTAACCTTTCTGTTCATAGAGCAGTTAGGAAACACTCTGTTTGTAAAGTCTGTAAGTGGATATTCTGACATCTTGTGGCCTTCGTTGGAAACGGGATTTCTTCATATTCTGCTAGACAGAAGAATTCTCAGTAACTTCCTTGTGTTGTGTGTATTCAACTCACAGAGTTGAACGATCCTTTACACAGAGCAGACTTGAAACACTCTTTTTGTGGAATTTGCAAGTGGAGATTTCAGCCTCTTTGTGGTCAATGGTAGAAAAGGAAATATCTTCGTATAAAGACTAGACAGAATGATTCCCAGAAACTCCTTTGTGATGTGTGCGTTCAACTCACAGAGTTTAACCTTTCTTTTCATAGAGCAGTTAGGAAACACTCTGTTTGTAAAGTCTGCAAGGGGATATTCAGACCTCTTTGAGGCCTTCGTTGGAAACGGGATTTCTTCGTATTCTGCTAGATAGAAGAATTCTCAGTAACTTCCTTGTGTTGTGTGTATTCAACTGACAGAGTTGAACTTTCATTTAGAGAGAGCAGATTTGAAACTCTGTTTTTGTGGAATTTGCAAGTGGAGATTTCAAGCGCTTTGAGGCCAAAGGCAGAAAAGGAAATATCTTCGTATAAAAACTAGACAGAATCATTCTCAGAAACTGCTCTGCGATGTGTGCGTTCAACTCTCAGAGTTTAACTTTTCTTTTCATTCAGCAGTTTGGAAACACTCTGTTTGTAAACTCTGCACGTGGATATTTTGACCACATAGAGGCCTTCGTTGGAAACGGGTTTCTTTCCTGTAAGGCTAGACAGAAGTATTCCCAGTAACTTCCTTGTGTTGTGTACATTCAACTCACAGAGTTGAACGTTCCCTTAGACAGAGCAGATTTGAAACACTCTTTTTGTGCAATTGGCAAGTGGAGATTTCAAGCGCTTTAAGGTCAATGGCAGAAAAGGAAATATCTTCGTTTCAAAACTAGACAGAATCATTCCCACAAACTGCGTTGTGATGTGTTCGTTCAACTCACAGAGTTTAACCTTTCTTTTCATAGAGCAGTTAGGAAACAGTCTGTTTGTAAATTCTGTAAGTGGATATTCTGACATCTTGTGGCCTTCGTTGTAAACGGGATTTCTTCATATTCTGCTAGACAGAAGAATTCTCAGAAACTTCCTTGTGCTGTGGGTTTTCAACTCACAGAGTTGAACGATCCTTTACACAGAGCAGACTTGAAACACTCCTTTTGTGGAATTTGCAAGTGGAGATTTCAGCCGCTTTGAGGTCAATGGTAGAATAGGAAATATCTTCCTATAGAAAGTAGACAGAATGATTCTCAGAAACTCCTTTGTGATGTGTGCGTTCAACTCACAGAGTTTAACCTTTCTTTTCATAGAGCAGTTAGGAAACACTCTGTTTGTAAATTCTGCAAGTGGATATTCAGACCTCTTTGAGACCTTCCTTGGAAACGGGTTTTTTTCATATAAGGCTAGACAGAAGAATTCCCAGTAACTTCCTTGTGTTGTGTGTGTTCAACTCACAGAGCTGAACTTTCATTTACACAGAGCAGATTTGAAACACTCTTTTTGTGGAATTTGCAAGTGGAGATTTCAAGCGCTTTAAGGCCAAAGGCAGAAAAGGAAATATCTTCGTTTCAAAACTAGACAGAATCATTCTCGGAAACTGCTCTGTGATGTGTGCGTTCAACTCTCAGAGTTTAACTTTTCTTTTCATTCAGCAGTTTGGAAACACTCTGTTTGTAAAGTCTGCACGTGGATATTTTGACCACTTAAAGGCCTTCGTTGGAAACGTGTTTTTTTCCTGTAAGGCTAGACAGAAGAATTCCCAGTAACTTCCTTGTGTTGTGTACATTCAACTCACAGAGTTGAACGTTCCCTTAGACAGAGCAGATTTGAAACACTCTTTTTGTGCAATTGGCAAGTGGAGATTTCAAGCGCTTTGAGGTCAATGGCAGAAAAGGAAATATCTTCGTTTCAAAACTAGACAGAATCATTCCCACAAACTGCGTTGTGATGTGTTCGTTCAACTCACAGAGTTTAACCTTTCTTTTCATAGAGCAGGTAGGAAACACTCTGTTGGTAAATTCTGTAAGTGGATATTCTGACATCTTGTGGCCTTCGTTGGAAACGGGATTTCTACATATTCTGCCAGACAGAAGAATTCTCAGAAACTTACTTGTGTTGTGTGTTTTCAACTCTCAGAGTTGAACGATCCTTTACACAGAGCAGACTTGAAACACTCCTTTTGTGGAATTTGCAAGTGGAGATTTCAGCCGCTTTGAGGTCAAAGGTAGAATAGGAAATATCTTCCTATAGAAAGTAGACAGAATGATTCTCAGAAACTCCTTTGTGATGTGTGCGTTCAACTCACAGAGTTTAACCTTTCTTTTCACAGAGCAGTTAGGAAACACTCTGCTTGTAAAGTCTGCAAGTGGATATTCAGCCCTCTTTGAGGCCTTCGTTGGAAACGGGTTTTTTTCATATAAGGCTAGACAGAAGAATTCTCAGAATCTTCCTTGTGTTGTGTGTATTCAACTCACAGAGTTGAACGATCCTTTTCACAGAGCAGACTTGAAACACTCTTTTTGTGGAATTTGCAAGTGGAGATTTCAGCCGCGTTGAGGTCAATGGTAGAAAAGGAAATATGTTCGTATAAAAACTAGACAGAATGATTCTCATAAACTCCTTTGTGAAGTGTGCGTTCAAATCACAGAGTTTAACTTTTCTTTTCATAGAGCAGTTAGGAAACACTCTGTTTGTAAAGTCTGCAAGTGGATATTCAGACCTCTTTGAAGCCTTCGTTGGAAACGGGATTTCTTCATATTATGCTAGACAGAAGAATTCTCAGTAACTTCCTTGTGTTGTGTGTATTCAACTCACAGAGTTGAACGATCCTTTACACAGAGCAGCCTTGAAACATTCTTTTTGTGGAATTTGCAAGTGGAGATTTCAGCCGCTTTGAGGTCAATGGTAGAATAGGAAATATCTTCCTATAGAAACTAGACAGAATGATTCTCAGAAACTCCTTTGTGATGTGTGCGTTCTACTCACAGAGTTTAACCTTTCTTTTCATAGAGCAGTTAGGAAACACTCTGTTTGTAAAGTCTGCAAGTGGATATACAGACCTCCTTGAGGCCTTCGTTGGAAACGGGATTTCTTCATATTATGCTAGACAGAAGAATTCCCAGTAACTTCCTTGTGTTGTGTGTGTTCAACTCACAGAGTTGAACTTTCATTTACACAGAGCACATTTGAAACACTCTTTTTGTGGAATTTGCAAGTGGAGATTTCAAGCGCTTTGAGGCCAAAGGCAGAAAAGGAAATATCTTCGTTTCAAAACTAGACAGAATCATTCTCAGAAACTGCTCTGCGATGTGTGCGTTCAACTCTCAGAGTTTAACTTTTGTTTTCATTCAGCAGTTTGGAAACACTCTGTTTGTAAAGTCTGCACGTGGATAATTTGACCACTTAGAGGCCTTCGTTGGAAACGGGTTTTTTCCATGTAAGGCTAGACACAAGAATTCCCAGTAACTTCCCTTGTGTTGTGTACATTCAACTCACAGAGTTGAACGTTCCCTTAGACAGAGCAGATTTGAAACACTCTTTTTGTGCAATTGGCAAATGGAGATTTCAAGCGCTTTAAGGTCAATGGCAGAAAAGGAAATATCTTCGTTTCAAAACTAGACAGAATCATTCCCACAAACTGCGTTGTGATGTGTTCGTTCAACTCACAGCAGTTTAACCTTTCTATTCATAGAGCAGTTAGGAAACACTCTGTTTGTAAAGTCTGTAAGTGGATATTCTGACATCTTGTGGCCTTCGTTGGAAACGGGATTTCTTCCTATTCTGCTAGACAGAAGAATTCTCAGTAACTTCCTTGTGTTGTGTGCATTCAACTCACAGAGTTGAACGATCCTTTACACAGAGCAGACTTGAAACACTCTTTTTGTGGAATTTGCAAGTGGAGATTTCAGCCGCTTTGAGGTCAATGGTAGAAAACGAAATATCTTCGTATAGAAACTAGACAGAATGATTCTCAGAAACTCCTTTGTGATGTGTGTGTTCAACTCACAGAGTTTAACCTTTCTTTTCATAGAGCAGTTAGGAAACACTCTGTTTGTAAAGTCTGCAAGTGGATATTCAGACCTCCTTGAGGCCTTCGTTGGAAACGGGATTTCTTCATATTCTGCTAGACAGAAGAATTCTCAGTAACTTCCTTGTGTTGTGTTTATTCAACTCACAGAGTTGAACGATCCTTTACACAGAGCAGACTTGAAACACTCTTTTTGTGGAATTTGCAAGTGGAGATTTCAGCCGCTTTGAGGTCAATAGTAGAAAAGGAAATATCTTCGTAGAAAAACTAGACAGAATCATTCTCAGAAACTGCTGCGTGATGTGTGCGTTCAACTCTCAGAGTTTAACTTTTCTTTTCATTCAGCGGTTTGGAAACACTCTGTTTGTAAAGTCTGCACGTGGATATTTTGACCACTTAGAGGCCTTCGTTGGAAACGGGTTTTTTGCATGTAAGGCTAGACAGAAGAATTCCCAGTAACTTCCTTGTGTTTTGTACATTCAACCCACAGAGTTGAACGTTTCCTTAGACAGAGCAGATTTGAAACACTCTTTTTGTGCAATTGGCAAGTGGTGATTTCAGCCGCTTTCAGGTCAAAGGTAGAAAAGGAAATATCTTCCTATAAAAACTAGACAGAATCATTCCCACAAACTGCGTTGTGATGTGTTCGTTCAACTCACAGAGTTTAACCTTTCTGTTCATACAGCAGTTAGGAAACACTCTGTTTGTAAAGTCTGTAAGTGGATATTCTGACATTTTGTGGCCTTCGTTGGAAATGGGATTTCTTCATATTCTGCTAGACAGAAGAATTCTCAGTAAGTTCCTTGTGTTGTGTGTATTCAACTCACAGAGTTGAACGATCCTTTACACAGAGCAGACTTGAAACACTCTTTTTGTGGAATTTGCAAGTGGAGATTTCAGCCGCTTTGAGGTCAATGGCAGAATAGGAAATATCTTCCTATAGAAACTAGACAGAATGATTCTCAGAAACTCCTTTGTGATGTGTGCGTTCATCTCACAGAGTTTAACTTTTCTTTTCATAGAGCAGTTAGGAAACACTCTGTTTGTAAAGTCTGCATGTGGATATTCAGACCTCTTTGAGGCCTTCGTTCGAAAAGGGATTTCTTCATATTATGCTAGACAGAAGAATTCTCAGTAACTTCCTTGTGTTGTGTGTATTCAACTGACAGAGTTGAACTTTCATTTAGAGAGAGCAGATTTGAAACACTGTTTTTGTGGAATTTGCAAATGGAGATTTCAAGCGCTTTGGTGCCAAAGGCAGAAAAGGAAATATCTTCGTATAAAAACTAGACTGAATCATTCTCAGAAACTGCTGCGTGATGTGTGCGTTCAACTCTCAGAGTTTAACTTTTCTTTTCATTCAGCGGTTTGGAAACACTCTGTTTGTAAAGTCTGCACGTGGATATTTTGACCACTTAGAGGCCTTCGTTGGAAACGGGTTTTTTTTCATGTAAGGCTAGACAGAAGAATTCCCAGTAACTTCCTTCTGTTGTGTGCATTCAACTCACAGAGTTGAACGTTCCCTTAGACAGAGCAGATTTGAAACACTCTATTTGTGCAATTTGCAAGTGTAGATTTCAAGCGCTTTAAGGTCAACGGCAGAAAAGGAAATATCTTCGTTTCAAAACTAGACAGAATCATTCCCACAAACTGCGTTGTGATGTGTTCGTTCAACTCACAGAGTTTAACCTTTCTGTTCATAGAGCAGTTAGGAAACACTCTGTTTGTAAAGTCTGTAAGTGGATATTCTGACATCTTGTGGCCTTCGTTGGAAACGGGATTTCTTCCTATTCTGCTAGACAGAATAATTCTCAGTAACTTCCTTGTGTTGTGTGTATTCAACTCACAGAGTTGAAGGATCCTTTACAGAGAGCAGGCTTGAAACACACTTTTTGTCGAATTTGCAAGTGGAGATTTCAGCCGCTTTGAGGTCAATGGTAGAATAGGAAATATCTTCTTATAGAAACTAGACAGATTGATTCTCAGAAACTCCTTTGTGATGTGTGCGTTCAACTCACAGAGTTTAACCTTTCTTTTCATAGAGCAGTTAGGAAACACTCTCTTTGTAAAGTCTGCAAGTGGATATTCAGACCTCCTTGAGGCCTTCGTTGGAAACGGGATTTCTTCATATTATGCTAGGCAGAAGAATTCTCAGTAACTTCCTTGTGTTGTGCGTATTCAACTCACAGAGTTGAACGATCCTTTACACAGAGCAGACGTGAAACACTCTTTTTGTGGAATTTGCAAGTGGAGATTTCAGCCGCTTTGAGGTCAATGGTAGAATAGGAAATATCTTCCTATAGAAACTAGACAGAATCATTCTCAGAAAATGCTCTGTGATGTGTGCGTTCAACTCTCAGAGTTTAACTTTTCTTTTCATTCAGCAGTTTGGAAACACTCTGTTTGTAAAGTCTGCACGTGGATATTTTGACCACTTAGAGGCCTTCGTTGGAAACGGGTTTTTTTCATGTAAGGGTAGACAGAAGAATTCTCAGTAACTTCCTTGTGTTGTGTGTATTCAACTCACAGAGTTGAACGATCCTTTAAACAGAGCAGACTTGAAACACTCTATTTGTGCAATTTGCAAGTGTAGATTTCAAGCGCTTTAAGGTCAATGGCAGAAAAGGAAATATCTTCGTTTTAAAACTAGACAGAATCATTCCCACAAACTGCGTTGTGATGTGTTCGTTCAACTCACAGAGTTTAACTTTTCTGTTCATAGAGCAGTTAGGAAACACTCTGTTTGTAAAGTCTGCAATTGGATATTCAGACCTCCTTGAGGCATTCGTTGGAAACGGGATTTCTTCATATTCTGCTAGACAGAATAATTCTCAGTAACTTCCTTGTGTTGTGTGTATTCAACTCACAGAGTTGAACGATCCTTTACACAGAGCAGACTTGAAACATTCTTTTTGTGGAATTTGCAACTGGAGATTTCAGCCGCTTTGAGGTCAATGGTAGAATAGGAGATATCTTCCTATAGAAACTAGACAGAATGATTCTCAGAAACTCCTTTGTGATGTGTGCGTTCAACTCACAGAGTTTAACCTTTCTTTTCATAGAGCAGTTAGGAAACACTCTGTTTGTAAACTCTGCAAGTGGATATTCAGACCTCCCTGAGGCCTTCGTCGGAAATGGGATTTCTTCATATTCTGCTAGACAGAAGAATTCCCAGTAACTTCCTTGTGTTGTGTGTATTCAACTCACAGAGTTGAACTTTCATTTACACAGAGCAAATTTGAAACACTCTTTTTGTGGAATTTGCAAGTGGAGATTTCAAGCGCTTTGAGGCCAAAGGCAGAAAAGGAAATATCTTCGTATAAAAACTAGACAGAATCATTCTCAGAAACTGCTCTGCGATGTGTGCGTTCAACTCTCAGAGTTTAACTTTTCTTTTCATTCAGCAGTTTGGAAACACTCTGTTTGTAAAGTCTGCACGTGGATATTTTGATCACTTAGAGGCCTTCGTTGGAAACGGGTTTCTTTCTTGTAAGGCTAGACAGAAGAATTCCCAGTAACTTCCTTGTGTTGTGTACATTCAACTCACAGGAGTTGAACGTTCCCTTAGACAGAGCAGATTTGAAACACTCTTTTTGTGCAATTGGCAAGTGGAGATTTCAAGCGCTTTATGGTCAATGGCAGAAAAGGAAATATCTTCGTTTCAAAACTAGACAGAATCATTCCCACAAACTGCGTTGTGATGTGTTCGTTCAACTCACAGAGTTTAACCTTTCTTTTCATAGAGCAGTTAGGAAAGAGTCTGTTTGTCAATTCTGTAAGTGGATATTCTGACATCTAGTGGCCTTCGTTGGAAACGGGATTTCTTCATATTCTGCTAGACAGAAGAATTCTCAGTAACTTCCTTGTGTTGTGTGTATTCAACTCACAGAGTTGAACGATCTTTTACAGAGAGCAGACTTGAAACACTCTTTTTGTGGAATTTGCAAGTGGAGATTTCAGCCGCTTTGAAGTCAAAGGTAGAATAGGAAATATCTTCCTATAGAAACTAGACAGAATGATTCTCAGAAACTCCTTTGTGATGTGTGCGTTCAACTCACAGAGTTTAACCTTTCTTTTCATAGAGCAGTTAGGAAACACTCTGTTTGTAAAGTCTGCAAGTGGATATTCAGACCTCATTGAGGCCTTCGTTGGAAACGGGATTTCTACATATTATGCTAGACAGAAGAATTCTCAGTAACTTCCCTGTGTTGTGTGTATTCAACTGACAGAGTTGAACTTTCATTTAGAGAGAGCAGATTTGAAACACTGTTTTTGTGGAATTTGCAAGTGGAGATTTCAAGCGCTTTGGGGCCAAAGGCAGAAAAGGAAATATCTTCGTATAAAAACTAGACAGAATCATTCTCAGAAACTGCTCTGCGATGTGTGCGTTCAACTCTCAGAGTTTAACTTTTCTTTTCATTCAGAAGTTTGGAAACACTCTGTTTGTAAAGTCTGCACGTGGATAACTTGACCACTTAGAGGCCTTCGTTGGAAACGGGTTTTTTTCATGTAAGGCTAGACAGAAGAATTCCCAGTAACTTCCTTGTGTTGTGTGCACTCAACTCACAGAGTTGAACGTTCCCTTAGACAGAGCAGATTTGAAACACTCTATTTGTGCAATTTGCAAGTGGAGATTTCAAGCGCTTTATGGTCAATGGAAGAAAAGGAAATATCTTCGTTTCAAAACTAGACAGATAATCATTCCCACAAACTGCGTTGTGATGTGTTCGTTCAACTCACAGTAGTTTAACCTTTCTTTTCATAGAGCAGTTAGGAAACAGTCTGTTTGAAAATTCTGTAAGTGGATATTCTGACATCTTGTGGCCTTCGTTGGAAACGGGATTTCTTCATATTCTGCTAGACAGAAGAATTCTCTGTAACTGCCTTGTGTTGTGTGTATTCAACTCACAGAGTTGAACGATCCTTTACACAGAGCAGACTTGAAACACTCTTTTTTTGGAATTTGCAAGTGGAGATTTCAGCCGCTTTGAGGTCAATGGTAGAATAGGAAATATCTTCCTATAGAAAGTAGACAGAATGATTCTCAGAAACTCCTTTGTGATGTGTGTGTTCAACTCACAGAGTTTAACCTTTCTTTTCATAGAGCAGTTAGGAAACACTCTGTTTGTAAAGTATGCAAGTGGATATTCAGACCTCTTTGAGGCCTTCGTTGGAAACGGGATTTTTCATATAAGGCTAGACAGAAGAATTCCCAGTAACTTCCTTGTGTTGTGTGTGTTCAACTCACAGAGTTGAACTTTCATTTACACAGAGCAGATTTGAGACACTCTTTTTGTGGAATTTGCTAATGGAGATTTCAAGCGCTTTGAGGCCAAAGGCAGAAAAGGAAATATCTTCGTATAAAAACTAGACAGAATCATTCTCAGAAACTGCTCTGCGATGTGTGCGTTCAACTCTCAGAGTTTAACTTTTCTTTTCCTTCAGCAGTTTGGAAACACTCTGTTTGTAAAGTCTGCACGTGGATATTTTGACCACTTAGAGGCCTTCGTTGGAAACGGGTTTTTTTCCTGTAAGGCTAGACAGAAGAATTCCCAGTAACTTCCTTGTGTTGTGTGCATTCCACTCACAGAGTTGAACGTTCCCTTAGACAGAGCAGATTTGAAACACTCTATTTGTGCAATTTGCAAGTGTAGATTTCAAGCGCTTTAAGGTCAATGGCAGAAAAGGAAATATCTTCGTTTCAAAACTAGACAGAATTATTCCCACAAACTGCGTTGTGATGTGTTCGTTCAACTCACAGAGTTTAACCTTTCTTTTCATAGAGCAGTTAGGAAACAGTCTGTTTGTAAATTCTGTAAGTGGATATTCTGACATCTTGTGGCCTTCGTTGGAAACGGGATTTCTTCATATTCTGCTAGACAGAAGAATTCTCAGTAACTTCCTTGTGTTGTGTGTATTCAACTCACAGAGTTGAACGATCCTTTACACAGAGCAGACTTGAAACACTCTTTTTCTGGAATTTGCAAGTGGAGATTTCAGCCGCTTTGAGGTCAATGGTAGAAAAGGAAACTATCTTCTTATAAAGACTAGACAGAATGATTCTCAGAAACTCCTTTGTGATGTGTGCGTTCAACTAACAGAGTTTAACCTTTCTTTTCATAGAGCAGTTAGGAAACACTCTGTTTGTAAAGTCTGCAAGTGGATATTCAGACCTCTTTGAGGCCTTCGTTGGAAACGGGATTTCTTCATATTCTGCTAGACAGAAGAATTCTCAGTAACTTCCTTGTGTTGTGTGTATTCAACTGACAGAGTTGAACTTTCATTTATGGAGAGCAGATTTGAAACACTGGTTTTGTGGAATTTGCCAGTGGAGATTTCAAGCGCTTTGGGGCCAAAGGCAGAAAAGGAAATATCTTCGTATAAAAACTAGACAGAATCATTCTCAGAAACTGCTCTGCGATGTGTGCGTTCAACTCTCAGAGTTTAACTTTTCTTATCATTCAGCAGTTTGGAAACACTCTGTTTGTAAAGTCTGCACGTGGATAATTTGACCACTTAGAGGCCTTCCTTGGAAACGGGTTTTTTTCATGTAAGGCTAGACAGAAGAATTCCCAGTAACTTCCTTGTGTTGTGTGCATTCAACTCACAGAGTTGAACGTTCCCTTAGACAGAGCAGATTTGAAACACTGTATTTGTGCAATTTGCAAGTGTAGATTTCAAGCGCTTTAAGGTCAATGGCAGAAAAGGAAATATCTTCGTTTCAAAACTACACAGAATCATTCCCACAAACTGCGTTGTGATGTGTTCGTTCAACTCACAGAGTTTAACCTTTCTTTTCATACAGCAGTTAGGAAACAGTCTGTTTGTAAATTCTGTAAGTGGATATTCTGACATCTTGTGGCCTTCGTTGGAAACGGGATTTCTTCATATTCTGCTAGACAGAAGAATTCTCAGTAACTTCCTTGTGTTGTGTGTATTCAACTCACAGAGTTGAACGATCCTTTACACAGAGCAGACTTGAAACACTCGTTTTGTGGAATTTGCAAGTGGAGATTTCAGCCGCGTTGAGGTCAATGGTAGAAAAGGAAATATCTTCGTATAAAAACTAGACAGAATGATTCTCAGAAACTCCTTTCTGATGTGTGCGTTCAACTCGCAGAGTTTAACTTTTCTTTTCATTGAGCAGTTAGGAAACACTCTGTTTGTAAAGTCAGCAAGTGGATATTCAGACCTCTTTGAGGCCTTCGTTGGAAACGGGATTTCTGCATATTATGCTAGACAGAAGGATTCCCAGTAACTTCCTTGTGTTGTGTGTGTTCAACTCACAGAGTTGAACTTTCATTTACACAGAGGAGATTTGAAACACTCTTTTTGTGGAATTTGCAGGTGGAGATTTCAAGCGCTTTGAGGCCAAAGGCAGAAAAGGAAATATCTTCGTATAAAAACTAGACAGAATGATTCTCAGAAACTCCTTTGTGATGTGGGCGTTCAACTCACAGAGTTTAACGTTTCTTTTCATAGAGCCGTTAGGAAACACTCTGTTTGTAAAGTCTGCACGTGGATATTTGGACTTCTTTGAGGCCTTCGTTGGAAACGGGTTTTTTTCATGTAAGGCTAGACGGAAGAATTCCCAGTAACTTCCTTGTGTTGTGTGCATTCAACTCACAGAGCTGAACGTTCCCTTAGACAGAGCAGATTTGAAACACTCTATTTGTGCAATTTGCAAGTGTAGATTTCAAGCGCTTTAAGGTCAACGGCAGAAAAGGAAATATCTTCGTTTCAAAACTAGACAGAATCATTCCCACAAACTGCGTTGTGATGTGTTCTTTCAACTCACAGAGTTTAACCTTTCTGTTCATAGAGCAGTTAGGAAACACTCTGTTTGTAAAGTCTGTAAGTGGATATTCTGACATCTTGTGGCCTTCGTTGGAAACGGGATTTCTTCATATTACTGCTAGACAGAATAATTCTCAGTAATTTCCTTGTGTTGTGTGTATTCAACTCACAGAGTTGAAGGATCCTTTACAGAGAGCAGGCTTGAAACACTCTTTTTGTCGAATTTGCAAGTGGAGATTTCAGCCGCTTTGAGGTCAATGGTAGAATAGGAAATATCTTCTTATAGAAACTAGACAAAATGATTCTCATAAACTCCTTTGTGATGTGTGCGTTCAACTCACAGAGTTTAACCTTTCTTTTCATAGAGCAGTTAGGAAACACTCTGTTTGTAAAGTCTGCAAGTGGATATTCAGACCTACTTGAGGCCTTCGTTGGAAACGGGATTTCTTCATATTCTGCTAGACAGAAGAATTCCCAGTAACTTCCCTTGTGTTGTGTGTGTTCAACTCACAGAGTTGAACTTTCATTTACACAGAGCAGATTTGAAACACTCTTTTTGTGGAATTTGAAAGTGGAGATTTCAAGCGCTTTGAGGCCAAAGGCAGAAAAGGAAATATCTTCGTATAAAAACTAGACAGAATCATTCTCAGAAACTGCTCTGCGATGTGTGCGTTCAGCTCTCAGAGTTTAACTTTTCTTTTCATTCAGCAGTTTGGAAACACTCTGTTTGTAAAGTCTGCACGTGGATATTTTGACCACTTGGAGGCCTTCATTGGAAACGGGTTTTTTTCATGTAAGGCTAGACAGAAGAATTCCCAGTAACTTCCTTGTGTTGTGTACATTCCACTCACAGAGTTGAACGTTCCCTTAGACAGAGCAGATTTGAAACACTCTTTTTGTGCAATTGGCAAGTGGAGATTTCAAGCGCTTTAAGGTCAATGGCAGAAAAGGAAATATCTTCGTTTCAAAACTAGACAGAATCATTCCCACAAACTGCGTTGTGATGTGTTCGTTCAACTCACAGAGTTTAACCTTTCTTTTCATAGAGCAGTTAGGAAACAGTCTGTTTGTAAATTCTGTAAGTGGATATTCTGACATCTTGTGGCCTTCGTTGGAAACGAGATTTCTTCATATTCTGCTAGACAGAAGAATTCTCAGAAACTTCCTTGTGTTGTGTGTTTTCAACTCACAGAGGTGAACGATCCTTTACACAGAGCAGACATGAAACAGTCTTTTTGTGGAATTTGGAAGTGGAGAATTCAGCCGCTTTCAGGTCAATGGTAGAATAGGAAATATCTTCCTATAGAAAATTGACAGAATGATTCTCAGAAACTCCTTTGTGATGTGTGCGTTCAACTCACAGAGTTCAACCTTTCTTTTCATAGAGCAGTTGGGAAACACTCTGTTTGTAAAGTCTGCATGTGGATATTCAGACATCCTTGAGGCTTTCGTTGGAAACGGGATTTCTTCATATTCTGCTAGAAAGAAGAATTCTCAGTAACTTCCTTGTGTTGTGTGTATTCAACTGACAGAGTTGAACTTTCATTTAGAGAGAGCAGATTTGAAACACTGTTTTTGTGGAATTTGCAAGTGGAGATTTTAAGCGCTTTGGGGCCAAAGGCAGAAAAGGAAATATCTTCGTATAAAAACTAGACAGAATCATTCTCAGAAACTGCTCTGCGATGTGTGCGTTCAACTCTCAGAGTTTAACTTTTCTTTTCATTCAGCAGTTTGGAAACACTCTGTATGTAAAGTCTGCACGTGGATATTTTGACCACTTAGAGGCCTTCGTTGGAAACGGGTTTTTTTCCTGTAAGGCTAGACAGAAGAATTCCCAGTAACTTCCTTGTGTTGTGTACATTCAACTCACAGAGTTGAACGTTCCCTTAGACAGAGCAGATTTGAAACACTCTTTTTGTGCAATTGGCAAATGGAGATTTCAAGCGCTTTAAGTTCAAAGGCAGAAAAGGAAATATCTTCGTTTCAAAACTAGACAGAATGATTCTCAGAAACTCCTTTGTGATGTGTGCGTTCAACTCAAAGAGTTTAACCTTTCTTTTCATAGAGCAGTTAGGAAACACTCTGTTTGTAAAGTCTGCAAGTGGATATTCAGACCTCTTTGAGGCCTTCGTTGGAAACGGGATTTCTTCATATTATGCTAGACAGAAGAATTCTCAGTAACTTCCTTGTGTTGTGTGTATTCAACTCACAGAGTTGAACGATCCTTTACACAGAGCAGACTTTAAACACTCTTTTTGTGGAATTTGCAAGTGGAGATTTCAGCCGCTTTGGGGTCAATAGTAGAAAAGGAAATATCTTCGTAGAAAAACTAGACAGAATGATTCTCAGAAAATCCTTTGTGATGTGTGCGTTCAACTCACAGAGTTTAACTTTTCTTTTCATAGAGCAGTTAGGAAACACTCTGTTTGTAAAGTCTTCAAGTGGATATTCAGACCTCTTTGAGGCCTTCGTTGGAAACGGGATTTCTTCATATTATGCTAGACAGAAGAATTCTCAGTAACTTCCTTGCGTTGTGTGTATTCAACTGATAGAGTTGAACTTTCATTTAGACAGAGCAGATTTGAAACACGCTTTTTGTGGAATTTGCAAGTCGAGATTTCAAGCGCTTTGAGGCCAAAGGCAGAAAAGGAAATATCTTCGTATAAAAACTAGACCGAATCATTCTCAGAAACTGCTCTGCGATGTGTGCGTTCAACTCTCAGAGTTTAACTTTGCTTTTCATTCAGCAGTTTGGAAACACTCTGTTTGTAAAGTCTGCACGTGGATATTTTGACCACTTAGAGGCCTTCGTTGGAAACGGGTTTTTTTCCTGTAAGGCTAGACAGAAGAATTCCCAGTAACTTCCTTGTGTTGTGTACATTCAACTCACAGAGTTGAACGATCCCTTAGACAGAGCAGATTTGAAACACTCTTTTTGTGCAATTGGCAAATGGAGATTTCAAGCACTTTAAGGTCAATCGCAGAAAAGGAAATATCTTCGTTTCAAAACTAGACAGAATGATTCTCAGAAACTCCTTTGTGATGTGTGCGTTCAACTCACAGAGTTTAACTTTTCTTTTCATAGAGCAGTTAGGAAACACTCTGTTTGTAAAGTCTGCAAGTGGATATTCAGACGTCTTTGAGGCCTTCGTTGGAAACGGGATTTCTTCATATTCTGCTAGACAGAAGAATTCTCAGTAACTTCCTTGTGTTTTGTGTATTCAACTCACAGAGTTGAACGATCCTTTACACAGAGCAGACTTGAAACACACTTTTTGTGGAATTTGCAAGTGGAGATTTCAGCCGCTTTGAGGTCAATGGTAGAATAGGAAATATCTTCCTATAGAAACTAGACAGAATGATTCTGAGAAACTCCTTTGTGATGTGTGCATTCAACTCACAGAGTTTAACCTTTCTTTTCATAGAGCAGTTAGGAAACACTGTGCTTGTATAGTCTGCAAGTGGATACTCAGACCTCCTTGAGGCCTTCGTTGGAAACGGGATTTCTTCCTATTATGCTAGACAGAAGAATTCTCAGTAACTCCCTTGTGTTGTGTGTATTCAACTGACAGAGTTGAACTTTCATTTAGAGGGAGCAGATTTGAAACACTGTTTTTGTGGAATTTGCAAGTGGAGATTTCAAACGCTTTGGGGCCAAAGGCAGAAAAGGAAATATCTTCGTATAAAAACTAGACAGAATCATTCTCAGAAACTGCTCTGCGATGTGTGCGTTCAACTCTCAGAGTTTAACTTTTCTTTTCATTCAGCAGTTTGGAAACACTCTGTTTGTAAAGTCTGCACGTGCATAATTTGACCACTTAGAGGCCTTCGTTGGAAACGGTTTTTTTTCATGTAAGGCTAGACAGAAGAATTCCCAGTAACTTCCTTGTGTTGTGTGCATTCAACTCACAGAGTTGAACGTTCCCTTAGACAGAGCAGATTTGAAACACTCTATTTGTGCAATTTGCAAGTGTAGATTTCAAGCGCTTAAAGTCAACGGCAGAAAAGGAAATATCTTCGTTTCAAAACTAGACAGAATCATTCCCACAAACTGCGTTGTGATGTGTTCGTTCAACTCACAGAGTTTAACCTTTCTTTTCATAGAGCAGTTAGGAAACACTCTGTTTGTAAAGTCTGCAAGTGGATATTCAGACCTCTTTGAGGCCTTCGTTGGAAACGGGATTTCTTCATATACTGCTGGACAGAGGAATTCTCAGTAACTTCCTTGTGTTGTGTGTATTCAACTCACAGAGTTGAACGATCCTTTACACAGAGCAGACTTGAAACACTCTTTTTGTGGAATTTGCAAGTGGAGATTTCAGCCGCTTTGATGTCAATGGTAGAAAAGGAAATATCTTCGTATAAAGCCGAGACAGAATGATTCTCAGAAACTCCTTTGTGATGTGTGCGTTCAACTCACAGAGTTTAACCTTTCTTTTCATAGAGCAGTTAGTAAACACTCTGTTTATAAAGTCTGCAAGTGGATATTCAGACCCCTTTGAGGCCTTCGTTGGAAACGGGATTTCTTCATATTCTGCTAGACAGAAGAATTCCCAGTAACTTCCTTGTGTTGTGTGTGTTCGACTCACAGAGTTGAACTTTCATTTACACAGAGCAGATTTGAAACACTCTTTTTGTGGAATTTGCAAGTGGAGATTTCAAGCACTTTGAGGCCAAAGGCAGAAAAGGAAATATACTTCGTTTCAAAACTAGACAGAATCATTCTCAGAAACTGCTCTGCGATGTGTGCGTTCAACTCTCAGAGTTTAACTTTTCTTTTCATTCAGCAGTTTGGAAACACTCTGTTTGTAAAGTCTTCACGTGGATAATTTGACCACTTAGAGGCCTTCGTTGGAAACGGGTTTTTTCATGTAAGGCTAGACAGAAGATTTCCCAGTAACTTCCTTGTGTTGTGTACATTCAACTCACAGAGTTGAACGTTCCCTTAGACAGAGCAGATTTGAAACACTCTTTTTGTGCAATTGGCAAATGGAGATTTCAAGCGCTTTAATGTCAATGGCAGAAAAGGAAATATCTTCGTTTCAAAACTAGACAGAATGATTCTCAGAAACTCCTTTGTGATGTGTGCGTTCAACTCACACAGTTTAACCTTTCTGTTCATAGAGCAGTTAGGAAACACTCTGTTTGTAAAGTCTGTAAGTGGATATTCTGACATCTTGTGGCCTTCGTTGGAAACGGGATTTCTTCATATTCTGCTAGACAGAAGAGTTCTCAGTAACTTCCTTGTGTTGTGTGTATTCAACTCACACGGTTGAACGATCCTTTACACAGAGCAGACTTGTAACACTCTTTTTGTGGAATTTGCAAGTGGAGATTTCAGCCGCTTTGAAGTCAAAGTAGAAAAGGAAATATCTTCCTATAAAAACTAGACAGAATGATTCTCAGAAACTCCTTTGTGATGTGTGCGTTCAACTCACAGAGTTTAACCTTTCTTGTCATAGAGCAGTTAGGAAACACTCTGTTTGTAAAGTCTGCAAGTGGATATTCAGACATCTTTGAGGCTTTCGTTGGAAACGGGATTTCTTCATATTCTGCTAGACAGAAGAATTCTCAGTAACTTCCTTGTTTTGTGTGTATTCAACTGACAGAGTTGAACTTTCATTTAGAGAGAGCAGATTTGAAACACGGTTTTTGCGGAATTTGCAAGTGGAGATTTCAAGCGCTTTGGGGCCAAAGGCAGAAAAGGAAATATCTTCGTATAAAAACTAGACAGAATCATTCTCAGAAACTGCTGCGTGGTGTGTGCGTTCAACTCTCAGAGTTTAACTTTTCTTTTCATTCAGCGGTTTGGAAACACTCTGTTTGTAAAGTCTGCACGTGGATATTTTGACCACTTAGAGGCCTTCGTTGGAAACGGGTTTTCTTCATGTAAGGCTAGACAGAAGAATTCCCAGTAACTTCCTTGTGTTGTGTGCATTCAACTCACAGAGTTGAACGTTCCCTTAGACAGAGCAGATTTGAAACACTCTTTTTGTGCAATTGGCAAGTGGAGATTTCAAGCGCTTTAAGGTCAATGGAAGAAAAGGAAATATCTTCGTTTCAAAACTAGACAGAAGAATTCTCAGTAACTTCCTTGTGTTGTGTGTATTCAACTCACAGAGTTGAACGATCCTTTACACAGAACAGACTTGTAACACTCTTTTTGTGGAATTTGCAAGTGGAGATTTCAGCCATTTTGAAGTCAAAGGTAGAAAAGGAAATAACTTCCTATAAAAACTAGACAGAATGATTCTCAGAAACTCCTTTGTGATGTGTGCGTTCAACTCACAGAGTTTAACCTTTGTTTTCATAGAGCAGTTAGGAAACACTCTGCTTGTAAAGTCTGCAAGTGGATATTCAGCCCTCTTTGAGGCCTTCGTTGGAAACGGGTTTTTTTCATATAAGGCTAGACAGAAGAATTCTCAGTAACTTCCTTGTGTTGTGTGTATTCAAGTGACAGAGTTGAACTTTCATTTAGAGAGAGCAGATTTGAAACACTGTTTTTGTGGAATTTGCAATTGGAGATTTCAAGCGCTTTGGGGCCGAAGGCAGAAAAGGAAATATCTTCGTATAAAAACTAGACAGAATCATTCTCAGAAACTGCTCTGCGATGGGTGCGTTCAACTCTCAGAGTTTAACTTTGCTTTTCATTCAGCAGTTTGGAAACACTCTGTTTGTAAAGTCTGCACGTGGATAATTTGACCACTTAGAGGCCTTCGTTGGAAACGGGTTTTTTTCATGTAAGGCTAGACAGAAGAATTCCCAGTAACTTCCTTGTGTTCTGTACATTCAACTCACAGAGTTGAACGTTCCCTTAGACAGAGCAGATTTGAAACACTCTTTTTGTGCAATTGGCAAGTGGAGATTTCAAGCGCTTTAAGGTCAATGGCAGAAAAGGAAATATCTTCGTTTCAAAACTAGACAGAATGATTCTCAGAAACTCCTTTGTGATGTGTGCGTTCAACTCACAGAGTTTAACCTTTCTGTTCATAGAGCAGTTAGGAAACACTCTGTTTGTAAAGTCTGCAAGTGGATATTCAGACCTCCTTGAGGCCTTCGTTGGAAACGGGATTTCTTTATATTCTGCTAGACAGAAGAATTCTCAGTAACTTCCTTGTGTTGTGTGTATTCAACACACAGAGTTGAACGATCCTTTACACAGAGCAGACTTGAAACACTCTTTTTGTGGAATTTGCAAGTGGAGATTTCAGCCTCTTTGAGGTCAATGGTAGAATAGGAAATATCTTCCTATAGAAACTAGACAGAATGATTCTGAGAAACTCCTTTGTGATGTGTGCGTTCAACTCACAGAGTTTAACCTTTCTTTTCATAGAGCAGTTTGGAAACACTCCGTTTGTAAACTCTGCAAGTGGATATTCAGACCTCCTTGAGACCTTCCTTGGAAACGGGATTTCTTCATATTATGCTAGACAGAAGAATTCTCAGTAACTTCCTAGTGTTGTGTGTATTCAACTGACAGAGTTGAACTTTCATTTAGAGAGAGCAGATTTGAAACACTGTTTTTGTGGAATTTGCAAGTGGAGATTTCAAGCGGTTTGGGGCCAAAGGCAGAAAAGGAAATATCTTCGTATAAAAACTAGACAGAATCATTCTCAGAAACTGCTGCGTGATGTGTGCGTTCAACTCTCAGAGTTTAACTTTTCTTTTCATTCAGCAGTTTGGAAACACTCTGTTTGTAAAGTCTGCACGTGGAAATTTTGACCACTTAGAGGCCTTCGTTGGAAACGGGTTTTTTTCATGTAAGGCTAGACAGAAGAATTCCCAGTAACTTCCCTTGTGTTGTGTGCATTCAACTCACAGAGTTGAACGTTCCCTTAGACAGAGCAGATTTGAAACACTCTATTTGTGCAATTTGCAAGTGTAGTTTTCAAGCTCTTTTAGGTCAACGGCAGAAAAGGAAATATCTTGGTTTCAAAACTAGACAGAATCATTCCCACAAACTGCGTTGTGATGTGTTCGTTCAACTCACAGAGTTTAACCTTTCTGTTCATAGAGCAGTTAGGAAACACTCTATTTGTAAAGTCTGCAAGTGGATATTCAGACCTCCTTGAGGCCTTCGTTGGAAACGGGATTTCTTCATATTCTGCTAGACAGAAGAATTCTCAGAATCTTCCTTGTGTTGTGTGTATTCAACTCACCGAGTTGAACGATCCTTTACACAGAGCAGACTTGAAACACTCTTTTTGTGGAATTTGCAAGTGGAGATTTCAGCCGCTTTGAGGTCCATGTTAGAAAAGGAAATATCTTCGTACAAAAATTGACAGAATGATTCTCAGAAACTTCTTTGTGATGTGTGCCTTCAACTCACAGAGTTTAACCTTTCTTTTCATAGAGCAGTTAGGAAACACTCTGTTTGTAAAGTCTGCAAGTGGATATTCAGACCTCTTTGAGGCCTTCGTTGGAAACGGGTTTTTTTCATATAAGGCTAGACAGAAGAATTCCCAGTAACTTCCTTGTGTTGTGTGTGTTCAACTCACAGAGTTGAACTTTCATTTACACAGAGCAGATTGGAAACACTCTTTTTGTGGAATTTGCAAGTGGAGATTTCAAGCGCTTTGAGGACAAAGGCAGAAAAGGAAATATCTTCGTATAAAAATTAGACAGAATCATTCTCAGAAACTGCTCTGCGATGTGTGCGTTCAACTCTCAGAGTTTAACTTTTCTTTTCATTCAGCAGTTTGGAAACACTCTGTTTGTAAAGTCTGCACGTGGATATTTTGACCACTTAGAGGCCTCCGTTGGAAACGGGTTTCTTTCCTGTAAGGCTAGACAGAAGAATTCCCAGTAACTTCCTTGTGTTGTGTGCATTCAACTCACAGAGTTGAACGTTCCCTTAGACAGAGCCGATTTGAAACACTCTATTTGTGCAATTGGCAAGTGTAGATTTCAAGCGCTTTAAGGTCAACGGCAGAAAAGGAAATATCTTCGTTTCAAAACTAGACAGAATGATTCTCAGAAACTCCTTTGTGATTTGTGCGTTCAACTCACAGAGTTTAACTTTTCTTTTCATAGAGCAGTTAGGAAACACTCTGTTTGTAAAGTGTGCAAGTGGATATTCAGACCTCTTTGAGGCCTTCGTTGGAAACGGGATTTCTTCATATTATGCTAGACAGAATAATTCTCAGTAACTTCCTTGTGTTGTGTGTATTCAACTCACAGAGTTCAACGATCCTTTACAGAGAGCAGACTTGAAACACTCTTTTTGTGGAATTTGCAAGTGGAGATTTCAGCCGCTTTGAGGTCAATGGTAGAATAGGAAATATCTTCCTATAGAAACTAGACAGAATGATTCTCAGAAACTCCTTTGTGATGTGTGCGTTCAACTCACAGAGTTTAACCATTCTTTTCATAGAGCAGTTAGGAAACACTCTGTTTGTAAAGTCTGCAAATGGATATTCAGACCTCCTTGAGGCCTTCGTTGGAAACGGGATTTCTTCATATTCTGCTAGACAGAAGAATTCTCAGTAACTTCCTTGTGTTGTGTGTATTCAACTCACAGACTTGAATGATCCTTTACACAGAACAGTCTTGAAACACTCTTTTTGTGGAATTTGCAAGTGGAGATTTCAGCCGATTTGAGGTCAATGGTAGAATAGAAAATATCTTCCTATAGAAACTAGACAGAATAATTCTCAGAAACTCCTTTGTGATGTGTGCGTTCAACTCACAGAGTTTAACCTTTCTTTTCATAGAGCAGTTAGGAAACACTCTGTTTGTAAAGTCTGCAAGTGGATATTCAGACCTCTTTGAGGCCTTCGTTGGAAACGGGTTTTTTTCATATAAGGCTGGACAGAAGAATTCTCAGTAACTTCCCTGTGTTGTGTGTTTTCAACTGACAGAGTTGAACTTTCATTTAGAGAGAGCAGATTTGAAAAACTGTTTTTGTGGAATTTGCAAGTGGAGATTTCAAGCGTTTTGGAGCCAAAGGCAGAAAAGGAAATATCTTCGTATAAAAACTAGACAGAATCATTCTCAGAAACTGCTGCGTGATGTGTGCGTTCAACTCTCAGAGTTTAACTTTTCTTTTCATTCAGCGGTTTGGAAACACTCTGTTTGTAAAGTCTGCACGTGGATATTTTGACCACTTAGAGGCCTTCGTTGGAAACGGGTTTTTTCATGTAAGGCTAGACAGAAGAATTCCCAGTAACTTCCTTGTGTTGTGTACATTCCACTCACAGAGTTGAACGTTCCCTTAGACAGAGCAGATTTGAAACACTCTTTTTGTGCAATTGGCAAATGGAGATTTCAAGGGCTTTAAGGTCAATGGCAGAAAAGGAAATATCTTCGTTTCAAAACTAGACAGAATCATTCCCACAAACTGCGTTGTGATGGTTCGTTCAACTCACAGAGTTTAAACTTTCTTTTCATAGAGCAGTTAGGAAACAGTCTGTTTGTCAATTCTGTAAGTGGATATTCTGACATCTTGTGGCCTTCGTTGGAAACGGGATTTCTTCATATTCTCCTAGACAGAAGAATTCTCAGAATCTTCCTTGTGTTGTGTGTATTCAACTCACAGAGTTGAACGATCCTTTACACAGAGCAGACTTGAAACACTCTTTTTGTGGAATTTGCAAGTGGAGATTTCAGCCGCTTTGAGGTCCATGGTAGAAAAGGAAATATCTTTGTATAAAAACTAGACAGAATGATTCTCAGGAACTCCTTTGTGATGTGTGTGTTCAACTCACAGAGTTTAACCTTTCTTTTCATAGAGCAGTTAGTAAACACTCTGTTTATAAAGTCTGTAAGTGGGTATTCAGACCCCTTTGGGGCCTTCGTTGGAAACGGGATTTCTTCATATTATGCTAGACAGAAGAATTCTCAGAAACTTCCTTGTGTTGTGTGTATTCAACTCACAGAGTTGAACGATCGTTTACACAGAGCAGACTTGAAACACTCTTTTTGTGGAATTTGCAAGTGGAGATTTCAGCCGCTTTGAGGTCAATGGTAGAAAAGGAAATATCTTCGTATAAAAACTAGACAGAATGATTCTCAGAAACTCCTTTGTGATGTGTGCGTTCAACTCACAGAGTTCAACCTTTCTTTTCACAGAGCAGTTGGGAAACACTCTGTTTGTAAAGTCTGCAAGTGGATATTCAGACTTCTTTGAGGCCTTCGTTGGAAGCGGGATTTCTTCATGTTCTGCTAGACAGAAGAATTCTCAGTAACTTCCTTGTGTTGTGTGTATTCAACTGACAGAGTTGAACTTTCATTTAGAGAGAGCAGATTTGAAACACAGTTTTTGTGGAATTTGCAAGTGGAGATTTCAAGCGCTATGGGGCCAAAGGCAGAAAAGGAAATATCTTCGTATAAAAACTAGACAGAATCATTCTCAGAAACTGCTGCGTGATGTGTGCGTTCAACTCTCAGAGTTTAACTTTTCTTTTCATTCAGCGGTTTGGAAACACTCTGTTTGTAAAGTCTGCACGTGGATATTTTGACCACTTAGAGGCCTTCGTTGGAAACGGGTTTCTTTCATGTAAGGCTAGACAGAAGAATTCCCAGTAACTTCCTTGTGTTGTGTGCATTCAACTCACAGAGTTGAACGTTCCCTTAGACAGAGCAGATTTGAAACACTCTATTTGTGCAATTTGCAAGTGTAGATTTCAAGCGCTTTAAGGTCAACGGCAGAAAAGAAAATATCTTCGTTTCAAAACTAGACAGAATCATTCCCACAAACTGCGTTGTGATGTGTTCGTTCAACTCACAGAGTTTAACCTTTCTTTTCATAGAGCAGTTAGGAAACAGTCTGTTTGTCAATTCTGTAAGTGGATATTCTGACATGCTTGTGGCCTTCGTTGGAAACGGGATTTCTTCATATTCTGCTAGACAGAAGAATTCTCAGTAACTTCCTTGTGTTGTGTGTATTCAACTCACAGAGTTGAACGATCCTTTACACAGAGCAGACTTGAAACACTCTTTCTGTGGAATTTGCAAGTGGAGATTTCAGCCGCTTTGAGGTCAATGGTAGAAAAGGAAATATCTTCGTATAAAGACTAGACAGAATGATTCTCAGAAACTTCTTTGTGATGTGTGCGTTCAACTCACAGAGTTTAGCCTTTCTTTTCATAGAGCAGTTAGGAAACACTCTGTTTGTAAACTCTGCAAGTGGATATTCAGACCTCTTTGAGGCCTTCGTTGGAAACTGGGATTTCTTCATACTATGCTAGACAGAAGAATTCCCAGTAACTTCCATGTGTTGTTTGTGTTCAACTCACAGAGTTGAACTTTCATTTACACAGAGCAGATTTGAAACACTCTTTTTGTGGAATTTGCAAATGGAGATTTCAAGCGCTTTGAGGCCAGAGGCAGAAAAGGAAATATCTTCGTATAAAAACTAGACAGAAATCATTCTCAGAAACTGCTGCGTGATGTGTGCGTTCAACTCTCAGAGTTTAACTTTTCTTTTCATTCAGCGGTTTGGAAACACTCTGTTTGTAAAGTCTGCACGTGGATATTTTGACCACTTAGAGGCCTTCGTTGGAAACGGGTTTTTTTCATGTAAGGCTCGACAGAAGAATTCCCAGTAACTTCTTTGTGTTGTGTGCATTCAACTCACAGAGTTGAACGTTCCTTTAGAAAGAGCAGATTTGAAACACTCTTTTTGTGCAATTTGCAAGTGGAGATTTCAAGCGCTTTAGGGTCAATGGCAGAAAAGGAAATATCTTCGTTTCAAAACTAGACAGAATCATTCACACAAACTGCGTTGTGATGTGTGCGTTAAACTCACAGAGTTTAACCTTTCTTTTCATAGAGCCGTCTGTAAGCGCTCTGTTTGTCAAGTCTGCAAGTGGATATTCTGACCTTTTTGTGGACTTCGTTGGAAACGGGATTTCTTCCTATAATACTAGACAGAAGAATTCTCAGTAACTTCCTTGTGTTGTGTGTATTCAACTCACGGAGTTGAACGATCCTTTACACAGAGCAGACTTGAAACACTCTTTTTGTGGAATTTGCAAGTGGAGATTTCAGCCGCTTTGGGGTCAATGGTAGAAAAGGAAATATCTTCGTATAAAGACTAGACAGAATGATTCTCAGAAACTCCTTTGTGATGTGTGCGTTCAACTCACAGAGTTCAACCTTTCTTTTCATAGAGCAGTTAGGAAACACTCTGTTTGTAAAGTCTGCAAGTGGATATTCAGACATCCTTGAGGCTTTCGTTGGAAACGGGATTTCTTCATATTCTGCTAGAAAGAAGAATTCTCAGTAACTTCCTTGTGTTGTGTGTATTCAACTGACAGAGTTGAACTTTCATTTAGAGAGAGCAGATTTGAAACACTGTTTTTGTGGAATTTGCAAGTGGAGATTTCAAGCGCTTTGGGGCCAAAGGCAGAAAAGGAAATATGCTTCGTATAAAAACTAGACAGAATCATTCTCTGAAACTGCTCTGTGATGTGTGCGTTCAACTCTCAGAGTTTAACTTTTCTTTTCATTCAGCAGTTTGGAAACACTCTGTTTGTAAAGTCTGCACGTGGATATTTTGACTACTTAGAGGCCTTCGTTGGAAACGGGTTTTTTTCATGTAAGGCTAGACAGAAGAATTCCCAGTAACTTCCTTGTGTTGTGTGCATTCAACTCACAGAGATGAACGTTCCCTTAGACAGAGCAGATTTGAAACACTCTATTTGTGCAATTTGCAAGTGTAGATTTCAAGCGCTTTAAGGTCAATGGCAGAAAAGGAAATATCTTCGTTTCAAAACTAGACAGAATCATTCCCACAAACTGCGTTGTGATGTGTTCGTTCAACTCACAGAGTTTAACCTTTCTTTTCATAGAGCAGTTAGGAAACACTCTGTTGGTAAATTCTGTAAGTGGATATTCTGACATCTTGTGGCCTTCGTTGGAAACGGGATTTCTTCATATTCTGCTAGACAGAAGAATTCTCAGAATCTTCCTTGTGTTGTGTGTATTCAACTCACAGAGTTGAACGATCCTTTACACAGAGCAGACTTGAAACACTCTTTTTGTGGAATTTGCAAGTTGAGATTTCAGCCGCTTTGAGGTCCATGGTAGAAAAGGAAATATCTTCGTATAAAACTAGACAGAATGATTCTCAGAAACTCCTTTGTGATGTGTGTGTTCAACTCACAAAGTTTAACCTTTCTTTTCATAGAGCAGTTAGTAAACACTCTGTTTATAAAGTCTGCAAGTGGATATTCAGACCCCTTTGAGACCTTCGTTGGAAACGGGATTTCTTCATATTATGCTAGACAGAAGAATTCTCAGTAACTTCCTTGTGTTGTGTGTTTTCAACTGACAGAGTTGAACATTCATTTAGAGAGAGCAGATTTGTAACACTGTTTTTGTGGAATTTGCAAGTGGAGATTTCAAGTGCTTTGGGGCCAAAGGCAGAAAAGGAAATATCTTCGTATAAAAACTAGACAGAATCATTCTCAGAAACTGCTGCATGATGTGTGCGTTCAACTCTCAGAGTTTAACTTTTCTTTTCATTCAGCGGTTTGGAAACACTCTGTTTGTAAAGTCTGCACGTGGATATTTTGACCACTTAGAGGCCTTCCTTGGAAACGGGTTTTTTTTCATGTAAGGCTAGACAGAAGAATTCTCAGTAACTTCATTGTGTTGTGTGTATTCAACTCACAGATTTCAACGATCCTTTACACAGAGCAGACTTGAAACACTCTTTTTCTGGTATTTGCAAGTGGAGATTTCAGCCGCTTTGAGGTCAATGGTAGAATAGGAAATATCTTCCTATAGAAACTAGACAGAATGATTCTCAGAAACTCCTTTGTGATGTGTGCGTTCAACTCACAGAGTTCAACCTTTCTTTTCATAGAGCAGTTGGGAAACACTCTGTTTGTAAAGTCTGCAAGTGGATATTCAGACTTCTTTGAGGCCTTCGTTGGAAGCGGGTTTTCTTCATATTCTGCTTGACAGAAGAATTCTCAGTAACTTCCTTGTGTTGTGTGTATTCAACTCACAGAGTTGAACGATCCTTTACACAGAGCAGACTTGAAACACTCTTTTTGTGGAATTTGAAAGTGGAGATTTCAGCCGCTTTGAGGTCAATGGTAGAATAGGAAATATCTTCCTATAGAAACTAGACAGAATGATTCTCAGAAACTTCTTTGTGATGTGTGCGTTCAACTCACGGAGTTTAACCTTTCTTTTCATAGAGCAGTTAGGAAACACTCTGTTTGTAAACTCTGCAAGTGGATATTCAGACCTCTTTGAGGCCTTCGTTGGAAACGGGATTTCTTCATACTATGCTAGACAGAAGAATTCCCAGTAACTTCCTTGTGTTGTGTGTGTTCAACTCACAGAGTTGAACTTTCATTTACACAGAGCAGATTTGAAACACTCTTTTTGTGGAATTTGCAAATGGAGATTTCAAGCGCTTTGAGGCCAAAGACAGAAAAGGAAATATCTTCGTATAAAAACTAGACAGAATCATTCTCAGAAACTGCTCTGCGATGTGTGCGTTCAACTCTCAGAGTTTAACTTTTCTTTTCATTCAGCAGTGTGGAAACACTCTGTTTGTAAACTCTGCACGTGGATATTTTGACCACTTAGAGGCCTTCGTTGGAAACGGGTTTTTTTCCTGTAAGGCTAGACAGAAGAATTCCCAGTAACTTCCTTGTGTTGTGTGCATTCAACTCACAGAGTTGAACGTTCCTTAGACAGAGCAGATTTGAAACACTCTATTTGTGCAATTTGCAAGTGTAGATTTCAAGCGCTTTAAGGTCAATGGCAGAAAAGGAAATATCTTCGTTTCAAAACTAGACAGAATCATTCCCACAAACTGCGTTGTGATGTGTTCGTTCAACTCACAGAGTTTACCCTTTCTTTTCTTAGAGCAGTTAGGAAACAGTCTGTTTGTAAATTCTGTAAGTGGTTATTCTGACATCTTGTGGCCTTCGTTGGAAACGGGATTTCTTCATATTCTGCTAGACAGAAGAATTCTCAGTAACTTCCTTGTGTTGTGTGTATTCAACTCACAGAGTTCACCGATCCTTTACACAGAGCAGACTTGTAACACTCTTTTTGTGGAATTTGCAAGTGGAGATTTCAGCCGCTTTGAAGTCAAAGGTAGAAAAGGGAATATCTTCCTATAAAAACTAGACAGAATGATTCTCAGAAACTCCTTTGTGATGTGTGCGTTCAACACACAGAGTTTAACTTTTCTTTTCATAGAGCGGTTAGGAAACACTCTGTTTGTAAAGTCTGCAAGTGGATATTCAGACCTCTTTGAGGCCTTCGTTGGAAACGGGATTTCTTCATATTCTGCTAGACAGAAGAATTCCCAGTAACTTCCTTGTGTTGTGTGTGTTCAACTCACAGAGTTGAACTTTCATTTACACAGAGCAGATTTGAAACACTCTTTTTGTGGAATATGCAAGTGGAGATTTCAAGCGCTTTGAGGCCAAAGGCAGAAAAGGAAATATCTTCGTATAAAAACTAGACAGAATCATTCTCAGAGACTGCTCTGTGATGTGTGCGTTCAACTCTCAGAGTTTAACTTTTCTTTTCATTCAGCAGTTTGGAAACACTCTGTTTGTAAAGTCTGCACGTGGATAATTTGACCACTTAGAGGCCTTCGTTGGAAACGGGTTTTTTTCATGTAAGGCTAGACAGAAGAATTCCCAGTAACTTCCTTGTGTTGTGTACATTCAACTCACAGAGTTGAACGTTCCCTTAGACAGAGCAGATTTGAAACACTCTTTTTGTGCAATTGGCAAATGGAGATTTCAAGCGCTTTAAGTTCAATGGCAGAAAAGGAAATATCTTCGTTTCAAAACTAGACAGAATGATTCTCAGAAACTCCTTTGTGATGTGTGCGTTCATCTCACAGAGTTTAACCTTTCTTTTCGTAGAGCAGTTAGGAAACAGTCTGTTTGTAAATTCTGTAAGTGGATATTCTGACATCTTGTGGCCTTCGTTGGAAACGGGATTTCTTCATATTCTGCTAGACAGAAGAATTCTCAGTAACTTCCTTGTGTTGTGTGTATTCAACTCACAGAGTTGAACGAACCTTTACACAGAGCAGACTTGTAACACTCTTTTTGTGGAATTTGCAATTGGAATTTTCAGCCGCTTTGAAGTCAAAGGTAGAAAAGGAAATATCTTCCTATAAAAACTAGACAGAAATGATTCTCAGAAACTCCTTTGTGATGTGTGCGTTCAACTCACAGAGTTTAACCTTTCTTTTCATAGAGCAGTTAGGAAACACTCTGTTTGTAAAGTCTGCAAGTGGATATTCAGACCTCTTTGAGGCCTTCGTTGGAAACGGGTTTTTTTCATATAAGGCTAGACAGAAGAATTCTCAGTAACTTCCTTGTGTTGTGTGTATTCAACTGACAGAGTTGAACTTTCATTTAGAGAGAGCAGATTTGAAACACTGTTTTTGTGGAATTTGCAAGTGGAGATTTCAAGCGCTTTTGGGCCAAAGGCAGAAAAGGAAATATCTTCGTATAAAAACTAGACAGAATCATTCTCAGAAACTGCTCTGCGATGTGTGCGTTCAACTCTCAGAGTTTAACTTTTCTTTTCATTCAGCAGTTTGGAAACACTCTGTTTGTAAAGTCTGCACGTGGATAACTTGACCACTTAGAGGCCTTCGTTGGA
Organism: Homo sapiens; assembly: GCF_000001405.40. Taxonomy (NCBI): domain Eukaryota; kingdom Metazoa; phylum Chordata; class Mammalia; order Primates; family Hominidae; genus Homo; species Homo sapiens. Next base: position 123,314,300 of record NC_000001.11, read on the forward strand.
AACGGGTTTTTTTCTTGTAAGGCTAGACAGAAGAATTCCCAGGAACTTCCTTGTGTTGTGTACATTCAACTCACAGAGTTGAACGTTCCCTTAGACAGAGCAGATTTGAAACACTCTTTTTGTGCAATTGGCAAGTGGTGATTTCAGCCGCTTTGAGGTCAATGGTAGAAAAGGAAATATCTTCGTATAAAAACTAGACAGAATCATTCCCACAAACTGCGTTGTGATGTGTTCAGTTCAACTCACAGAGTTTAACCTTTCTGTTCATAGAGCAGTTAGGAAACACTCTGTTTGTAAAGTCTGTAAGTGGATATTCTGACATCTTGTGGCCTTCGTTGGAAACGGGATTTCTTCATATTCTGCTAGACAGAAGAATTCTCAGTAACTTCCTTGTGTTGTGTGTATTGAACTCGCAGAGTTGAACGATCCTTTACACAGAGCAGACTTGAAACACTCTTTTTGTGGAATTTGCAAGTGGAGATTTCAGCCACTTTGAGGTCAATAGTAGAAAAGGAAATATCTTCGTAGAAAAACTAGACAGAATGATTCTCAGAAAATCTTTTGTGATGTGTGCGTTCAACTCACAGAGTTTAACTTTTCTTCTCATAGAGCAGTTAGGAAACACTCTGTTTGTAAAGTCTGCAAGTGGATAGTGGATATTCAGACCTCTTTGAGGTCTTCGTTGGAAACGGGATTTCTTCATATTATGCTAGACAGAAGAATTCCCAGTAACTTCCTTGTGTTGTGGGTGTTCGACTCACAGAGTTGAACTTTCATTTACACAGAGCAGATTTGAAACACTCTTTCTGTGGAATTTGCAAGTGGAGATTTCAAGCGCTTTGAGGCCAAAGGCAGAAAAGGAAATATCTTCGTTTCAAAACTAGACAGAATCATTCTCAGAAACTGCTCTGCGATGTGTGCGTTCAACTCTCAGACTTTAACTTTTCTTTTCATTCAGCAATTTGGAAACACTCTGTTTGTAAAGTCTGCACGTGGATATTTTGACCACTTAGAGGCCTTCGTTGGAAACGGGTTTTTTTCCTGTAAGGCTAGACAGAAGCATTCCCAGTAACTTCCTTGTGTTGTGTGCATTCAACTCACAGAGATGAACGTTCCCTTAGACAGAGCAGATTTGAGACACTCTATTTGTGCAATTTGCAAGTGTAGATTTCAAGCGCTTTAAGGTCAATGGCAGAAAAGGAAATATCTTCGTTTCAAAACTAGACAGAATCATTCCCACAAACTGCGTAGTGATGTGTTCGTTCAACTTACAGAGTTTAACCTTTCTGTTCATAGAGCAGTTAGGAAACACTCTGTTTGTAAAGTCCGTAAGTGGATATTCTGACATCTTGTGGCCTTGTTTGGAAACCGGACTTCTTCATATACTGCTAGACAGAAGAATTCTCAGTAACTTCCTTGTGTTGTGTGTATTCAACTCACAGAGTTGAACGATCCTTTACACAGAGCAGACTTGAAACACTCTTTTTGTGGAATTTGCAAGTGGAGATTTCAGCCGCTTTGAGGTCAATGGTAGAAAAGGAAATATCTTCGTAGAAAAACTAGACAGAACGATTCTCAGAAACTCCTTTGTGATGTGTGCGTTCAACTCACAGAGTTTAACTTTTCTTTTAATATAGCAGTTAGGAAACACTCTGTTTGTAAAGTCTGCAAGTGGATATTCAGACCTCTTTGAGGCCTTCGTTGGAAACGGGATTTCTTCATATTCTGTTAGACAGAAGAATTCTCAGTAACTTCCCTTGTGTTTTGTGTATTCAACTCACAGAGTTGAACGATCCTTTACACAGAGCAGACTTGAAACACTCTTTTTGTGGAATTTGCAAGTGGAGATTTCAGCCGCTTTCAGGTCAATAGTAGAAAAGGAAATATCTTCGTAGAAAAACTAGACAGAATGATTCTCAGAAACTCCTTTGTGATGTGTGCGTTCAACTCACAGAGTTTAACCTTTCTTCTCATAGAGCAGTTAGGAAACACTCTGTTTGTAAAGTCTGCAAGTGGATATTCAGACATCTTTGAGGCCTTCGTTGGAAACGGGATTTCTTCATGTTCTGCTAGACAGAAGAATTCTCAGTAACTTCCTTGTGTTGTGTGTATTCAACTGACAGAGTTGAACTTTCATTTAGAGAGAGCAGATTTGAAACTCTGTTTTTGTGGAATTTGCAAGTGGAGATTTCAAGCGCTTTGGGGCCAAAGGCAGAAAAGGAAATATCTTCGTACAAAAACTAGACAGAATCATTATCAGAAACTGCTGCGTGATGTGTGCGTTCAACTCTCAGAGTTTAACTTTTCTTTTCATTCAGCGGTTTGGAAACACTCTGTTTGTAAAGTCTGCACGTGGAAATTTTGACCACTTAGAGGCCTTCGTTGGAAACGGGTTTTTTTCATGTAAGGCTAGACAGAAGAATTCCCAGTAACTTCCTTGCGTTGTGTACATTCAACTCACAGAGTTGAACGTTCCCTTAGACAGAGCAGATTTGAAACACTCTTTTTGTTCAATTGGCAAGTGGAGATTTCAAGCGCTTTAAGGTCAATGGCAGAAAAGGAAATATCTTCGTTTCAAAACTAGACAGAATCATTCCCACAAACTGCGTTGTGATGTGTTCGTTCATCTCACAGAGTTTAACCTTTCTTTTCATAGAGCAGTTAGGAAACAGTCTGTTTGTAAATTCTGTAAGTGGATATTCCGACATCTTGTGGCCTTCGTTGGAAACGGGATTTCTTCATATTCTGCTAGACAGAAGAATTCTCAGTAACTTCCTTGTGTTGTGTGTATTCAACTCACAGAGTTGAACGATCCTTTACACAGAGCAGACTTGAAACACTCTTTGTGTGGAATTTGCAAGTGGAGATTTCAGCCGCTTTGAGGTCAATAGTAGAAAAGGAAATATCTTCGTAGAAAAACTAGACAGAATGATTCTCAGAAACTCCTTTGAGATGTGTGTGTTCAACTCACAGAGTTTAACCTTTCTTTTCATAGAGCAGTTAGGAATCACTCTGTTTTTAAAGTCTGCAAGTGGATATTCAGACCTCTTTGAGGCCTTCGTTGGAAAAGGGTTTTTTTCATATAAGGCTAGAGAGAAGAATTCCCAGTACCTTCCTTGTGTTGTGTGTGTTCAACTCACAGATTTGAACTTTCATTTACACAGAGCAGATTTGAAACACTCTTTTTGTGGAATTTGCAAATGGAGATTTCAAGCGCTTTGAGGCCAAAGGCAGAAAAGGAAATATCTTCGTATAAAAACTAGACAGAATCATTCTCAGAAACTGCTGTGTGATGTGTGCGTTCAACTCTCAGAGTTTAACTTTTCTTTTCATTCAGCGGTTTGGAAACACTCTGTTTGTAAAGTCTGCACGTGGATATTTTGACCACTTAGAGGCCTTCGTTGGAAACGGGATTTTTTCATGTAAGGCTAGACAGAAGAATTCCCAGTAACTTCCTTGTGTTGTGTACATTCAACTCACAGAGTTGAACGTTCCCTTAGACAGAGCAGATTTGAAACACTCTTTTTGTGCAATTGGCAAGTGGAGATTTCAGCCGCTTTGAAGTCAAATGTAGAAAAGGAAATATCTTCCTATAAAAACTAGACAGAATCATTCCCACAAACTGCGTTGTGATGTGTACGTTCAACTCACAGAGTTTAACCTTTCTGTTCATAGAGCAGTTAGGAAACACTCTGTTTGTAAAGTCTGTAAGTGGATATTCTGACATCTTGTGGCCTTCGTTGGAAACGGGATTTCTTCATATTCTGCTAGACAGAAGAATTCTCAGTAACTTCCTTGTGTTGTGTGTATTCAACTCACAGAGTTGAACGATCCTTTACACAGAGCAGACTTGTAACACTCTTTTTGTGGAATTTGCAAGTGGAGATTTCAGCCGCTTTGAAGTCAAAGGTAGAAAAAAAATATCTTCCTATAAAAACTAGACAGAATGATTCTCAGAAACTCCTTTGTGATGTGTGCCGTTCAACTCACAGAGTTTAACCTTTCTTTTCATAGAGCAGTTAGGAAACACTCTGCTTGTAAAGTCTGCAAGTGGATATTCAGCCCTCTTTGAGGCCTTCGTTGGAAACGGGTTTTTTTCATATAAGGCTAGACAGAAGAATTCTCAGTAACTTCCTTGTGTTGTGTGTATTCAACTGACAGAGTTGAACTTTCATTTAGAGAGAGCAGATTTGAAACACTGTTTTTGTCGAATTTCCAATGGAGATTTCAAGCGCTTTGGGGCCAAAGGCAGAAAAGGAAATATCTTCGTATAAAAACTAGACAGAATCATTCTCAGAAACTGCTCTGTGATGTGTGCGTTCAACTCTCAGAGTTTAACTTTTCTTTTCATTCAGCAGTTTGAAACACTCTGTTTGTAAACTCTGCACGTGGATAATTGGACCACTTAGAGGCCTTCGTTGGAAAAGGGTTTTTTTCCTGTCAGGCTAGACAGAAGAATTCCCAGTAATTTCCTTGTGTTGTGTACATTCAACTCACAGAGTTGAACGTTCCCTTAGACAGAGCAGATTTGAAACACTCTTTTTGTGCAATTGGCAAATGGAGATTTCAAGCGCTTTAAGGTCAATGGCAGAAAAGGAAATATCTTCGTTTCAAAACTAGACAGAATGATTCTCAGAAACTCCTTAGTGATGTGTGCGTTCAACTCACAAAGTTTAACCTTTCTGTTCATAGAGCAGTTAGGAAACACTCTGTTTGTAAAGTCTGCAAGTGGATATTCAGACCTCCTTGAGGCCTTCGTTGGAAACGGGATTTCTTCATATTCTGCTAGACAGAAGAATTCTCAGTAACTTCCTTGTGTTGTGTGTATTCAACTCACAGAGTTGAACGATCCTTTACACAGAGCAGACTTGAAGCACTCTTTTTGTGGAATTTGCAAGTGGAGATTTCAGCCGCTTTGAGGTCAATAGTAGAAAGGAAATATCTTCGTAGAAAAACTAGACAGAATGATTCTCAGAAAATCCTTTGTGATGTGTGCGTTCAACTCACAGAGTTTAACTTTTCTTTTCATAGAGCAGTTAGGAAACACTCTGTTTGTAACGTCTGCAAGTGGATATTCAGACCTCCTTGAGGCCTTCGTTGGAAACGGGATTTCTTCATATTCTGCTAGACAGAAGAATTCTCAGTAACTTCCTTGTGTTGTGTGTATTCAACTGACAGAGTTGAACTTTCATTTAGAGAGAGTAGTTTTGAAACACTTTTTTTTGTGGAATTTGCAAGTGGAGATTTCAAGCGCTTTGGGGCCAAAGGCAGAAAAGGAAATATCTTCGTATAAAAACTAGACAGAATCATTCTCAGAAACTGCTGCGTGATGTGTGCGTTCAACTCACAGAGTTTAACTTTTCTTTTCATTCAGCGGTTTGGAAACACTCTGTTTGTAAAGTCTGCACGTGGAAATTTTGACCACTTAGAGGCCTTCGTTGGAAACGGGTTTTTTTCATGTAAGGCTAGACAGAAGAATTCCCAGTAACTTCCTTGTGTTGTGTGCATTCAACTCACAGAGATGAAAGTTCCCTTCGACAGAGCAGATTTGAAACACTCTATTTGTGCCATTTGCAAGTGTAGATTTCAAGCGCTTTAAGGTCAATGGCAGAAAAGGAAATATCTTCGTTTCAAAACTAGACAGAATCATTCCCACAAACTGCGTTGTGATGTGTTCGTTCAACTCACAGAGTTTAACCTTTCTTTTCATAGAGCAGTTAGGAAACAGTCTGTTTGTCAATTCTGTAAGTGGATATTCTGACATCTTGTGGCTCTTCGTTGGAAACGGGATTTCTTCATATTCTGCTAGACAGAAGAATTCCCAGTAACTTCCTTGTGTTGTGTACATTCAACTCACAGAGTTGAACGTTCCCTTAGACAGAGCAGACTTGTAACACTCTTTTTGTGGAATTTGCAAGTGGAGTTTTCAGCCGCTTTTAAGTCAATGGTAGAAAAGGTAATATCTTCCTATAAAAACTAGACAGAATGATTCTCAGAAACTCCTTTGTGATGTGTGCGTTCAACTCACAGAGTTCAACCTTTCTTTTCATAGAGTAGTTGGAAAACACTCTGTTTGTAAAGTCTGCAAGTGGATATTCAGACTTCTTTGAGGCCTTCGTTGGAAGCGGGATTTCTTCATATTCTGCTAGACAGAAGAATTCTCAGTAACTTCCTTGTGTTGTGTGTATTCAACTGACAGAGTTAAACTTTCATTTAGAGAGAGCAGATTTGAAACACTGTTTTTGTGGAATTTGCAAGTGGAGATTTCAAGCACTTTGGGGCCAAAGGCAGAAAACTAAATATCTTCGTATAAAAACTAGACAGAATCATTCTCAGAAACTGCTGCATGATGTGTGCGTTCAACTCTCAGAGTTTAACTTTTCTTTTCATTCAGCGGTTTGGAAACACTCTGTTTGTAAAGTCTGCACTTGGATATTTTGACCACTTAGAAGCCTTCGTTGGAAACGGGTTTTTTTCATATAAGGCTAGACAGAAGAATTCCCAGTAACTTCCTTGTGTTGTGTGCATTCAACTCACAGAGTTGAACGTTCCCTTAGACAGAGCAGATTTGAAACACTCTATTTGTGCAATTTGCAAGTGTAGATTTCAAGCGCTTTAAGGTCAACGGCAGAAAAAGGAAATATCTTCGTTTCAAAACTAGACAGAATCATTCCCACAAACTGCGTTGTGATGTGTTCGTTCAACTCACAGACTTTAACCTTTCTTTTCATAGAGCAGTTAGGAAACAGTCTGTTTGTCAATTCTGTAAGTGGATATTCTGTCATCTTGTGGCCTTCGTTGGAAACGGGATTTCTTCATATTCTGCTAGACAGAAGAATTCTCAGTAACTTCCTTGTGTTGTGTGTATTCAACTCACAGAGTTGAACGATCCTTTACACAGAGCAGACTTGTAACACTCTTTTTGTGGAATTTGCAAGTGGAGATTTCAGCCGCTTTGAAGTCAAAGGTAGAAAAGGAAATATCTTCTCTATAAAAACTAGACAGAATGATTCTCAGAAACTCCTTTGTGATGTGTGCGTTCAACTCACAGAGTTTAACTTTTCTTTTCATAGAGCAGTTAAGAAACACTCTGTTTGTAATGTCTGCAAGTGGATATTCAGACCTCCTTGAGGCCTTCTTTGGAAACGGGATTTCTTCATATTCTGCTAGACAGAATAATTCTCAGTAACTTCCTTGTGTTGTGTGTATTCAACTGACAGAGTTGAACTTTCATTTAGAGAGAGCAGATTTGAAACACTGTTTTTGTGGAATTTGCAAGTGGAGATTTCAAGCGCTTTGGGGCCAAAGGCAGAAAAGGAAATATCTTCGTATAAAAACTAGACAGAATGATTCTCAGAAACTCCTTTGTGATGTGTGCCTTCAACTCACAGAGTTTAACCTTTCTTTTCATAGAGTAGTTAGGAAACACTCTGTTTGTAAAGTCTGCAAGTGGATATTCAGACCTCTTTGAGGCCTTCGTTGGAAACGGGTTTTTTTCATATAAGGCTAGACAGAAGAATTCTCAGTAACTTCCTTGTGTTGTGTACATTCAACTCACAAGAGTTGAACGTTCCCTTAGACAGAGCAGATTTGAAACACTCTTTTTGTGCAATTGGCAAGTGGTGATTTCAGCCGCTTTGAGGTCAATGGTAGAAAAGGAAATATCTTCGTATAAAAACTAGACAGAATCATCCCCATAAACTGCGTTGTGATGTGTTCGTTCAACTCACAGAGTTTAACCTTTCTTTTCATAGAGCAGTTAGGAAACAGTCTGTTTGTCAATTCTGTAAGTGGATATTCTGACATCTTGTGGCCTTAGTTGGAAACGGGATTTCTTCATATTCTGCTAGACAGAAGAATTCTCAGTAACTTCCTTGTGTTGTGTGTATTCAACTCACAGAGTTGAACGATCCTTTACACAGAGCAGACTTGAAAAACTCTTTTTGTGGAATTTGCAAGTGGAGATTTCAGCCGCTTTGAGTTCAATGGTAGAATAGGAAATATCTTCCTATAGAAACTAGACAGAATGATTCTCAAAAACTCCTTTGTGATGTGTACGTTCAACTCACAGAGTTTAACCTTTCTTTTCATAGAGCAGTTAGGAAACACTCTGTTTGTAAAGTCTGCAAGTGGATATTCAGACCTCTTTGAGGCCTTCGTTGGAAACGGGTTTTTTTCATATAAGGCTAGACAGAAGAATTCTCAGTAACTTCCTTGTGTTGTTTGTATTCAACTCACAGAGTTGAACTTTCATTTACACAGAGCAGATTTGAAACACTCTTTTTGTGGAATTTGCAAATGGAGATTTCAAGCGCTTTGAGGCCAAAGGCAGAAAAGGAAATATCTTCGTATAAAAACTAGACAGAATCATTCTCAGAAACTGCTCTGCGATGTGTGCATTCAACTCTCAGAGTTTAATTTTTCTTTTCATTCAGCAGTTTGGAAACATTCTCTTTGTGAAGTCTGCACGTGGATATTTTGACCACTTAGAGGCCTTCGTTGGAAACGGGTTTTATTCTTGTAAGGCTAGACAGAAGAATTCTCAGTAACTTCCTTGTGTTGTGTGTATTCAACTCACAGAGTGGAACGATCCTTTACACAGAGCAGACTTGAAACACTCTTTTTGTGGAATTTGCAAGTGGAGATTTCTGCCGCTTTGAGGTCAATTGTAGAATAGGAAATATCTTCCTATAGAAACTAGACAGAATGATTCTCAGAAACTCATTTGTGATGTGTGCGTTCAACTCACAGAGTTTAACCTTTCTTTTCATAGAGCAGTTAGGAAACACTCTGTTTGTAAAGTCTGCAAGTGGATATTCAGACCTCTTTGTGGCCTTCGTTGGAAACGGGATTTCTTCATATGATGCTAGACAGAAGAATTCTCAGAATCTTCCTTGTGTGGTGTGTATTCAACTCACAGAGTTGAACGATGGTTTACACAGAGCAGATTTGAAACACTCTTTTTGTGGAATTTGCAAGTGGAGATTTCAGCCGCTTTGAGGTCAATGGTAGAAAAGGAAATATCTTCGTATAAAAACTAGACAGAATGATTCTCAGGAAACTCCTTTGTGATGTGTGTGTTCAACTCACAGAGTTTAACCTTTCTTTTCATAGAGCAGTTAGGAAACACTCTGTTTGTAAAGTCTGCAAGTGGATATTCAGACCTCTTTGAGGCCTTCGTTGGAAACGGGTTTTTTTCATATAAGGCTAGACAGAAGAATTCCCAGTAACTTCCTTGTGTTGTGTGTGTTAAACTCACAGAGTTGAACTTCCATTTACACAGAGCAGATTTGAAACACTCTTTTTGTGGAATTTGCAAGTGGAGATTTCAAGCGCTTTGAGGCCAAAGGCAGAAAAGGAAATATCTTCGTTTCAAAACTAGACAGATAATCATTCTCAGAAACTGCTCTGCGATGTGTGCGTTCAACTCTCAGAGTTTAACTTTTCTTTTCATTCAGCAGTTTGGAAACACTCTGTTTGTAAAGTCTGCAGGTGGATATTTTGACCACTCAGAGGCCTTCGTTGGAAACGGGTTTTTTTCCTGTAAGGCTAGACAGAAGAATTCCCAGTAACTTCCTTGTGTTGTGTGCATTCAAGTCACAGAGTTGAACGTTCCCTTAGACAGAGCAGATTTGAAACACTCTATTTGTGCAATCTCCAAGTGTAGATTTCAAGCGCTTTAAGGTCAACGGCAGAAAAGATAATATCTTCGTTTCAAAACTAGACAGAATCATTCCCACAAACTGCGTTGTGATGTGTTCGTTCAACTCACAGAGTTTAACCTTTCTGTTCATAGTGCAGTTAGGAAACACTCTGTTTGTAAAGTCTGTAAGTGGATATTCTGACATCTTGTGGCCTTCGTTGGAAACGGGATTTCTTCATATTCTGCTAGACAGAAGAATTCTCAGTAACTTCCTTGTGTTGTGTGTATTCAACTCACAGAGTTGAACGATCCTTTACACAGAGCAGACTTGAAACACTCTTTTTGTGGAATTTGCAAGTGGAGATTTCAGCCGCTTTGTGGTCAATGGTAGAAAAGGAAATATCTTCGTATAAAAACTAGACAGAATGATTCTCAGAAACTCCTTTGTGATGTGTGCGTTCAACTCACAGAGTTTAACCTTTCTTTTCATAGAGCAGTTAGGAAACACTCTGTTTGTAAAGTCTGCAAGTGGATATTGAGACCTCCTTGAGGCCTTCGTTGGAAACGGGATTTCTTCATATTATGCTAGACAGAAGAATTCCCAGTAACTTCCTTGTGTTGTGTGTGTTCAACTCACAGAGTTGAACTTTCATTTACACAGAGCAGATTTGAAACACTCTTTTTGTGGAATTTGCAGGTGGAGATTTCAAGCCCTTTGAGGCCAAAGGCAGAAAAGGAAATATCTTCGTATAAAAACTAGACAGAGTCATTCTCAGAAACTGCTGCGTGATGTGTGCGTTCAACTCTCAGAGTTTAACTTTTCTTTTCATTCAGCGGTTTGGAAACACTCTGTTTGTAAAGTCTGCATGTGGAAATTTTGACCATTTAGAGGCCTTCGTTGGAAACGGGTTTTTTTCATGTAAGGCTAGACAGAAGAATTCCCAGTAACTTCCTTGTGTTGTGTACATTCAACTCACAGAGTTGAACGTTCCCTTAGACAGAGCATATTTGAAACACTCTTTTTGTGCAATTGGCAAGTGGAGATTTCAAGCGCTTTAAGGTCAATGGGAGAAAAGGAAATATCTTCGTTTCAAAACTAGACAGAATCATTCCCACAAACTGCGTTGTGATGTGTTCGTTCATCTCACAGAGTTTAACCTTTCTTTTCATAGAGCAGTTAGGAAACAGTCTGTTTGTAAATTCTGTAAGTGGATATTCTGACATCTTGTGGCCTTCGTTGGAAACGGGATTTCTTCATATTCTGCTAGACGGAAGAATTCTCAGTAACTTCCTTGTGTTGTGTGTATTCAACTCACAGAGTTGAACGATCCTTTACACAGAGCAGCCTTGAAACACTCTTTTTGTGGAATTTGCAAGTGGAGATTTCAGCCGCTTTGAGGTCAATGGTAGAATAGGAAATATCTTCCTATAGAAACTAGACAGAATGATTCTCAGAAACTCCTTTGTGATGTGTGTGTCCAACTCACAGAGTTTAACCTTTCTTTTCATAGAGCAGTTAGTAAACACTCTGTTTATAAAGTCTGCAAGTGGATATTCAGACCCCTTTGAGGCCTTCGTTGGAAACGGGATTTCTTCATATTATGCTAGACAGAAGAATTCTCAGTAACTTCCTTGTGTTGTGTGTGTTCAACTCACAGAGTTGAACTTTCATTTACCCAGAGCAGATTTGAAACACTCTTTTTGTGGAATTTGCAAGTGGAGATTTCAAGCGCTTTGAGGCCAAAGGCAGAAAAGGAAATATCTTCGTTTCAAAACTAGACAGAATCATTCTCAGAAACTGCTCGGCGATGTGTGCATTCAACTCTGAGAGTTTAACTTTTCTTTTCATTCAGCAGTTTCGAAACACTCTGTTTGTAAAGTCTGCACGTGGATATTTTGACCACTTAGAGGCCTTCGTTGGAAACGGGTTTTTTTCATGTAAGGCTAGACAGAAGAATTTCCTGTAAGTTCCTTGTGTTGCGTGCATTCAACTCACAGAGTTGAACGTTCCCTTAGACAGAGCAGATTTGAAACACTCTTTTTGTGCAATTGGCAAGTGGAGATTTCAAGCGATTTAAGGTCAATGGCAGAAAACGATATACCTTCATTTCAAAACTAGACAGAAATCATTCCCACAAACTGCGTTGTGATGTGTTCGTTCAACTCACAGAGTTTAACCTTTCTGTTCATAGAGCAGTTAGGAAACACTCTGTTTGTAAAGTCTGTAAGTGGATATTCTGACATCTTGTGGCCTTTGTTGGAAACGGGATTTCTTCATATTCTGCTAGACAGAAGAATTCTCAGTAACTTACTTGTGTTGTGTGTGTTCAACTCACAGAGTTCAACGATCCTTTACACAGAGCAGACTTGAAACACTCTTTTTGTGGAATTTGCAAGTGGAGATTTCAGCCGCTTTGAGGTCAATGGTAGAAAAGGAAATATCTTCGTATAAAAACTAGACAGAATGATTCTCAGAAACTCCTTTGTGATGTGTGCGTTCAACTCACAGAGTTTAACCTTTCTTTTCATAGAGCAGTTGGGAAACACTCTGTTTGTAACGTCTGCAAGTGGATATTCAGACATCCTTGAGGCTTTCGTTGGAAACGGGATTTCTTCATATTCTGCTAGAAAGAAGAATTCCCAGTAACATCCTTGTGTTGTGTGTGTTCAACTCACAAAGTTGAACTTTCATTTACACAGAGCAGATTTGAAACACTCTTTTTGTGGAATTTGCAAATGGAGATTTCAAGCGCTTTGAGGCCAAAGGCAGAAAAGGAAATATCTTCGTATAAAAACTAGACAGAAATCATTCTCAGAAACTGCTCTGCGATGTGTGCGTTCAACTCTCAGGAGTTTAACTTTTCTTTTCATTCAGCAGTTTGGAAACACTCTGTTTGTAAAGTCTGCACGTGGATATTTTGACCACTTAGAGGCCTTCGTTGGAAACGGGTTTTTTTCCTGTAAGGCTAGACAGAATAATTCCCAGTAACTTCCTTGTGTTGTGTACATTCAACTCACAGAGTTGAACGTTCCCTTAGACAGAGCAGATTTGAAACACTCTTTTTGTGAAATTGGCAAGTGGAGATTTCAAGCGCTTTAAGGTCAATGGCAGAAAAGGAAATATCTTCGTTTCAAAACTAGACAGAATGATTCTCAGAAACTCCTTTGTGATGTGTGCGTTCAACTCACAGAGTTTAACCTTTCTGTTCATAGAGCAGTTGGGAAACACTCTGTTTGTAAAGTCTGCAAGTGGATATTCAGACCTCTTTGAGGCCTTCGTTGGAAACGGGATTTCTTCATATTCTGCTAGACAGAAGAATTCTCAGTAACTTCCCTTGTGTTGTGTGTATTCAACTCACAGAGTTGAATGATCCTTTACACAGAACAGACTTGAAACACTCTTTTTGTGGAATTTGCAAGTGGAGATTTCAGCCGCTTTGAGGTCAATGGTAGAATAGGAAATATCTTCCTATAGAAACTAGACAGAATGATTCTCAGAAACTCCTTTGTGATGTGTGCGTTCAACTCACAGAGTTTAACCTTTGTTTTCATAGAGCAGTTAGGAAACACTCTGTTTGTAATGTCTGCAAGTGGATATTCAGACATCTTTGAGGCTTTCGTTGTAAACGGGATTTCTTCATATTCTGCTATACAGAAGAATTCCCAGTAACTTCCCTTGTGTTGTGTGTGTTCAACTCACAGAGTTGAACTTTCATTTACACAGAGCAGATTTGAAACACTCTTTTTGTGGAATTTGCAAGTGGAGATTTCAAGGGCTTTGAGGCCAAAGGCAGAAAAGGAAATGTCTTCGTTTCAAAACTAGACAGAATCATTCTCAGAAACTGCTCTGCGATGTGTGCGTTCAACTCTCAGAGTTTAACTTTTCTTTTCATTCAGCAGTTTGGAAACACTCTGGTTGTAAAGTCTGCACGTGGATATTTTGACCACTTAGAGGCCTTCGTTGGAAACGGGTTTTTTTCCTGTAAGGCTAGACAAAAGAATTCCCAGTAACTTCCTCGTGTTGTGTGCATTCAACTCACAGAGTTGAACGTTCCCTTAGACAGAGCAGATTTGAAACACTCTATTTGTGCAATTGGCAAGTGTAGATTTCAAGCGCTTTAAGGTCAATGGCAGAAAAGGAAATATCTTCGTTTCAAAACTAGACAGAATCATTCCCACAAACTGCGTTGTGATGTGTTCGTTCAACTCACAGAGTTTAACCTTTCCGTTCATAGAGCAGTTAGGAAACACTCTGTTTGTAAAGTCTGAAAGTGGATATTCTGACATCTTGTGGCCTTCGTTGGAAACGGGATTTCTTCATATTCTGCTAGACAGAATAATTCTCAGTAACTTCTTTGTGTTGTGTTTATTCAGCTGACAGAGTTGAACGATCCTTTACAGAGAGCAGACTTGAAACACTCTTTTTGTGGAATTTGCAAGTGGAGATTTCAGCCGCTTTGAGGTCAATGGTAGAATAGGAAATATCTTCCTATAGAAACTAGACAGAATGATTCTCAGAAACTCCTTTGTGATGTGTGCGTTCAACTCACAGAGTTTAACCTTTCTTTTCATAGAGCAGTTAGGAAACACTCTGTTTGTAAAGTCTGCAAGTGGATATTCAGACCTCTTTGAGGCCTTCGTTGGAAAAGGGTTTTTTTCATATAAGGCTAGACAGAAGAATTCTCAGTAACTTCCTTGTGTTGTGTGTATTCAACTGACAGAGTTTAACTTTCATTTAGAGAGAGCAGATTTGAAAACCTGTTTTTGTGGAATTTGCAAGTGGAGATTTCAAGCGCTTTGGGGCCAAAGGCAGAAAAGGAAATATCTTCGTATAAAAACTAAACGGAATTATTCTCAGAAACTCCTTTGTGATGTGTGCGTTCAACTCACAGAATTTAACCTTTCTTTTCATAGAGCAGTTAGGAAACACTCTGTTTGTAAAGACTGCAAGTGGATATTCAGACCTCTTTGAGGCCTTCGTTGGAAACGGGTTTTTTTCCTGTAAGGCTAGACAGAAGAATTCCCAGTAACTTCCTTGTGTTGTGTACATTCAACTCACAGAGTTGAACGTTCCCTTAGACAGAGCAGATTTGAAACACTCTTTTTGTGCAATTGGCAAGTGGAGATTTCAAGCGCTTTAAGGTCAATGGCAGAAAAGGAAATATCTTCGTTTCAAAACAAGACAGAATCATTCCCACAAACTGCGTTGTGATGTGTTCGTTCAACTCACAGAGTTTAACCTTTCTTTTCATAGAGCAGTTAGGAAACAGTCTGTTTGTAAATTTTGTAAGTGGATATTCTGACATCTTGTGGCCTTCGTTGGAAACGGGATTTCTTCATATTCTGCTAGACAGAAGAATTCTCAGTAACTTCCTTGTGTTGTGTGTATTCAACTCACAGAGTTGAAGGATCCTGTACACAGAGCAGTCTTGAAACACTCTTTTTGTGGAATTTGCAAGTGGAGATTTCAGCCGCTTTGAGGTCAATAGTAGAAAAGGAAATATCTTCGTAGAAAAACTACACAGAATGATTCTCAGAAACTCCTTTGTGATGTGTGCGTTCAACTCACAGAGTTTAACCTTTCTTTTCATAGAGCAGTTAGGAAACACTCTGTTTGTAAGGTCTGCAAGTGGATATTCAGACATCTTTGAGGCTTTCGTTGCAAACGGGTTTTCTTCATATTCTGCTACACAGAAGAATTCTCAGAAACTTCCTTGTGTTGTGTGATTTCAACTCACAGAGTTGAACGATGCTTTACACAGAGTAGACTTGAAACACTCTTTTTGTGGAATTTGCAAGTGGAGATTTCAGCCGCTTTGTGGTCAATGGTTGAAAAGGAAATATCTTCGTATAAAAACTAGACAGAATGATTCTCCGAAACTCCTTTGTGATGTGTGCGTACAACTCACAGAGTTTAACCTTTCTTTTCATAGAGCAGTTAGGAAACACTCTGTTTGTAAAGTCTGCAAGTGGATATTCAGACCTCTTTGAGGCCTTCGTTGGAAACGGGATTTCTTCATATTCTGCTAGACAGAAGAATTCCCAGTAACTTGCCTTGTGTTGTGTACATTCAACTCACAGAGTTGAACGTTCCCTTAGACAGAGCAGATTTGAAACACTCTTTTTGTGCAATTGGCAAATGGAGATTTCAAGCGCTTTAAGGTCAATGGCAGAAAAGGAAATTGTTCGTTTCAAAACTAGACAGAATCATTCCCACAAACTGCGTTGTGATGTGTTCGTTCAACTCACAGAGTTTAACATTTCTGTTCATAGAGCAGTTAGGAAACACTCTGTTTGTAAAGTCTGTATGTGGATATTCTGACATCTTGTGGCCTTCGTTGGAAACGGGATTTCTTCATATTCTGCTAGACAGAAGAATTCTCAGTAACATCTTTGTGTTGTGTGTATTCAACTCACAGAGTTGAACGATCCTTTACACAGAGCAGACTTGAAACACTCTTTTTGTGGAATTTGCAAGTGGAGATTTCAGCCGCTTTGAGGTCAATGGTAGAATAGGAAATATCTTCCTATAGAAACTAGACAGAATGATTCTCAGAAACTCCTTTGTGATGTGTGCGTTCAACTCACAGAGTTTAACCTTTCTTTTCATAGAGCAGTTAGGAAACACTCTGTTTCTAAAGTCTGCAAGTGGATATTCAGCCCTCTTTGAGGCCTTCGTTGGAAACGGGTTTTTTTCATATAAGGCTAGAGAGAAGAATTCCCAGTAACTTCCTTGTGTTGTGTGTGTTCAACTCACAGAGTTGAACTTTCATTTACACAGAGCAGATTTGAAACACTCTTTTTGTGGAATTTGCAAGTGGAGATTTCAAGCGCTTTGAGGCCAAAGGCAGAAAAGGAAATATCTTCGTAGAAAAACTAGGCAGAAATCATTCTCAGAAACTGCTCTGCGATGTGTGCGTTCAACTCTCAGGAGTTTAACTTTTCTTTTCATTCAGCAGTTTGGAAACACTCTGTTTGTAAAGTCTGCACGTGGATATTTTGACCACTTAGAGGCCTTCGTTGGAAACGGGTTTTTTTCCTGTAAGGCTAGACAGAAGAATTCCCAGTAACTTCCTTGTGTTGTGTACATTCAACTCACAGAGTTGAACGTTCCCTTAGACAGAGCAGATTTGAAACACTCTTTTTGTGCAATTGGCAAGTGGAGATTTCAAGCGCTTTAAGGTCAATGGCAGAAAAGGAAATATCTTCGTTTCAAAACTAGACAGTATCATTCCCACAAACTGCGTTGTGATGTGTTCGTTCAACTCACAGAGTTTAACCTTTCTGTTCATAGAGCAGTTAGGTAACACTCTGTTTGTAAAGTCTGCCAGTGGATATTCGGACCTCCTTGAGGCCTTCGTTGGAAACGGGATTTCTTCATATTCTGCTAGACAGAAGAGTTCTCAGTAACTTTTTTGTGTTGTGTGTATTCAACTCACAGAGTTGAACCTTGCTTTAGAGAGAGCAGATTTGAAACACTCTTTTTGTGGAATTTGCAAGTGGAGATTTCAGCCGCTTTGAGTTCAATGGTAGAATAGGAAATATCTTCCTATAGAAACTAGACAGAATGATTCTCAGAAACTCCTTTGTGATGTGTGCGTTCAACTCACAGAGTTTAACCTTTCTTTTCATAGAGCAGTTAGGAAACACTCTGTTTGTAAAGTCTGCAAGTGGATATTCAGACCTCTTTGAGGCCTTCGTTGGAAACGGGATTTCTTCATATTCTGCTAGACACAAGAATTCTCAGAAACTTCCTTGTGTTGTGTGTTTTCAACTCACAGAGTTGAACGATCCTTTACACAGAGCAGACTTGAAACACTCTTTTTGTGGAATTTGCAAGTGGAGATTTCAGCCGCTTTGAGGTCAATGGTAGAATAGGAAATATTTTCCTATAGAAACTAGACAGAATGATTCTCAGAAACTCCTTTGTGATGTGTGCGTTCAACTCACAGAGTTTAACCTTTCTTTTCATAGAGCAGTTAGGAAACACTCTGTTTGTAAAGACTGCAAGTGGATATTCAGACCTCCTTGAGGCCTTCGTTGGAAACAGGATTTCTTCATATTATGCTAGACAGAAGAATTCTCAGTAACTTCCTTGTGTTGTGTGTATTCAACTCACAGAGTTGAACAATCCTTTACACAGAGCAGACTTGAAACACTCTTTTTGTGGAATTTGCAAGTGGAGATTTCAGCCGCTTTGAGGTCAATGGTAGAATAGGAAATATCTTCCTATAGAAACTAGACAGAATCATTCTCAGAAACTGCTCTGCGATGTGTGCGTACAACTCTCAGACTTTAACTTTTCTTTTCATTCAGCAGTTTGGAAACACTCTGTTTGTAAAGTCTGCACGTGGATAATTTGACCACTTAGAGGCCTTCGTTGGAAACGGGTTTTTTTCATGTAAGGCTAGACAGAAGAATTCCCAGTAACTTCCTTGTGTTGTGTGCATTCAACTCACAGAGTTGAACGTTTCCTTAGACAGAGCAGAATTGAAACACTCTATTTGTGCAATTTGCAAGTGTAGATTTCAAGCGCTTTAAGGTCAATGGCAGAAAAGGAAATATCTTCGTTTCAAAACTAGACAGAATCATTCCCACAAACTGCGTTGTGATGTGTTCGTTCAACTCACAGAGTTTAACCTTTCTTTTCATAGAGCAGTTAGGAAACAGTCTGTTTGTCAATTCTGTAAGTGGATATTCTGACATCTTGTGGCCTTCGTTGGAAACGGGGTTTCTTCATATTCTCCTAGACAGAAGAATTCTCAGTAACTTCCTTGTGTTGTGTGTATTCAACTCACAGAGTTGAACGATCCTTTACACAGAGCAGATTAGAAACACTTCTTTTGTGGAATTTGCAAGTGGAGATTTCAGCCGCGTTGAGGTCAATGGTAGAAAAGGAAATATCTTCGTATAAAAACTAGACAGAATGATTCTGAGAAACTCCTTTGTGATGTGTGCGTTCAACTCACAGAGTTTAACCTTTCTTTTCATAGAGCAGTTAGGAAACACTCTGTTTGTAAAGTCTGCAAGTGGATATTCAGATCTCCTTGAGGCCTTCTTTGGAAACGGGATTTCTTCATATTATGCTAGACAGAAGAATTCCCAGTAACTTCCTTGTGTTGTGTGTGTAGAACTCACAGAGTTGAACTTTCATTTAGACAGAGCAGATTTGAAACACTCTTTTTGTGGAATTTGCAAATGGAGAATTCATGCACTTTGAGGCCAAAGGCAGAAAAGGAAATATCTTCGTATAAAAACTAGACAGAATCATTCTCAGAAACTGCGGCGTGATGTGTGCGTTCAACTCTCAGAGTTTAACTTTTCTTTTCATTCAGCGGTTTGGAAACACTCTGTTTGTAAAGTCTGCACGTGGATATTTTGACCACTTAGAGGCCTTCGTTGGAAACGGGTTTTTTTCATGTAAGGCTAGACAGAAGAATTCCCAGTAACTTCCTTGTGTTGTGTACATTCAACTCACAGAGTTGAACGTTCCCTTAGACAGAGCAGATTTGAAACACTCTTTTTGTGCAATTTGCAAGTGGTGATTTCAGCCGCTTTGAGGTCAATGGTAGAAAAGGAAATATCTTCGTATAAAAACTAGACAGAATCATTCCCACAAACTGCGTTGTGATGTGTTCGTTCAACTCACAGAGTTTAACCTTTCTTTTCATAGAGCAGTTAGGAAACAGTCTGTTTGTAAATTCTGTAAGTGGATATTCTGACATCTTGTGGCGTTCGTTGGAAACGGGATTTCTTCATATTCTGCTAGACAGAAGAATTCTCAGTAACTTCCTTGTGTTGTGTGTATTCAACTCACAGAGTTGGACGATCCTTTACACAGAGCAGACTTGAAACACTCTTTTTGTGGAATTTGCAAGTGGAGATTTCAGCCGCTTTGAGGTCAATAGTAGAAAAGGAAATATCTTCGTAGAAAAACTAGACAGAATGATTCTCAGAAACTTCTTTGTGATGTGTGTGTTCAACTCACAGAGTTTAACCTTTCTTTTCATAGAGCAGTTAGTAAACACTCTGTTTATAAAGTCTGCAAGTGGATATTCAGACCCCTTTGAGGCCTTCGTTGGAAACGGGATTTCTTCATATTATGCTAGACAGAACAATTCCCAGTAACTTCCTTGGGTTGTGTGTGTTCAACTCACAGAGTTGAACTTTCATTTACACAGAGCAGATTTGAAACACTCTTTTTGTGGAATTTGCAAGTGGAGATTTCAAGCGCTTTGAGGCCAAAGGCAGAAAAGGAAATATCTTCGTATAAAAACTAGACAGAATCATTCTCAGAAACTGCTCTGCGATGTGTGCGTTCAACTCTCAGAGTTTAACTTTTCTTTTCATTCAGCAGTTTGGAAACACTCTGTTTGTAAAGTCTGCACGTGGATAATTTGACAACTTAGAGGCCTTCTTTGGAAACGGGTTTTTTTCATGTAAGGCTAGACAGAAGAATTCCCAGTAACTTCCTTGTGTTGTGTACATTCAACTCACAGAGTTGAACGTTCCCTTAGACAGAGCAGATTTGAAACACTCTTTTTGTGCAATTGGCAAGTGGTGATTTCAGCCGCTTTGAGGTCAATGGTAGAAAAGGAAATATCTTCGTATAAAAACTAGACAGAATGATTCTCAGAAACTTCTTTGTGATGTGTGCGTTCAACTCACAGAGTTTAACCTTTCTTTTCACAGAGCAGTTAGGAAACACTCTGTTTGTAAACTCTGCAAGTGGATATTCAGACCTCTTTGAGGCCTTCGTTGGTAACGGGATTTCTTCATACTATGCTAGACAGAAGAATTCTCAGTAACTTCCTTGTGTTGTGTGTATTCAACTCACAGAGTTGAACGATCCTTTACACAGAGCAGACTTGTAACACTCTTTTTGTGGAATTTGCAAGTGGAGATTTCAGCCGCTTTGAAGTCAAAGGTAGAAAAGGAAATATCTTCCTATAAAAACTAGACAGAATGATTCTCAGAAACTTCATTGTGATGTGTGCGTTCAACTCACAGAGTTTAACCTTTCTTTTCATAGAGCAGTTAGGAAACACCGTTTGTAAACTCTGCAAGTGGATATTCAGACCTCTTTGAGGCCTTCGTTGGAAACGGGATTTCTTCATACTGTGCTAGACAGAAGAATTCTCAGTAACTTCTTTGTGTTGTGTGTATTCAACTGACAGAGTTGAACTTTCATTTAGAGAGAGCAGATTTGAAACACTGTTTTTGTGGAATTTGCAAGTGGAGATTTCAAGCGCTTTGGGGCCAAAGGCAGAAAAGGAAATATCTTCGTATAAAAACTAGACAGAATCATTCTCAGAAACTGCTGCGTGATGTGTGCGTTCAACTCTCAGAGTTTAACTTTTCTTTTCATTCAGCGGTTTGGAAACACTCTGTTTGTAAAGTCTGCACGTGGATATTTTGACCACTTAGAGGCCTTCTTTGGAAACGGGTTTTTTTCAAGTAAGGCTAGACAGAAGAATTCCCAGTAACTTCCTTGTGTTGTGTGCATTCAACTCACAGATTTGAACGTTCCCTAGACGGAGCAGATTTGAAACACTCTATTTGTGCAATTTGCAAGTGTAGATTTCAAGCGCTTTAAGGTCAATGGCAGAAAAGGGAATATCTTCGTTTCAAAACTAGACAGAATCATTCCCACAAACTGCGTTGTGATGTGTTCGTTCAACTCACAGAGTTTAACCTTTCTGTTCATAGAGCAGTGAGGAAACACTCTGTTTGTAAAGTCTGTAAGTGGGTATTCTGACATCTTGTGGCCTTCGTTGGAAACGGGATTTCTTCATATTCTGCTAGACAGAAGAATTCTGAGTAACTTCCTTGTGTTGTGTGTATTCAACTCACAGAGTTCAACGATCCTTTACACAGAGCAGACTAGAAACACCCTTTTGTGGAATTTGCAAGTGGAGATTTCAGCCGCTTTGAGGTCAATTGTAGAAAAGGAAATATCTTCGTATAAAAACTAGACAGAATGATTGTCAGAAACTCCTTTGTGCTGTGTGCGTTCAACTCACAGAGTTTAAACTTTCTTTTCATAGAGCAGTTAGGAAACACTCTGTTTGTAAAGTCTGCAGGTGGATATTCAGACATCATTGAGGCTTTCGTTGGAAACGGGATTTCTTCATATTCTGCTAGACAGAAGAATTCTCAGTAACTTCCTTGTGTTGTGTGTATTCAACTGACACAGTTGAACTTTCATTTAGAGAGAGCAGATTTGAAACACTGTTTTTGTGGAATTTGCAAGTGGAGATTTCAAGCGCTTTGGGGCCAAAGGCAGAAAAGGAAATATCTTCGTATAAAAACTAGACAGAATGATTCTCAGAAACTCCTTTGTGATGTGGGCGTTCAACTCACAGAGTTTAACCTTTCTTTTCATAGAGCCGTTAGGAAACACTCTGTTTGTAAATTCTGCACGTGGATATTTGGACTTCTTAGAGGCCTTCGTTGGAAACGGGTTTTTTTCATGTAAGGCTAGACGGAAGAATTCCCAGTAACTTCCTTGCGTTGTGTACATTCAACTCACAGAGTTGAACGTTCCCTTAGACAGAGCAGATTTGAAACACTCTTTTTGTGCAATTGGCAAGTGGAGATTTCAAGCGCTTTAAGGTCAATGGCAGAAAAGGAAATATCTTCGTTTCAAAACTAGACAGAATCACTCCCACAAACTGCGTTGTGATGTGTTCGTTCAACTCACAGAGTTTAACCTTTCTTTTCATAGAGCAGTTAGGAAACAGTCTGTTTGTAAATTCTGTAAGTGGATATTCTGACATCTTGTGGCCTTCGTTGGAAACGGGATTTCTTCATATTCTGCTAGACAGAAGAATTCTCAGTAACTTCCTTGTGTTGTGTGTATTCAACTCACAGTAGTTGAACGATCCTTTACACAGAGCAGACTTGAAACACTCTTTTTGTGGAATTTGCAAGGGGAGATTTCAGCCGCTTTGAGTTCAATGGTAGAATAGGAAATATCTTCCTATAGAAACTAGACAGAGTGATTCTCAGAAACTTCTTTGTGATGTCTGCGTTCAACTCACAGAGTTTAACCTTTCTTTTCATAGAGCAGTTAGGAAACACTCTGTTTGTAAAGTCTGCAAGTGGATAGTCAGACCTCCTTGAGGCCTTCGTTGGAAACGGGATTTCTTCATATTCTGCTATACAGAAGAATTCTCAGTAACTTCCTTGTGTTGTTTGTATTCAACTGACAGAGTTGAACTTTCATTTACAGAGAGCAGATTTGAAACACTGTTTTTGTGGAATTTGCAAGTGGAGATTTCAAGCGCTTTTTGGCCAAAGGCAGAAAACGAAATATCTTCGTATAAAAACTAGACAGAATCATTCTCAGAAACTGCTGCGTGATGTGTGCGTTCAACTCTCAGAGTTTAACTTTTCTTTTCATTCAGCGGTTCTGAAACACTCTGTTTGTAAAGTCTGCACGTGGATATTTTGACCACTTAGAGGCCTTCGTTGGAAACGGGTTTTTTTCATGTAAGGCTAGGCAGAAGAATTCCCAGTAACTTCCTTGTGTTGTGTGCATTCAACTCACAGAGTTGAACGTTCCTTAGACAGAGCAGATTTGAAACACTCTATTTGTGCAATTTGCAAGTGTAGATTTCAAGCGCTTTAAGGTCAATGGCAGAAAAGGAAATATCTTCGTTTCAAAACTAGACAGAATCATTCCCACAAACTGCGTTGTGATGTGTTCGTTCAACTCACAGTGTTTAACCTTTCCGTTCATAGAGCAGTTAGGAAACACTCTGTTTGTAAAGTCTATAAGTGGATATTCTGACATCTTGTGGCCTTCGTTGGAAACGGGATTTCTTCATATTCTGCTAGACAGAAGAATTCTCAGTAACTTCCTTGTGTTGTGTGTATTCAACTCACAGAGTTGAACGATCCTTTACACAGAGCAGACTTGAAACACTCTTTTTGTGGAATTTGCAAGTGGAGATTTCAGCCGCTGTGAGTTCAATGGTAGAATAGGAAATATCTTCCTATAGAAACTAGACAGAATGATTCTCAGAAACTCCTTTGTGATGTGTGTGTTCAACTCACAGAGTTTAACCTTTCTTTTCATAGAGCAGTTAGGAAACACTCTGTTTGTAAAGTCTGCAAGTGGATATTCAGACCTCTTTGAGGCCTTCGTTGGAAACGGGATTTCTTCATATTCTGCTAGACAGAAGAATTCCCAGTAACTTCCTTGTGTTGTGTGTGTTCAACTCACAGAGTTGAACTTTCATTTACACAGAGCAGATTTGAAATACTCTTTTTGTGGAATTTGCAAGTGGAGATTTCAAGCGCTTTGAGGCCAAAGGCAGAAAAGGAAATATCTTCGTATAAAAACTAGACAGAATCATTCTCAGAAACTGCTCTGCGATGTGTGCGTTCAACTCTCAGAGTTTAACTTTTCTTTTCATTCAGCAGTTTGTAAACACTCTGTTTGTAAAGTCTGCACGTGGATATTTTGACCACTTAGAGGCCTTTGTTGGAAACGGGTTTTTTTCCTGTAAGGCTAGACAGAAGAATTCCCAGGAACTTCCTTGCGTTGTGTACATTCAACTCACAGAGTTGAACGTTCCCTTAGACAGAGCAGATTTGAAACACTCTTTTTGTGCAATTGGCAAGTGGAGATTTCAAGCGCTTTAAGGTCAATGGCAGAAAAGGAAATATCTTCGTTTCAAAACTAGACAGAATCATTCTCAGAAACTGCTGCGTGATGTGTGCGTTCAACTCTCAGAGTTTAACTTTTCTTTTCATTCAGCGGTTTGGAAACACTCTGTTTGTAAAGTCTGTAAGTGGATATTCTGACATCTTGTGGCCTTCGTTGGAAACGGGATTTCTTCATATTCTGCTAGACAGAAGAATTCTCAGTACCTTCCTTGTTTTGTGTGTATTCAACTCACAGAGTTGAACGATCCTTTACGCAGAGCAGACTTGAAACACTCTTTTTGTGGAATTTGCAAGTGGAGATTTCAGCCGCTTTGAGGTCAATGGTAGAAAAGGAAATATCTTCGTATAAAGACTAGACAGAATGATTCTCAGAAACTCCTTTGTGATGTGTGCGTTTAACTCACAGAGTTTAACCTTTCTTTTCATAGAGCAGTTAGGAAACACTCTGTTTGTAAAGTCTGCAAGTGGATATTCAGACATCCTTGAGGCTTTCGTTGGAAACGGGATTTCTTCATATTCTGCCAGAAAGAAGAATTCCCAGTAACTTCCTTGTGTTGTGTGTGTTCAACTCACAGAGTTGAACTTTCATTTACACAGAGCAGATTTGAAACACTCTTTTTGTGGAATTTGCAAGTGGAGATTTCAAGCGCTTTGAGGCCAAAGCAGAAAAGGAAATATCTTCGTTTGAAAACTAGACAGAATCATTCTCAGAAACTGCTCTGCGATGTGTGCGTTCAACTCTCAGAGTTTAACTTTTCTTTTCATTCAGCAGTTTGGAAACACTCTGTTTGTAAAGTCTGCACGTGGATAACTTGACCACTTAGAGGCCTTCGTTGGAAACGGGTTTTTTTCATGTAAGGCTAGACAGAAGAATTCCCAGTGACATCCTTGTGTTGTGTGCATTCAACTCACAGAGTTGAACGTTCCCTTAGACAGAGCAGATTTGAAACACTCTATTTGTGCAATTTGCAAGTGTAGATTTCAAGCGCTTTAACGTCAATGGCAGAAAAGGAAATATCTTCGTTTTAAAACTAGACAGAATCATTCCCACAAACTGCATTGTGATGTGTTCGTTCAACTCACAGAGTTTAACCTTTCTGTTCATAGAGCAGTTAGGAAACACTCTGTTTGTAAAGTCTGCAAGTGGATATTCAGACCTCTTTGAGGCCTTCGTTGGAAACGGGATTTCTTCATATTCTGCTAGACAGAAGAATTCTCAGTAACTTCCTTGTGTTGTGTGTATTCAACTCACAGAGTTGAAGGATCCTTTACAGAGAGCAGGCTTGAAACACTCTTTTTGTCGAATTTGCAAGTGGAGATTTCAGCCGCTTTGAGGTCAATGGTAGAATAGGGAATATCTTCTTATAGAAACTAGACAGAATGATTCTCAGAAACTCCTTTGTGATGTGTGTGTTCAACTCACAGAGTTTAACCTTTCTTTTCATAGAGCAGTTAGTAAACACTCTGTTTATAAAGTCTGCAAGTGGATATTCAGACCCCTTTGAGGCCTTCGTTGGAAATGGGATTTCTTCATATTATGCTAGACAGAAGAATTCTCAGTAACTTTCCTTGTGTTGTGTGTATTCAACTGACAGAGTTGAACTTTCATTTAGAGAGAGCAGATTTGAAACACTCTTTTTGTGGAATTTGCAAGTGGAGATTTCAAGCGCTTTGGGGCCAAAGGCAGAAAAGGAAATATCTTCGTATAAAAACTAGACAGAATCATTCTCAGAAACTGCTCTGTGATGTGTGCGTTCAACTCTCAGAGTTTAACTTTTCTTTTCATTCAGCAGTTTGGAAACAATCTGTTTGTAAAGTCTGCACGTGGATATTTTGACCACTTAGAGGCCTTCGTTGGAAACGGGTTTCTTTCCTGTAAGGGTAGACAGAAGAATTCCCAGTAACTTCCTTGTGTTGTGTGCATTCAACTCACAGAGTTGAACGTTCCCTTAGACAGAGCAGATTTGAAACACTCTATTTGTGCAATTTGCAAGTGTAGTTTTCAAGCTCTTTAAGGTCAACGGCAGAAAAGGAAATATCTTGGTTTCAAAACTAGACAGAATCATTCCCACAAACTGCGTTGTGATGTGTTCGTTCAACTCACAGAGTTTAACCTTTCTGTTCATAGAGCAGTTAGGAAACAATCTGTTTGTAAAGTCTGCAAGTGGATATTCAGACCTCCTTGAGGCCTTCGTTGGAAACGGGATTTCATCATATTATGCTAGACAGAAGAATTCTCAGTAACTTCCTTGTGTTGTGTGAATTCACCTCACAGAGTTGAACGATCGTTTACACAGAGCAGACTTGAAACACTCTTTTTGTGGAATTTGCAAGTGGAGATTTCAGCCGCTTTGTGGTCAATAGTAGAATAGGAAATATCTTCCTATAGAAACTAGACAGAATGATTCTCAGAAAGTCCTTTGTGATGTGTGCGTTCAACTCACAGAGTTTAACCTTTCTGTTCATAGAGCAGTTAGGAAACACTCTGTTTGTAAAGTCTGCAAGTGGATATTCAGACCTCCTTGAGGCCTTCGTTGGAAACGGGATTTCTTCATATTCTGCTAGACAGAAGAATTCCCAGTAACTTCCTTGTGTTGTGTGTGTTCAACTCACAGAGTTGAACTTTCATTTACACAGAGCAGATTTGAAACACTCTTTCTGTGGAATTTGCAAGTGGAGATTTCAAGCGCTTTGAGGCCAAAGGCAGAAAAGGAAATATCTTCGTTTCAAAACTAGACAGAATCATTCTCAGAAACTGCTCTGCGATGTGTGCGTTCAACTCTCAGAGTTTAACTTTTCTTTTCATTCAGCAGTTTGGAAACACTCTGTTTGTAAAGTCTGCACGTGGATATTTTGACCATTTAGAGACCTTCGTTGGAAACGGGTTTTTTTCTTGTAAGGCTAGACAGAAGAATTCCCAGTAACTTCCTTGTGTTGTGTACATTCAACTCACAGAGTTGAACGTTCCCTTAGACAGAGCAGATTTGAAACACTCTTTTTGTGCAATTGGCAAATGGAGATTTCCAGCGCTTTAAGGTCAATGGCAGAAAAGGAAATATCTTCGTTTCAAAACTAGACAGAAAATCATTCCCACAAACTGCGTTGTGATGTGTTCGTTCAACTCACAGAGTTTAACCTTTCTGTTCATAGAGCAGTTAGGAAACACTCTGTTTGTAAAGTCTGTAAGTGGATATTCTGACATCTTGTGGCCTTCGTTGGAAACGGGATTTCTTCATATTCTGCTAGACAGAAGAATTCCCAGTAACTTCCCTTGTGTTGTGTGTGTTCAACTCACAGAGTTGAACTTTCATTTACACAGAGCAGATTTGAAACACTCTTTTTGTGGAATTTGCAAATGGAGATTTCAGCCGCGTTGAGGCCAATGGTAGAAAAGGAAATATCTTCGTTTCAAAACTAGACAGAATGATTCTCAGAAACTCCTTTGTGATGTGTGTGTTCAACTCACAGATTTTAACCTTTCTTTTCATAGAGCAGTTAGGAAACACTCTGTTTGTAAAGTCTGCAAGTGGATATTCAGACCTCTTTGAGGCCTTCGTTGGAAACGGGTTTTTTTCATATAAGGCTAGACAGAAGAATTCTCAGTAACTTCCTTGTGTTGTGTGTATTCAACTCACAGAATTGAACGATCCTTTACACAGAGCAGACTTGAAACACTCTTTTTGTGGAATTTGCATGTGGAGATTTCAGCCGCTTTGAGGTCAATGGTAGAAAAGGAAATATCTTCCTATAGAAACTAGACAGAATGATTCTGAGAAACTCCTTTGTGATGTGTGCGTTCAACTCACAGAGTTTAACCTTTCTTTTCACAGAGCAGTTAGGAAACACTCTGTTTGTAAAGTCTGCAAGTGGATATTCAGACCTCCTTGAGGCCTTCGTTGGAAACGGGATTTCTTCATATTATGCTAGACAGAAGAATTCCCAGTAACTTCTTTGTGTTGTGTGCATTCAACTCACAGAGTTGAACGTTCCCTTAGACAGAGCAGATTGGAAACACTCTATTTGTGCAATTTGCAAGTGTAGATTTCAAGCGCTTTAAGGTCAACGGCAGAAAAGGAAATATCTTCGTTTCAAAACTAGACAGAATCATTCCCACAAACTGCGTTGTGATGTGTTCGTTCAACTCACACAGTTTAACCTTTCTGTTCATAGAGCAGTTAGGAAACACTCTGTTTGTAAAGTCTCTAAGTGGATACTCTGACATCTTGTGGCCTTCGTTGGAAACGGGATTTCTTCATATTCTGCTAGACAGAAGAATTCTCAGAAACTTCCTTGTGTTGTGTGTTTTCAACTCACAGAGTTGAATGATCCTTTACACAGAGTAGACTTGAAACACTCTTTTTGTGGAATTTGCAAGTGGAGATTTCAGCCGCTTTGAAGTCAATGGTAGAAAAGGAAATATCTTCGTATAAAAACTAGACAGAATGATTCTCAGAAACTCCTTTGTGATGTGTGCGTTCAACTCACAGAGTTTAACCTTTCTTTTCTTAGAGCAGTTAGGAAACACTCTGTTTGTAAAGTCTGCAAGTGGATATTCAGACCTCTTTGAGGCCTTCGTTGGAAACGGGTTTTTTTCATATAAGGCTAGACAGAAGAATTCTCAGTAACTTCCTTGTGTTATGTGTATTCAACTGACAGAGTTGAACTTTCATTTAGAGAGAGCAGATTTGAAACACTGTTTTTGTGGAATTTGCAAGTGGAGATTTCAAGCGCTTTGGGGCCAAAGGCAGAAAAGGAAATATCTTCGTATGAAAACTAGACACAATCATTCTCAGAAACTGCTCTGCGATGTGTGCGTTCAACTCTCAGAGTTTAACTTTTCTTTTCATTCAGCAGTGTGGAAACACTCTGTTTGTAAAGTCTGCACGTGGATATTTTGACCACTTAGAGGCCTTCGTTGGAAACGGGTTTTTTTCCTGTCAGGCTAGACAGAAGAATTCCCAGTAACTTCCTTGTGTTGTGTGCATTCAACTCACAGAGTTGAACGTTCCCTTAGACAGAGCAGATTTGAAACACTCTATTTGTGCAATTTGCAAGTGTAGATTTGAAGCGCTTTCAGGTCAATGGCAGAAAAGGAAATATCTTCGTTTCAAAACTAGACAGAATGATTCCCACAAACTGCGTTGTGATGTGTTCGTTCAACTCACAGAGTTTAACCTTTCTGTTCATAGAGCAGTTAGGAAACACTCTGTTTGTAAAGTCTGTAAGTGGATATTCTGACATCTTGTGGCCTTCGTTGGAAACGGGATTTCTTCATATTCTGCTAGACAGAAGAATTCTCAGTAACTTACCTTGTGTTGTGTTTATTCAACTCACAGAGTTGAATGATCCTTTACACAGAGCAGACTTGAAACACTCTTTTTGTGGAATTTGCAAGTGGAGATTTCAGCCGCTTTGAAGTCAATGGTAGAAAAGTAAATATCTTCGTATAAAGACAAGACAGAATGATTTTCAGAAACTGCTTTGTGATGTGTGCGTTCAACTCACAGAGTTTCAACTTTCTTTTCATAGAGCAGTTAGGAAACACTCTGTTTGTAAAGTCTACAAGTGGATATTCAGACCTCTTTGAGGCCTTCGTTGGAAACGGGATTTCTTTATATTATGCTAGACAGAAGAATTCCCAGTAACTTCCTTGTGTTGTGTGTGTTCAACTCACAGAGTTGAACTTTCATTTACACAGAGCAGATTTGAAACACTCTTTTTGTGGAATTTGCAAGTGGAGATTTCAAGCGCTTTGAGGCCAAAGGCAGAAAAGGAAATATCTTCGTATAAAAAGTAGACAGAATCATTCTCAGAAACTGCTCTGCGATGTGTGCGTTCAACTCTCAGAGTTTAACTTTTCTTTTCATTCAGCAGTTTGGAAACAGTCTGTTTGTAAAGTCTGCACGTGGATATTTTGACCACTTAGAGGCCTTCGTTGGAAACGGTTTTCTTTCCTGTAAGGCTATACAGAAGAATTCCCAGTAACTTCCTTGTGTTGTGTGCATTCAACTCACAGAGTTGAACGTTCCCTTAAACAGAGCAGATTTGAAACACTCTTTTTGTGCAATTGGCAAGTGGAGATTTCAAGCGCTTTAAGGTCAATGGCAGAAAAGGAAATATCTTCGTTTCAAAACTAGACAGAATCATTCCCACAAACTGCGTTGTGATGTGTTCGTTCAACTCACAGAGTTTAACATTTCTTTTCATAGAGCAGTTAGGAAACAGTCTGTTTGTAAATTCTGTAAGTGGATATTCTGACATCTTGTGGCCTTCGTTGGAAACGGGATATCTTCACATTCTGCTAGACAGAAGAATTCTCAGTAACTTCCTTGTGTTGTGTGTATTCAACTCAGAGAGTTGAACGATCCTTTACACAGAGCAGACTTGTAACACTCTTTTTGTGGAATTTGCAAGTGGAGATTTCAGCCGCTTTGAAGTCAAAGGTAGAAAAGGAAATATCTTCCTATAAAAACTAGACAGAATGATTCTCAGAAACTCCTTTGTGATGTGTGTGTTCAACTCACAGAGTTTAACCATTCTTTTCATAGAGCAGTTAGTAAACACTCAGTTTATAAAGTCTGCAAATGGATATTCAGACCCCTTTGAGGCCTTCGTTGGAAACGGGATTTCTTCATATTATGCTAGAAAGAAGAATTCCCAGTAACTTCCTTGTGTTGTGTGTGTTCAACTCACAGAGTTGAACTTTCATTTACACAGAGCAGATTTGAAACACTCTTTGTGGAATTTGCAAGTGGAGATTTCAAGCGCTTTGAGGCCAAAGGCAGAAAAGGAAATATCTTCGTATAAAAACTAGACAGAATGATTCTCAGAAACTTCATTGTGATGTGTGCGTTCAACTCACAGAGTTTAACCTTTCTTTTCATAGAGCAGTTAGGAAACACTCTGTTTGTAAACTCTGCAAGTGGATATTCAGACCTCCTTTGAGGCCTTCGTTGGAAACGGGATTTCTTCATACTGTGCTAGACAGAAGAATTCGCAGTAACTTCCTTGTGTTGTGTGTATTCAACTGACAGAGTTGAACTTACATTTAGACAGAGCAGATTAGAAAAACTCTTTATGTGGAATTTTCAAGTGGAGATTTCAAGCGCGTTGAGGCCAAAGGCAGAAAAGGAAATATCTTCGTATAAAAACTAGACAGAATCATTCCCTCAAACTGCGTTGTGATGTGTTCGATCAACTCACGGAGTTTAACCTTTCTTTTCATACAGCAGTTAGGAAACACTCTGTTTGTAAAGTCTGTAAGTGGATATGCTGACATCTTGTGGCCTTCGTTGGAAACGAGATGTCTTCATATTCTGCTAGACAGAAGAATTCTCAGAATCTTCCTTGTGTTGTGTGTATTCAACTCACAGAGTTGAACGATCCCTTTACACAGAGCAGACTTGAAACACTCTTTTTGTGGAATTTGCAAGTGGAGATTTCAGCCGCTTTGAGGTCCATGGTAGAAAAGGAAATATCTTCGTATAAAAACTAGACAGAATGATTCTCAGAAACTCCTTTGTGATGTGTGCGTTCAACTCACAGAGTTTAACCTTTCTTTTCATAGAGCAGTTAGGAAACACTCTGTTTGTAAAGTCTGCAAGTGGATATTCAGACATCTTTGAGGCCTTCGTTGGAAACGGGATTTCTTCATGTTCTGCTAGACACAAGAATTCTCAGTATCTTCCTTGTGTTGTGTGTGTTCAACTCACAGAGTTGAACTTTGATTTACACAGAGCAGATTTGAAACACTCTTTTTGTGGAATTTGCAAGTGGAGATTTCAAGCGCTTTGAGGCCAAAGGCAGAAAAGGAAATATCTTCGTCTAAAAACTAGACAGAATCATTCTCAGAAACTGCTCTGCGATGTGTGCGTTCAACTCTCAGAGTTTAACTTTTCTTTTCATTCAGCAGTTTGGAAACACTCTGTTTGTAAAGTCTGCACGTGGATAATTTGACCACTTAGAGGCCTTCTTTGGAAAAGGGTTTTTTTCATATAAGGCTAGACAGAAGAATTCCCAGTAACTTCCTTGTGTTGTGGACATTCAACTCACAGAGTTGAACGTTCCCTTAGACAGAACAGATTTGAAACACTCTTTTTGAGCAATTGGCAAGTGGTGATTTCAGCCGCTTTGAGGTCAATGGTAGAAAAGGAAATATCTTCGTATAAAAACTAGACAGAATCATTCCCACAAACTGCGTTGTGATGTGTTCGTTCAACTCACAGAGTTTAACCTTTCTTTTCATAGAGTAGTTAGGAAACAGTCTGTTTGAAAATTCTGTAAGTAGATATTCTGACAGCTTGTGGCCTTCGTTGGAAACGGGATTTCTTTATATTCTGCTAGACAGAATAATTCTCAGTAACTTCCTTGTGTTGTGTGTATTCAACTCACAGAGTTGAAGGATCCTTTACAGAGAGCAGGCTTGAAACACTCTTTTTGTCGAATTTGCAAGTGGAGATTTCAGCCGCTTTGTGGTCAATGGTAGAATAGGAAATATCTTCTTATAGAAACTAGACAGAATGATTCTCATAAACTCCTTTGTGATGTGTGCGTTCAACTCACAGAGTTTAACTTTTCTTTTCACAGAGCAGTTAGGAAACACTCTGTTTGTAAAGTCTGCAAGTGGATATTCAGACCTCTTTGGGGCCTTCGTTGGAAACGGGATTTCTTCATATTCTGCTAGACAGAATAATTCTCAGTAACTTCCTTGTGTTGTGTGTATTCAACTCACAGAGTTGAACGATCCTTTACACAGAGCGGACTTGAAACATTCTTTTTGTGGAATTTGCAAGTGGAGATTTCAGCCGCTTTGAGGTCAATGGTAGAATAGGAAATATCTTCCTATAGAAACTAGACAGAATCATTCTCAGAAACTGCTCTGCGATGTGTGCGTTCAACTCTCAGAGTTTAACATTTCTTTTCATTCAGCAGTTTGGAAACACTCTGTTTGTAAAGTCTGCACGTGGATATTTTGACCACTTAGAGGCCTTCGTTGGAAACGGGTTTTTTTCCTGTAAGGCTAGACAGAAGCATTCCCAGTAACTTCCTTGTGTTGTGTGCATTCAACTCACAGAGATGAACGTTCCCTTAGACAGAGCAGATTTGAAACGCTCTATTTGCGCAATTTGCAAGTGTAGATTTCAAGCGCTTTAAGGTCAATGGCAGAAAAGGAAATATCTTCGTTTCAAAACTAGACAGAATGATTCTCAGAAACTCCTTTGTGATGTGTGCGTTCAACTCACAGAGTTTAACCTTTCTTTTCATAGAGCAGTTGGGAAACACTCTGTTTGTAAAGTCTGCAAGTGGATATTCAGACATCCTTGAGGCTTTCTTTGGAAAAGGGATTTCTTCATATTCTGCTAGAAAGAAGAATTCTCAGTAACTTCCTTGTGTTGTGTGTATTCAACTCACAGAGTTGAACGATCCTTTACACAGAGCGGACTTGAAACACACTTTTTGTGGAATTTGCAAGTGGAGATTTCAGCCGCGTTGAGGTCAATGGTAGAAAAGGAAATATCTTCGTATAAGAACTAGACAGAATGATTCTCAGAAACTCCTTTGTGATGTGTGCGTTCAACTCACAGAGTTTAACCTTTCTTTTCATAGAGCAGTTAGGAAACACTCTGTTTGTAAAGTCTGCAAGTGGATATTCAGACCTCCTTGAGGCCTTCGTTGGAAACGGTTTTTTTTCATATAAGGCTAGACAGAAGAATTCCCAGTAACTTCCTTGTGTTGTGTGTGTTCAACTCACAGAGTTGAACTTTCATTTACACAGAGCAGATTTGAGACACTCTTTTTGTGGAATTTGCTAATGGAGATTTCAAGCGCTTTGAGGCCAAAGGCTGAAAAGGAAATATCTTCGTATAAAAACTAGACAGAATCATTCTCAGAAACTGCTGCGTGATGAGTGCGTTCAACTCTCAGAGTTTAACTTTTCTTTTCATTCAGCGGTTTGGAAACACTCTGTTTGTAAAGTCTGCACGTGGATAATTTGACCACTTAGAGGCCTTCGTTGGAAACGGGATTTTTTCATGTAAGGCTAGACAGAAGAATTCCCAGTAACTTCCTTGTGTTGTGTGCATTCAACTCACAGATTTGAACGTTCCCTTAGACAGAGCAGATTTGAAACACTCTATTTGTGCAATTGGCAAGTGCAGATTTCAAGCGCTTTAAGGTCAATGGCAGAAAAGGAAATATCTTCGTTTCAAAACTAGACAGAATCATTCCCACAAACTGCGTTGTGATGTGTTCGCTCAACTCACAGAGTTTAACCTTTTTCTTCATAGAGCAGTTAGGAAACACTCTGTTTGTAAAGTCTGTAAGTGGATATTCTGTCATCTTTTGGCCTTCGTTGGAAACGGGATTTCTTCATATTCTGCTAGACAGAAGAATTCTCAGAATCTTCCTTGTGTTGTGTGTATTCAACTCACAGAGTTGAACGATCCTTTACACACAGCAGACTTGAAACACTCTTTTTGTGGAATTTGCAAGTGGAGATTTCAGCCGCTTTGAGGTCCATGGTAGAAAAGGAAATATCTTCGTATAAAAACTAGACAGAATGATTCTCAGAAAGTCCTTTGTGATGTGTGTTTTCAACTCACAGAGTTTAACCTTTCTTTTCATAGAGCAGTTAGTAAACACTCTGTTTATAAAGTCTGCAAGTGGATATTCAGACCCCTTTGAGGCCTTCGTTGGAAACGGGATTTCTTCATATTATGCTAGACAGAAGAATTCTCAGTAACTTCCTTGTGTTGTGTGTATTCAACTGACAGAGTTGAACTTTCATTTAGGGAGAGCAGATTTGAAACACTGTTTTTGTGGAATTTGCAAGTGGAGATTTCAAGCGCTTTGGGGCCAAAGGCAGAAAAGGAAATATCTTCGTAGAAAAACTAGACAGAATCATTCTCAGAAACTGCTCTGTGATGTGTGCGTTCAACTCTCAGAGTTTAACTTTTCTTTTCATTCAGCAGTTTGGAAACACTCTGTTTGTAAAGTCTGCACGTGGATATTTTGACCACTTAGAGGCCTTCGTTGGAAACGGGTTTTTTTCATGTAAGGATAGACAGAAGAATTCCCAGTAACTTCCTTGTGTTGTGTACATTCAACTCACAGAGTTGAACGTTCCCTTAGACAGAGCAGATTTGAAACACTCTTTTTGTGCAATTGGCAACTGGAGATTTCAAGCGCTTTAAGGTCAATGGCAGAAAAGGAAATATCTTCGTTTCAAAACTAGACAGAATCATTCTCAGAAACTGCTCTGCGATGTGTGCGTTCAACTCTCAGAGTTTAACTTTTCTTTTCATTCAGCAGTTTGGAAACACTCTGTTTGTAATGTCTGCACGTGGATATTTTGACCACTTAGAGGCCTTCGTTGGAAACGGGTTTCTTTCCTGTAAGGCTAGACAGAAGAATTCCCAGTAACTTCCTTGTGTTGTGTGCATTCAACTCACAGAGTTGAACGTTCCCTTAGACAGAGCAGATTTGAAACACTCTATTTGTGCAATTTGCAAGTGTAGATTTCAAGCGCTTTAAGGTCAATGGCAGAAAAGGAAATATCTTCGTATAAAAACTAGACAGGATGATTCTCATAAACTCCTTTGTGATGTGTGCGGTCAACTCACAGAGTTTAACCTTTCTTTTCATAGAGCAGTTAGGAAACACTCTGTTTGTAAAGTCTGCAAGAGGATATTCAGACCTCTTTGAGGCTTTCTTTGGAAACGGGATTTCTTCATATTCTGCTAGACAGAAGAATTCTCAGTAACTTCCTTGTGTTGTGTGTATTCAACTGACAGAGTTGAACTTTCATTTAGAGAGAGCAGATTTGAAACACTGTTTTTGTGGAATTTGCAATTGGAGATTTCAAGAGCTTTGGGGCCAAATGCAGAAAAGGAAATATCTTCGTATAAACACTAGACAGAATCATTCTCAGAAACTGCTCTGCGATGTGTACGTTCAACTCTCAGAGTTTAACTTTTCTTTTCATTCAGCAGTTTGGAAACACTCTGTTTGTAAAGTCTGCACGTGGATATTTTGACCACTTAGAGGCCTTCGTTGGAAACGGGTTTTTTTCCTGTAAGGCTAGACAGAAGAATTCCCACTAACTTCCTTGTGTTGTGTACATTCAACTCACAGAGTTGAACGTTCCCTTAGACAGAGCAGATTGGAAACACTCTTTTTGTGCAATTGGCAAATGGAGATTTCAAGCGCTTTAAGGTCAATGGCAGAAAAGGAAATATCTTCGTTTCAAAACTAGACAGAATCATTCCCAGAAACTGCGTTGTGATGTGTTCGTTCAACTCACAGAGTTTAACCTTTCTTTTCATAGAGCAGTTAGGAAACAGTCTGTTTGTCAATTCTGTAAGTGGATATTCTGACATCTTGTGGCCTTCCTTGGAAACGGGATTTCTTCATATTCTGCTAGACAGAAGAATTCTCAGTAACTTCCTTGTGTTGTGTGTATTCAACTCACAGAGTTGAAGGATCCTTTACAGAGAGCAGGCTTGAAACACTCTTTTTGTCGAATTTGCAAGTGGAGATTTCAGCCGCTTTGAGGTCAATGGTAGAATAGGAAATATCTTCTTATAGAAAATAGACAGAATGATTCTCATAAACTCCTTTGTGATGTGTGCGTTCAACTCACAGAGTTTAACCTTTCTTTTCATAGAGCAGTTAGGAAACACTCTGTTTCTAAAGTCTGCAAGTGGATATTCAGACCTCCTTGAGGCCTTCGTTGGAAACGGGATTTCTTCATATTCTGCTAGACAGAAGAATTCTCAGTAACTTCCTTGGGTTGTGTGTATTCAACTCACAGAGTTGAACGATCCTTTACACAGAGCAGACTTGTAACACTCTTTTTGTGGAATTTGCAAGTGGAGATTTCAGCCGCTTTGAAGTCAAAGGTAGAAAAGGAAATATCTTCCTATAAAAACTAGACAGAATGATTCTCAGAAACTCCTTTGTGATGTGTGCGTTCAACTCACAGAGTTTAACCTTTCTTTTCATAGAGCAGTTAGGAAACGCTCTGTTTGTAAAGTCTGCAAGTGGATATTCAGACATCTTTGAGGCTTTCGTTAGAAACGGGATTTCTTCATATTCTGCTAGACAGAAGAATTCTCAGTAACTTCCTTGTGTTGTGTGTATTCAACTGACAGAGTTGAACTTTCATTTAGAGAGAGCAGATTTGAAACACTGTTTTTGTGGAATTTGCAAGTGGAGATTTCAAGAGCTTTGGGGCCAAAGGCAGAAAAGGAAATATCTTCGTATAAAAACTAGACAGAATCATTCTCAGAAACTACTCTGCGATGTGTGCGTTCAACTCTCAGAGTTTAACTTTTCTTTTCATTCAGCAGTTTGGAAACACTCTGTTTGTAAAGTCTGCACGTGGATAATTTGACCACTTAGAGGCCTTCGTTGGAAACGGGTTTTTTTCATGTAAGGCTAGACAGAAGAATTCCCAGTAACTTCCTTGTGTTGTGTACATTCAACTCACAGAGTTGAACGTTCCCTTAGACAGAGCAGATTTGAAACACTCTTTTTGTGCAATTGGCAAGTGGACATTTCAAGCGCTTTGAGGTCAATGGCAGAAAAGGAAATATCTTCGTTTCAAAACTAGACAGAATCATTCCCACAAACTGCGTTGTGATGTGTTCGTTCAACTCACAGAGTTTAACCTTTCTGTTCATAGAGCAGTTAGGAAACACTCTGTTTGTAAAGTCTGTAAGTGGAGATTCTGACATCTTGTGGCCTTCGTTGGAAACGGGATTTCTTCATATTCTGCTAGACAGAAGAATTCTCAGTAACTTCCTTGTGTTGTGTGTATTCAACTCTCAGAGTTGAACGATCCTTTACTGAGAGCAGACTTGAAACACACTTTTTGTGCAATTTGCAAGTGGAGATTTCAGCCGCTTTGAGGTCAATGGTAGAATAGGAAATATCTTCCTATAGAAACTAGACAGAATGATTCTCAGAAACTCCTTTGTGATGTGTGCGTTCAACTCACAGAGTTTAACCTTTCTTTTCATAGAGCGGTTAGGAAACACTCTGTTTGTAAAGTCTGCAAGTGGATATTCAGACCTCTTTGAGGCCTTCGTTGGAAACGGGATTTCTTCATATTCTGCTAGAGAGAAGAATTCTCAGTAACTTCCTTGTGTTGTGTGTATTCAACTGACAGAGTTGAACTTTCATTTAGAGAGAGCAGATTTGAAACACTGTTTTTGTGGAATTTGCAAGTGGAGATTTCAAGCGCTTTGTGTCCAAAGGCAGAAAACGAAATATCTTCGTATAAAAACTAGACAGAATCATTCTCAGAAACTGCTGCGTGATGTGTGCGTTCAACTCTCAGAGTTTAACTTTTCTTTTCATTCAGCGGTTTGGAAACACTCTGTCTGTAAAGTCTGCACGTGGATATTTTGACCACTTAGAGGCCTTCGTTGGAAACGTGTTTTTTGCATGTAAGGCTAGACAGAAGAATTCCCAGTAACTTCATTGTGTTGTGTGCATTCAACTCACAGAGTTGAACGTTCCCTTAGACAGAGCAGATTTGAAACACTCTATTTGTGCAATTTGCAAGTGTAGATTTCAAGCGCTTTAAGGTCAATGGCAGAAAAGGAAATATCTTCGTTTCAAAACTAGACAGAATCATTCCCACAAACTGCGTTGTGATGTGTTCGTTCAACTCACAGAGTTTAACCTTTCTGTTCATAGAGCAGTTAGGAAACACTCTGTTTGTAAAGTCTGTAAGTGGATATTCTGACATCTTGTGGCCTTCGTTGGAAACGGGATTTCTTCATATTATGCTACACAGAATAATTCTCAGTAACTTCCTTGTGTTCTGTGTATTCAACTCACAGAGTTGAACGATCCTTTACAGAGAGCAGACTTGAAACACTCTTTTTGTGGAATTTGCAAGTGGAGATTTCAGCCGCTTTGAGGTCAATGGTAGAAAAGGAAATATCTTCGTATAAAGACTAGACAGAATGATTCTCAGAATCTCCTTTGTAATGTGTGCGTTCAACTCACAGAGTTTAACCTTTCTTTTCATAGAGCAGTTAGGAAACACTCTGTTTGTAAAGTCTGCAAGTGGATATTCAGACCTCTTTGAGGCCTTCGTTGGAAACGGGATTTCTTCATATTCTGCTAGACAGAAGAATTCCCAGTAACTTCCTTGTGTTGTGTGTGTTCTACCCCCAGAGTTGAACTTTGATTTACACAGAGCAGATTTGAAACACTCTTTTTGTGGAATTTGCAAGTGGAGATTTCAAGCGCTTTGAGGCCAAAGGCAGAAAAGGAAATATCTTCGTATAAAAACTAGACAGAATCATTCTCAGAAACTGCTCTGCGATGTGTGCGTTCAACTCTCAGAGTTTAACTTTGCTTTTCATTCAGCAGTTTGGAAACACTCTGTTTGTAAAGTCTGCTCGTGGATAATTTGACCATTTAGAGGCCTTCGTTGGAAACGGGTTTTTTTCATGTAAGGCTAGACAGAAGAATTCCCAGTAACTTCCTTGTGTTCTGTACATTCAACTCACAGAGTTGAACGTTCCCTTAGACAGAGCAGATTTGAAACACTCTTTTTGTGCAATTGGCAAATGGAGATTTCAAGCGCTTTAAGGTCAATGGCAGAAAAGGAAATATCTTCGTTTCAAAACTAGACAGAATCATTCCCACAAACTGCGTTGTGATGTGTTCGTTTAACTCACAGAGTTTAACCTTTCTTTTCATAGAGCAGTTAGGAAACACTCTGTTGGTAAATTCTGTAAGTGGATATTCTGACATCTTGTGGCCTTCGTTGGAAACGGGATTTCTTCATATTCTGCTAGATAGAAGAATTCTCAGAAACGTCCTTGTGTTGTGTGTATTCAACTCACAGAGTTGAACGATCCTTTACACAGAGCAGACTTGAAACACTCTTTTTGTGGAATTTGCAAGTGGAGATTTCAGCCGCTTTGAGGTCAATGGTAGAAAAGGAAATATCTTCGTATAGAAACAAGACAGAATGATTCTCAGAAACTCCTTTGTGATGTGTGCGTTCAACTCACAGAGTTTAACCTTTCTTTTCATAGAGCAGTTAGGAAACACTCTGTTTGTAAAGTCTGCAAGTGGATATTCAGACATCTTTGAGGCCTTCGTTGGAAACGGGATTTCTTCATATTATGCTAGACAGAAGAATTCCCAGTAACTTCCTTGTGTTGTGTGTGTTCAACTCATAGAGTTGAACTTTCATTTACACAGAGCAGATTTGAAACACTCTTTTTGTGGAATTTGCAAATGGAGATTTCAGCCGCGTTGAGGTCAATGGTAGAAAAGGAAATATCTTCGTTTCAAAACTAGACAGAATCATTCTCAGAAACTGCTCTGCGATGTGTGCGTTCAACTCTCAGAGTTTAACTTTTCTTTTCATTCAGCAGTTTGGAAACACTCTGTTTGTAAAGTCTGCACGTGGATAACTTGACCACTTAGAGGCCTTCGTTGGAAACGGGTTTTTTTCATGTAAGGCTAGACAGAAGAATTCCCAGTAACTTCCTTGTGTTGTGTGCGTTCAACTCACAGAGTTGAACGTTCCCTTAGACAGAGCAGATTTGAAACACTCTATTTGTGCAATTTGCAAGTGTAGTTTTCAAGCTCTTTAAGGTCAACGGCAGAAAAGGAAATATCTTCGTTTCAAAACTAGACAGAATGATTCTCAGAAACTCCTTTGTGATGTGTGCGTTCAACTCACAGAGTTTTACCTTTCTATTCATAGAGCAGTTAGGAAACACTCTGTTTGTAAAGTCTGCAAGTGGATATTCAGACCTCCTTGAGGCCTTCGTTGGAAACGGGATTTCTTCATATTCTGCTAGACAGAAGAATTCTCAGTAACTTCCTTGTGTTGTGTTTATTCAACTCACAGAGTTGAAGGATCCTTTACACAGAGCAGACTTGAAACACTCTTTTTGTGGAATTTGCAAGTGGAGATTTCAGCCGCTTTGAGGTCAATGGTAGAAAAGTAAATATCTTCGTATAAAGACTAGACAGAATGATTCTCAGAAACTCCTTTGTGATGTGTGCGTTCAACTCACAGAGTTTAACCTTTCTTTTCATAGAGCAGTTAGGAAACACTCTGTTTGTAAAGTCTGCAAGTGGATATTCACACCTCCTTGAGGCCTTCGTTGGAAACGGGATTTCTTCATATTCTGCTAGACAGAAGAATTCTCAGTAACTTCCTTGTGTTGTGTGTATTCAACTGACAGAGTTGAACTTTCATTTAGAGAGAGCAGATTTGAAACACTGTTTTTGTGGAATTTGCAAGTGGAGATTTCAAGCGCTTTGGGGCCAAAGGCAGAAAAGGGAATATCTTCGTATAAAAACTAGACAGAATCATTCTCAGAAACTGCTGCGTGATGTATGCGTTCAACTCTCAGAGTTTAACTTTTCTTTTCATTGAGCGGTTTGGAAACACTGTGTTTGTAAAGTCTGCACGTGGATATTTTGACCACTTAGAGGCCTTCGTTGGAAACGGAATTTTTTTTGTAAGGCTAGACAGAAGAATTCCCAGTAACTTCCTTGTGTTGTGTACATTCAACTCACAGAGTTGAACGTTCCCTTAGACAGAGCAGACTTGTAACACTCTTTTTGTGGAATTTGCAAGTGGAGATTTCAGCCGCTTTGAAGTGAAAGGTAGAAAAGGAAATATCTTCCTATAAAAACTAGACAGAATCATTCCCACAAACTGCGTTGTGATGTGTTCGTTCAACTCACAGAGTTTAACCTTTCTGTTCATAGAGCAGTTAGGAAACACTCTGTTTGTAAAGTCTGTAAGTGGATATTCTGACATCTTGTGGCCTTCGTTGGCAACGGGATTTCTTCATATTCTGCTAGACAGAAGAATTCTCAGTAACTTCCTTGTGTTGTGTGTATTCAACTCACAGAGTTGAACGATCCTTTACACAGAGCAGACTTGTAACACTCTTTTTGTGGAATTTGCAAGTGGAGATTTCAGCCGCTTTGAGGTCCATGGTAGAAAAGGAAATATCTTCGTATAAAAACTAGACAGAATGATTCTCAGAAACTCCTTTGTGATGTGTGCGTTCAACTCACACAGTTTAACCTTTCTTTTCATAGAGCAGTTGGGAAACACTCTGTTTGTAAAGTCTGCAAGTGGATATTCAGACCTCCTTGAGGCCTTCTTTGGAAACGGGATTTCTTCATATTATGCTAGACAGAAGAATTCTCAGTAACTTCCTTGTGTTGTGTGTATTCAACTCACAGAGTTGAACGATCCTTTACACAGAGCAGACTTGAAACACTCTTTTTGTGGAATTTGCAAGTGGATATTTCAGCCGCTTTGAAGTCAATGGTAGAATAGGAAATATCTTCCTATAGAAACTAGACAGAATCATTCTCAGAAACTGCTCTGCGATGTGTGCGTTCAACTCTCAGAGTTTAACTTTTCTTTTCATTCAGCAGTTTGGAAACACTCTGTTTGTAAAGTCTGCACGTGGATATTTTGACCACTTAGTGGCCTTCGTTGGAAACGGGTTTTTTTCCTGTAAGGCTAGACAGAAGAATTCCCAGTAACTTCCTTGTGTTGTGTGCATTCAACTCACAGAGTTGAACGTTCCCTTAGACAGAGCAGATTTGAAACACTCTATTTGTGCAATTTGCAAGTGTAGATTTCAAGCGCTTTAAAGTCAATGGCAGAAAAGGAAATATCTTTGTTTCAAAACTAGACAGAATCATTCCCACAAACTGCGTTGTGATGTGTTCGTTCAACTCACAGAGTTTAACCTTTCTTTTCATAGAGCAGTTAGGAAACAGTCTGTTTGAAAATTCTGTAAGGGGATATTCTGACATCTTGTGGCCTTCGTTGGAAACGGGATTTCTTCATATTCTGCTAGACAGAAGAATTCTCAGTAACTTCCTTGTGTTGTGTGTATTCAACTCACAGAGTTGAACGATCCTTTACACAGAGCAGACTTGAAACACTCTTTTTGTGGAATTTGCAAGTGGAGATTTCAGCCGCTTTGAGGTCCATGGTAGAAAAGGAAATATCTTCGTATA
This sequence comes from Homo sapiens, assembly GCF_000001405.40. NCBI lineage: Eukaryota > Metazoa > Chordata > Mammalia > Primates > Hominidae > Homo > Homo sapiens. The sequence goes on from NC_000001.11 coordinate 123,357,657, forward strand.
AAGACTAGACAGATAGATTCTCAGAAACTCCTTTGTGATGTGTGCGTTCAACTCACAGAGTTTAACCTTTCTTTTCATAGAGCAGTTAGGAAACACTCTGTTTGTAAAGTCTGCAAGTGTATATTCAGACCTCTTTGAGGCCTTCGTTGGAAACGGGTTTCTTTCATATAAGGCTAGACAGAAGGATTCCCAGTAACTTCCTTGTGTTGTGTGTGTTCAACTCACAGAGTTGAACTTTCATTTACAAAGAGCAGATTTGAAACACTCTTTTAGTGGAATTTGCAATTGGAGATTTCAAGCGCTTTGAGGCCAAAGGCAGAAAAGGAAATATCTTCGTATAAAAACTAGACAGAATCATTCTCAGAAACTGCTCTGCGATGTGTGCGTTCAACTCTCAGACTTTAACTTTTCTTTTCATTCAGCAGTTTGGAAACACTCTGTTTGTAAAGTCTGCACGTGGATAATTTGACCGCTTGGAGGCCTTCGTTGGAAACGGGTTTTTTTCCTGTAAGGCTAGACAGAAGAATTCCCAGTAACTTCCTTGTGTTGTGTGCATTCAACTCACAGAGTTGAACGTTCCCTTACACAGAGCAGATTTGAAACACTCTGTGCAATTTCCAAGTGTAGATTTCAAGCGCTTTAAGGTCAACGGCAGAAAAGGAAATATCTTCGTTTCAAAACTAGACAGAATCATTCCCACAAACTGCGTTGTGATGTGTTCGCTCAACTCACAGAGTTTAACCTTTCTGTTCATAGAGCAGTTAGGAAACACTCTGTTTGTAAAGTCTGTAAGTGGATATTCTGACATCTTGTGGCCTTCGTTGGAAACGGGATTTCTTCATATTCTGCTAGACAGAAGAATTCTCAGTAACTTCCTTGTGTTGTGTGTATTCAACTCACAGAGTTGAACGATCCTTTACACAGAGCAGACTTGAAACACTCTTTTTGTGGAATTTGCAAGTGGAGATATCAGCCGCTTTGAGGTCAATGGTAGAATAGGAAATATCTTCCTATAGAAACTAGACAGAATGATTCTCAGAAACTCCTTTGTGATGTGTGCGTTCAACTCACATAGTTTAACTTTTCTTTTCATAGAGCAGTTAGGAAACACTCTGTTTGTAAAGTCTGCAAGTGGATATTCAGACCTCTTTGAGGCCTTCGTTGGAAACGGGATTTCTTCATATTATGCTAGACAGAAGAATTCCCAGTAACATCCTTGTGTTGTGTGTGTTCAACTCACAGAGTTGAACTTTCATTTACACAGAGCAGATTTGAAACACTCTTTTTGTGGAATTTGCAAATGGAGATTTCAAGCGCTTTGAGGCCAAAGGCAGAAAAGGAAATATCTTCGTAAAAAAACTAGACAGAATCATTCTCAGAAACTGCTCTGCGATGCGTGCGTTCAACTCTCAGAGTTTAACTTTTCTTTTCATTCAGCAGTTTGGAAACACTCTGTTTGTAAAGTCTGCACGTGGATAATTTGACCACTTAGAGGCCTTTGTTGGAAACGGGTTTTTTTCCTGTAAGGCTAGACAGAAGAATTCCCAGTAACTTCCTTGTGTTGTGTACATTCAACTCACAGAGTTGAACGTTCCCTTAGACAGAGCAGATTTGAAACACTCTTTTTGTGCAATTGGCAAGTGGAGATTTCAAGCGCTTTATGGTCAATGGCAGAAAAGGAAATATCTTCGTTTCAAAACTAGAGAGAATGATTCTCAGAAACTTCTTTGTGATGTGTGCGTTCACCTCACAGAGTTTAACCTTTCTTTTCATAGAGCAGTTAGGAAACACTTTGTTTGTAAAGTCTGCAAGTGGATATTCAGACCTGTTTGAGGCCTTCGTTGGAAACGGGATTTCTTCATACTATGCTAGACAGAAGAATTCTCAGTAACTTCCTTGTGTTGTGTGTATTCAGCTCACAGGGTTGAACGATCCTTTATACAGAGCAGACTTGAAACACTCTTTTTGTGGGACTTGCAAGTGGAGATTTCAGCCGCTTTGAGGTCAATAATAGAAAAGGAAATATCTTCGTAGAAAAACTAGACAGAATGATTCTCAGAAACTCCTTTGAGATGTGTGTGTTCTACTCACAGAGTTTAACCTTTCTTTTCATAGAGCAGTTAGGAATCACTCTGTTTGTAAAGTCTGCAAGTGGATATTCAGACCTCTTTGAGGCCTTCGTTGGAAACGGGTTTTTTTCATATAAGGCTAGACAGAAGAATTCTCAGTAACTTCCTTGTGTTGTGTGTATTCAAGTGACAGAGGTGAACTTTCATTTAGAGAGAGCAGATTTGAAACACTGTTTTTGTGGAATTTGCAAGTGGAGATTTCAAGCGCTTTGGGGCCAAAGGCAGAAAAGGAAATATCTTCGTATAAAAACTAGACAGAATCATTCTCAGAAACTGCTCTGTGATGTGTGCGTTCAACTCTCAGAGTTTAACTTTTCTTTTCATTCAGCAGTTTGGAAACACTCTGTTTGTAAAGTCTGCACGTGGATATTTTGACCACTTAGAGGCCTTCGTTAGAAACGGGTTTTTTTCATGTAAGGCTAGACAGAAGAATTCCCAGTAACTTCCTTGTGTTGTGTGCATTCAACTCACAGAGTTGAACCGTTCCCTTAGACAGAGCAGATTTGAAACACTCTATTTGTGCAATTTGCAAGTGTAGTTTTCAAGCTCTTTAAGGTCAACGGCAGAAAAGGAAATATCTTCGTTTCAAAACTAGACAGAATCATTCCCACAAACTGCGTTGTGATGTGTTCGTTCAACTCACAGAGTTTAACCTTTCTTTTCATAGAGCAGTTAGGAAACACTCTGTTGGTAAATTCTGTAAGTGGATATTCTGACATCTTGTGGCCTCCGTTGGAAACGGGATTTCTTCATATTCTGCTAGACAGAAGAATTCTCAGAAACTTCCTTGTGTTCTGTTTATTTAACTCACAGAGTCGAACGATCCTTTACTCAGAGCAGACTTGAAACACTCCATTTGTGGAATTTGCAAGTGGAGATTTCAGCCGCTTTGAGGTCAATGGTAGAATAGGAAATATCTTCCTATGGAAACTAGACAGAATGATTCTCAGAAACTCCTTTGTGCTGTGTGCGTTCAGCTCACAGAGTTTAACCTTTCTTTTCATAGAGCAGTTAGGAAACACTCTGTTTGTAAAGTCTGCAAGTGGATATTCAGACATCTTTGAGGCTTTCGTTGGAAACGGGATTTCTTCATATTCTGCTAGACAGAAGAATTCTCAGAAACTTCCTTGTGTTGTGTGTTTTCAACTCACAGAGTTCAACGATCCATTACACAGAGAAGACTTGAAACACTCTTTTTGTGGAATTGGCAAGTGGAGATTTCAGCCGCTTTGAGGTCAATGGTAGAAAAGGAAATATCTTCGTATAAAAACTAGACAGAATCATTCTCAGAAACTGCTCTGCGATGTGTGCGTTCAACTCTCAGAGTTTAACTTTTCTTTTCATTCAGCAGTTTGGAAACACTCTGTTTGTAAAGTCTGCACGTAGATATTTTGACCACTTAGAGGCCTTCGTTGGAAACGGGTTTTTTTCCTGTAAGGCTAGACAGAAGAATTCCCAGTAACTTCCTTGTGTTGTGTACATTCAACTCACAGATTTGAACGTTCCCTTAGACAGAGCAGATTTGAAACACTCTTTTTGTGCAATTGGCAAGTGGAGATTTCAAGAGTTTTAAGGTCAATGGCCGAAAAGGAAATATCTTCGTTTCAAAACTAGACAGAATCATTCCCACAAACTGCGTTGTGATGTGTTCGTTCAAATCACAGAGTTTAACCTTTCTTTTCATAGAGCAGTTAGGAAACACTCTGTTTGTAAATTCTGTAAGTGGATATTCTGACATCTTGTGGCCTTCTTTGGAAACGGGATTTCTTCATATTCTGCTAGACAGAAGAATTCTCAGTAACTTCCTTGTGTTGTGTGTATTCAACTCACAGAGTTGAACGATCCTTTACACAGAGCAGACTTGAAACACTCTTTTTGTGGAATTTGCAAGTGGAGATTTCAGCCGCTTTGAGGTCAATGGTAGAAAAGGAAACTATCTTCATATAAAGACAAGACAGAATGATTCTCAGAAACTCCTTTTTGCTGTGTGCGTTCAGCTCACAGAGTTTAACCTTTCTTTTCATAGAGCAGTTAGGAAACACTCTGTTTGTAAAGTCTGCAAGTGGATATTCAGACATCTTTGAGGCTTTTGTTGGAAACGGGATTTCTTCATATTCTGCTAGACAGAAGAATTCCCAGTAACTTCCTTGTGTTGTGTGTGTTCGACTCACAGATTTGAACTTTCATTTACACAGAGCAGATTTGAAACACTCTTTTTGTGGGATTTGCAAATGGAGATTTCAAGCGCTTTGAGGCCAAAGGCAGAAAAGGAAATATCTTCGTATAAAAACTAGACAGAATCATTCTCAGAAACTGCTCTGCGATGTGTGCGTTCAACTCTCAGAGTTTAACTTTTCTTTTCATTCAGCAGTTTGGAAACACTCTGTTTGTAAAGTCTGCACGTGGATAACTTGACCACTTAGAGGCCTTCGTTGGAAACGGGTTTTTTTCATGTAAGGCTAGACAGAAGAATTCCCAGTAACTTCCTTGTGTTGTGTACATTCAACTCACAGAGTTGAACGTTCCCTTAGACAGAGCAGATTTGAAACACTCTTTTTGTGCAATTGGGAAGTGGAGATTTCAAGCGCTTTAAGGTCAATGGCAGTAAAGGAAATATCTTCGTTTCAAAACTAGACAGAATCATTCCCACAAACTGCGTTGTGATGTGTTCGTTCAACTCACAGATGTTTAACCTTTCTTTTCATAGAGCAGTTAGGAAACAGTCTGTTTGTAAATTCTGTAAGTGGATATTCTGACATCTTGTGGCCTTCGTTGGAAACGGGATTTCTTCATATTCTGCTAGACAGAAGAATTCTCAGTAACTTCCTTGTGTTGTGTGTATTCAACTCACAGAGTTGAACGATCGTTTACACAGAGCAGACTTGAAACACTCTTTTTGTGGAATTTGCAAGTGGAGATTTCAGCCGCTTTGAGGTCAATGGTAGAAAAGGAAATATCTTCGTATAAAGACTAGACAGAATGATTCTCAGAAACTCCTTTGTGATGTGTGAATTCAACTCACAGAGTTTAACCTTTCTTTTCACAGAGCAGTTAGGAAACACTCTGTTTGTAAAATCTGCAAGTGGATATTCAGACCTCCTTGAGGCCTTCGTTGGAAACGGGATTTCTTCATATTATGCTAGACAGAAGAATTCCCAGTAACTTCCTTGTGTTGTGTGTGTTCAACTCACGGAGTTGAACTTTCATTTACACAGAGCAGATTTGAAACACTCTTTTTGTGGAATTTGCAAGTGGAGATTTCAAGCGCTTTGAGGCCAAAGGCAGAAAAGGAAATATCTTCGTTTGAAAACTACACAGAAATCATTCTCAGAAACTGCTGCGTGATGTGTGCGTTCAACACTCAGAGTTTAACTTTTCTTTTCATTCAGCGGTTTGGAAACACTCTGTTTGTAAAGTCTGCACGTGGATAATTTGACCACTTAGAGGCCTTCGTTGGAAACGGGATTTTTTCATGTAAGGCTAGACAGAAGAATTCCCAGTAACTTCCTTGTGTTGTGTGCATTCAACTCAAAGAGTTGAACGTTCCCTTAGACAGAGCAGATTTGAAACACTCTATTTGTGCAATTTGCAAGTGTAGATTTCAAGCGCTTTAAGGTCAATGGCAGAAAAGGAAATATCTTCGTTTCAAAACTAGACAGAATCATTCCCACAAACTGCGTTGTGATGTGTTCGTTCAACTCACAGAGTTTAACCTTTCTGTTCATAGAGCAGTTAGGAAACACTCTGTTTGTAAAGTCTGTAAGTGGATATTCTGACATCTTGTGGCCTTCGTTGGAAATGGGATTTCATCATATTCTGCTAGACAGAAGAATTCTCAGTAACTTCCTTGTGTTGTGTTTATTCAACTCACAGAGTTGAATGATCCTTTACACAGAGCAGACTTTAAACACTCTTTTTGTGGAATTTGCAAGTGGAGATTTCAGCCGCTTTGAGGTCAATGGTAGAAAAGGAAATATCTTCGTATAAAGACTAGACAGAATGATTGTCAGAAACTCCTTTGTGATGTGTGCGTTCAACTCACAGAGTTTAACCTTTCTTTTCATAGAGCAGTTAGGAAACACTGTGTTGTTAAAGTCTGCAAGTGGATATTCAGACCTCCTTGAGGCCTTCGTTGGAAATGGGATTTCTTCATATTCTGCTAGACAGAAGAATTCTCAGTAACTTCCTTGTGTTGTGTGTATTCAACTCACAGAGTTGAACTTTCATTTAGAGAGAGCAGATTTGAAACACTGTTTTTGTGGAATTTGCAAGAGGACATTTCACGCGCTTTGGGGCCAAGGGCAGAAAAGGAAATATCTTCGTATAAAAACTAGACAGAATCATTTTCAGAAACTGCTGCGTGATGTGTGCGTTCAACTCTCAGAGTTTAACTTTTCTTTTCATTCAGCGGTTTGGAAACAGTCTGTTTGTAAAGTCTGCACGTGGATATTTTGACCACTTAGAGGCCTTCGTTGGAAACGGGTTTTTTGCATGAAAGGTTAGACAGAAGAATTCTCAGTAACTTCCTTGTGTTGTGTGTATTCAACTCACAGAGTTGAACGATACTTTACACAGAGCAGATTTGAAACACTCTATTTGTGCAATTTGCAAGTGTAGTTTTCAAGCTCTTTAAGGTCAACGGCAGAAAAGGAAATATCTTGGTTTCAAAACTAGACAGAATCATTCCCACAAACTGCGTTGTGATGTGTTCGTTCAAATCACAGAGTTTAACTTTTCTTTTCATAGAGCTGTTAGGAAACAGTCTGTTTGTAAATTCTGTAAGTGGATATTCTGACATCTTGTGGCCTTCGTTGGAAACGGGATTTCTTCATATTCTGCTAGACAGAATAATTCTCAGTAACTTCCTTATGTTGTGTGTATTCAACTCACAGAGTTGAACGATCCTTTACACAGAGCAGACTTGAAACACTCTTTTTGTGGAATTTGCAAGTGGAGATTTCAGCCGCTTTGAGGTCAATGGTAGAATAGGAAATATCTTCCTATAGAAACTAGACAGAATGATTCTCACAAACTCCTTTGTGATGTGTGCGTTCAACTCACAGAGTTAAACCTTTCTTTTCATAGAGCAGTTAGGAAACACTCTGTTTGTAAAGTCTGCAAGTGGATATTCAGACCTCCTTGAGGCCTTCGTTGGAAAGGGGATTTCTTCATATTATGCTAGACAGAATAATTCTCAGTAACTTCCTTGTGTTGTGTGTATTCAACTGACAGAGTTGAACTATCATTTAGAGAGTGCAGATTTGAAACACTGTTTTTGTGGAATTTGTAAGTGGAGATTTCAAGCGCTTTGGGGCCAAAGGCAGAAAAGGAAATATCTTCGTATAAAAACTAGACAGAATCATTCTCAGAAACTGCTGCGTGATGTGTGCGTTCAACTCTCAGAGTTTAACTTTTCTTTTCATTCAGCGGTTTGGAAACACTCTGTTTGTAAAGTCTGCACGTGGATATATTGACCACTTAGAGGCCTTCGTTGGAAACGGGTTTTTTGCATGTAAGGCTAGACAGAAGAATTCCCAGTAATTTCCTTGTGTTGTGTGCATTCAACTCACAGAGTTGAACGTTCCCTTAGACAGAGCAGATTTGAAACACTCTATTTGTGCAATTTGGAAGTGTAGATTTCAAGCGCTTTAAGGTCAATGGCAGAAAAGGAAATATCTTCGTTTCAAAACTAGACAGAATCATTCCCACAAACTGCGTTGTGATGTGTTCGTTCAACCCACAGAGTTTAACCTTTCTGTTCATAGAGCAGTTAGGAAACACTCTGTTTGTAAAGTATGAAAGTGGATATTCTGACATCCTTGTGGCCTTCGTTGGAAACGGGATTTCTTCATATTCTGCTAGACAGAAGAATTCTCAGTAACTTCCTTGTGTTGTGTGTATTCAACTGACAGAGTTGAACTTTCATTTACACAGAGCGGACTTGAAACACTCTTTTTGTGGAATTTGCAATTGGAGATTTCAGCCGCGTTGAGGTCAATGGTAGAAAAGGAAATCTCTTCGTATAAAAACTAGACAGAATGATTCACAGAAAATCTTTTGTGATGTGTGCGTTCAACTCACAGAGTTTAACTTTTCTTCTCATGGAGCAGTTAGGAAACACTCTGTTTGTAAAGTCTGCAAGTGGATATTCAGACCCCTTTGAGGCCTTCGTTGGAAACGGGATTTCTTCATATTCTGCTAGACAGAAGAATTCTCAGTAACTTCCTTGTGTTGTGTGTATTCAACTGACAGAGTTGAACTTTCATTTAGACAGAGCAGATTTGAAACACTCTTTTTGTGGAATTTGCAAAGGTAGATTTCATGCGCTTTGAGGCCAAAGGCAGAAAAGGAAATATCTTCGTATAAAAACTAGACAGAATCATGCTCAGAAACTGCTCTGCGATGTGTGCGTTCAACTCTCAGAGTTTAACTTTTCTTTTCATTCAGCAGTTTGGAAACACTCTGTTTGTCAAGTCTGCACGTGCATAATTTGACCGCTTAGAGGCCTTCGTTGGAAACGGGTTTTTTTCATGTAAGGCTAGACAGAAGAATTCCCAGTAACTTCCTTGTGTTGTGTGCATTCAACTCACAGAGTTGAACGTTCCCTTAGACAGAGCAGATTTGAAACAGCCTATTTGTGCAATTTGCAAGTGTAGATTTCAAGCGCTTTAAGGTCAACGGCAGAAAAGGAAATATCTTCCTTTCAAAACTAGACAGAATGATTCTCAGAAACTCCTTTGTGATGTGTGCGTTCAACTCACAGAGTTTAACTTTTCTTTTCATAGAGCAGTTAGGAAACACTCTGTTTGTAAAGTCTGCAAGTGGATATTGAGACCTCTTTGAGGCCTTCGTTGGAAACGGGATTTCTTCATATTATGCTAGACAGAATAATTCTCAGTAACTTTCCTTGTGTTGTGTGTATTCAACTCACAGAGTTGAACGATCCTTTACAGAGAGCAGACTTGAAACACTCTTTTTGTGGAATTCGCAAGTGGAGATTTCAGCCGCTTTGAGGTCAATGGTAGAAAAGGAAATGTCTTCGTATAAAGACTAGACAGAATGATTCCCATAAACTCCTTTGTGATGTGTGCGTTCAACTCACAGAGTCTAACCTTTCTGTTCATAGAGCAGTTAGGAAACACTCTGTTTGTAAAGTCTGCAAGTGGATATTCAGACCTCCTTGAGGCCTTCGTTGGAAACGGGATTTCTTCATATTCTGCTAGACAGAAGAATTCCCAGTAACTTCCTTGTGTTGTGTGTGTTCAACTCACAGAATTGAACTTTCATTTACACAGAGCAGATTTGAAACACTCTTTTTGTGGAATTTGCAAATGGAGATTTCAAGCGCTTTGAGGCCAAAGGCAGAAAAGGAAATATCTTCGTTTCAAAACTAGACAGAATCATTCTCAGAAACTGCTGCGTGATGTGTGCGTTCAACTCTCAGAGTTTAACTTTTCTTTTCATTCAGCGGTTTGGAAACACTCTGTTTGTGAAGTCTGCCCGTGGATATTTTGACCCCTTAGAGGCCTTCGTTGGAAACGGGTTTTTTTCATGTAAGGCTAGACAGAAGAATTCCCAGTAACTTCCTTGTGTTGTGTGCATTCAACTCACAGAGATGAAAGATCCCTTAGACAGAGCAGATTTGAAACACTCTATTTGTGCCATTTGCAAGTGTAGATTTCAAGCGCTTTAAGGTCAATGGCAGAAAAGGAAATATCTTCGTTTCAAAACTAGACAGAATCATTCCCACAAACTGCGTTGTGATGTGTTCGTTCAACTCACAGAGTTTAACCTTTCTGTTCATAGAGCAGTTAGGAAACACTCTGTTTGTAAAGTCTGTAAGTGGATATTCTGACATCTTGTGGCCTTCGTTGGAAACGGGATTTCTTCATATTGTGCTAGACAGAAGAATTCTCAGTAACTTCCTTGTGTTGTGTGTATTCAACTCACAGAGTTGAACGATCCTTTACACAGAGTAGACTTGAAACACTCTTTTTGTGGAATTTGCAAGTGGAGATTTCAGCCGCTTTGAGGTCAATGGTAGAATAGGAAATATCTTCCTATAGAAACTAGACAGAATGATTCTCAGAAACTCCTTTGTGATGTGTGCGTTCAACTCACAGAGTTTAACTTTTCTTTTCATAGAGCCGTTAGGAAACACTCTGTTTGTAAAGTCTGCAAGTGGATATTCAGACCTCTTTGAGGCCTTCGTTGGAAACGGGATTTCTTCATATTATGCGTAGACAGAAGAATTCTCAGTAACTTCCTTGTGTTGTGTGTATTCAGCTGACAGAGTTGAACTTTCATTTAGAGAGAGCAGATTTGAAACACTGTTTTTGTGTAATTTGCAATTGGAGATTTCAAGCGCTTTGGGGCCAAACGCAGAAAAGGAAATATCTTCGTATAAAAACTAGACAGAATCATTCTCAGAAACTGCTGTGCGATGTATGCGTTCAACTCTCAGAGTTTAACTTTTCTTTTCATTCAGCAGTTTGGAAACACTCTGTTTGTAAAGTCTGCACGTGGATATTTTGACCACTTAGAGGCCTTCGTTGGAAACGGGTTTTTTTCATGTAAGGCTAGACAGAAGAATTCCCAGTAACTTCCTTGTGTTGTGTACATTCAACTCACAGAGTTGAACGTTCCCTTAGACAGAGCAGATTTGAAACACTCTTTTTGTGAAATTGGCAAGTGGAGATTTCAAGCGCTTTAAGGTCAATGGCAGAAAAGGAAATACCTTCGTTTCAAAACTAGACAGAATGATTCTCAGAAACTCGTTTGTGATGTGTGCGTTCAACTCACAGAGTTTAACCTTTCTTTTCATAGAGCAGTTAGGAAACACTCTCTAAAGTCTGCAAGTGGATATTCAGACCTCCTTGAGGTCTTCGTTGGAAACGGGATTTCTTCATATTCTGCTAGACAGAAGAATTCTCAGTAACTTCCTTGTGTTGTGTTTATTCAACTCACAGAGTTGAATGATCCTTTACACAGAGCAGACTTGAAACACTCTTTTTGTGGAATTTGCAAGTGGAGATTTCAGCCGATTTGAGGTCAATGGTATAAAAGTAAATATCTTCGTATAAAGACTAGACAGAATGATTCTCAGAAACTCCTTTGTGATGTGTGCGTTCAACTCACAGAGTTTAACCTTTCTTTTCATCGAGCAGTTAGGAAACACTCTGTTTGTAAAGTCTGCAAGTGGATATTCAGACCTCTTTGAGGCCATCGTTGGAAACGGGATTTCTTCATATTCTGCTAGAGAGAGGAATTCTCAGTAACTTCCTTGTGTTGTGTGTATTCAACTGACAGAGTTGAACTTTCTTTTAGAGAGAGCAGATTTGAAACACTGTTTTTGTGGAATTTGCAACTGGAGATTTCAAGCGCTTTGGGGCCAAAGGCAGAAAAGGAAATATCTTCGTATAAAAACTAGACAGAATCATTCTCAGAAACTGCTCTGCGATGTGTGCGTTCAACTCTCAGAGTTTAACTTTTCTTTTCATTCAGCAGTTTGGAAACACTCTGTTTGTAAGGTCTGCAAGTGGATATTCAGACCTCTTTGTGGCCTTCTTTGGAAACGGGTTTTTTTCATATAAGGCTAGACAGAAGAATTCCCAGTAACTTCCTTGTGTTGTGTGCATTCAACTCACAGAGTTGAACGTTCCCTTAGACAGAGCAGATTTGAAACACTCTATTTGCGCAATTTGCAAGTGTAGATTTCAAGCGCTTTAAGGTCAATGGCAGAAAAGGAAATATCTTCGTTTCAAAACTAGACAGAATCATTCCCACAAACTGCGTTGTGATGTGTTCGTTCAACTCACAGAGTTTAACCTTTCTTTTCATAGAGCAGTTAGGAAACACTCTGTTTATAAACTCTGCAAGTGGATATTCAGACCTCTTTGAGGCCTTTGTTGGAAACGGGATTTCTTCATACTATGCTAGACAGAAGAATTCTCAGAAACCTCCTTGTGTTGTGTGTATTCAACTCACAGAGTTCAATGACGCTTTACACAGAGCAGACTTGAAACACTCTTTTTGTGGAATTTGCAAGTGGAGATTTCAGCCGCTTTGAGGTCAATGGTAGAATAGGAAATATCTTCCTATAGAAACTAGACAGAATGATTCTCAGAAACTCCTTTGTGATGTGTGCGTTCAACTCACAGAGTTTAACCTTTCTTTTCATAGAGCTGTTAGGAAACACTCTGTTTGTAATGTCTGCAAGTGGATATTCAGACATCCTTGAGGCTTTCGTTGGAAACGGGATTTCTTCATATTCTGCTAGAAAGAAGAATTCTCAGGAACTTCCTTGTGTTGTGTGTATTCAACTCAGAGAGTTCAACGATCCTTTACACAGAGCAGACTTGAAACACTCTTTTTGTGGAATTTGCAAGTGGAGATTTCAGCCGCTTTGAGGTCAATTGTAGAAAAGGAAATATCTTCGTATAAAAACTAGACAGAATGATTCTCAGAAACTCCTTTGTGATGTGTGCGTTCAACTCACAGAGTTTACCCTTTCTTTTCATAGAGCAGTTAGGAAACACTCTGTTTGTAAAGTCTGCAAGTGGATATTCAGACCTCCTTGATGCCTTCGTTGGAAACGGGATTTCTTCATATTATTGTAGACAGAAGAATTCTCAATAACTTCCTTGTGTTGTGTGTATTCAACTCACAGAGTTGAACGATCCTTTACACAGAGCAGACTTGAAACACTCTTTTTGTGGAATTTGCAAGTGGAGATTTCAGCCGCTTTGAGGTCAATGGTAGAATAGGAAATATCTTCCTATAGAAACTAGACAGAATCATTCTCAGAAACTGCTGCGTGATGTGTGCGTTCAACTCTCAGAGTTTAACTTTTCTTTTCATTCAGCGGTTTGGAAACACTCTGTTTGTAAAGTCTGCACGTGGATATTTTGACCACTTAGAGGCCTTCGTTGGAAACGGGATTTTTTCATGTAAGGCTAGACAGAAGAATTCCCAGTAACTTCCTTGTGTTGTGTGCATTCAACTCACAGAGTTGAACGTTCCCTTAGACAGAGCAGATTTGAAACACTCTATTTGTGCAATTTGCAAGTGTAGATTTCAAGCGCTTTAAGGTCAACGGCAGAAAAGGAAATATCTTCGTTTCAAAACTATACAGAATCATTCCCACAAACTGCGTTGTGATGTGTTCGTTCAACTCACAGAGTTTAACCTTTCAGTTCATAGAGCAGTTAGGAAACACTCTGTTTGTAAAGTCTGTAAGTGGATATTCTGACATCTTGTGGCCTTCGTTGGAAACGGGATTTCTTCATATTCTGCAAGACAGAAGAATTCTCAGTAACTTCCTTGTGTTGTGTGTATTCAACTCACAGAGTTGAACGATCCTTTACACAGAGCAGACTTGAAACACTCTTTTTGTGGAATTTGCAATTGGAGATTTCAGCCGCTTTGAGGTCAATAGTAGAAAAGGAAATATCTTCGTAGAAAAACTAGACAGAATGATTCTCAGAAACTCCTTTGTGATGTGTGTGTTCACCTCACAGAGTTTAACCTTTCTTTTCATAGAGCAGTTAGTAAACACTCTGTTTATAAAGTCTGCAACTGGATATTCAGACCCCTTTGAGGCCTTCATTGGAAACGGGATTTCTTCATATTATGCTAGACAGAAGAATTCTCAGTAATTTCCTTGTGTTGTGTGTATTCAACTCACAGAGTTGAACGATCCTTTACACAGAGCAGACTTGAAACACTCTTTTTGTGGAATTTGCAAGTGGAGATTTCAGCCGCATTGGGTTCAATGGTAGAATAGGAAATATCTTCCTATAGAAACTAGACAGAATGATTCTCAGAAACTCCTTTGTGATGTGTGCGTTCAACTCACAGAGTTTAACCTTTCTTTTCATAGAGCAGTTAGGAAACACTCTGTTTGTAAAGTCAGCAAGTGGATATTCAGACCTCTTTGAGGCCTTCGTTGGAAACGGGATTTCTTCATATTCTGCTAGACAGAAGAATTCCCAGTAACTTCCTTGTGTTGTGTGTGTTCAACTCACAGAGTTGAACTTTCATTTACACAGAGCAGATTGGAAACACTCTTTTTGTGGAATTTGCAAGTGGAGATTTCAAGCGCTTTGAGGCCAAAGGCAGAAAAGGAAATATCTTCGTATAAAAACTAGACAGAATCATTCTCAGAAACTGCTGTGCGATGTGTGCGTTTAACTCTCAGAGTTTAACTTTTCTTTTCATTCAGCAGTTTGGAAACTCTCTCTTTGTAAAGTCTGCACGTGGATAACTTGACCACTTAGAGGCCTTCGTTGGAAACGGGTTTTTTTCATGTAAGGCTAGACAGAAGAATTCCCAGTAACTTCCTTGTGTTGTGGACATTCAACTCACAGAGTTGAACGTTCCCTTAGACAGAACAGATTTGAAACACTCTTTTTGTGCAATTGGCAAGTGGTTATTTCAGCCGCTTTGGGGTCAATGGTAGAAAAGGAAATATCTTCGTATAAAAACTAGACAGAATCATTACCACAAACTGCGTTGTGATGTGTTCGTTCAACTCACAGAGTTTAACCTTTCTCTTCATAGAGCAGTTAGGAAACACTCTGTTTGTGAAGTCTGTAAGTGGATATTCTGACATCTTGTGGCCTTCGTTGGAAACGGGATTTCTTCATATTCTGCTACACAGAAGAATTCCCAGTAACTTCCTTGTGTTGTGTGTATTCAACTCACAGAGTTGAACGATCCTTTACACAGAGCAGACTTGAAACACTCTTTTTGTGGAATTTGCAAGTGGAGATTTCAGCCGCTTTGAGGTCAATGGTAGAATAGGAAATATCTTCCTATAGAAACTAGACAGAATGATTCTCAGAAACTCCTTTGTGATGTGTGCGTTCAACTCACAGAGTTTAACCTTTCTTTTCATAGAGCAGTTGGGAAACACTCTGTTTGTAAAGTCTGCAAGTGGATATTCAGACCTCCTTGAGGCTTTCGTTGGAAACGGGATTTCTTCATATTCTGCTAGAAAGAAGAATTCCCAGTAACTTCCCTTGTGTTGTGTGTGTTCAACTCACAGAGTTGAACTTTCATTTAGTCAGAGCAGATTTGAAACACTCTTTTTGTGGAATTTGCAAATGGAGATTTCAAGCGCTTTGAGGCCAAAGGCAGAAAAGGAAATATCTTCGTATAAAAACTAGACAGAATCATTCTCAGAAACTGCTCTGCGATGTGTGCGTTCAACTCTCAGAGTTTAACTTTGCTTTTCATTCAGCAGTTTGGAAACACTCTGTTTGTAAAGTCTGCACGTGGATATTTTGACCGCTTAGAGGCCTTCGTTGGAAACGGGTTTCTTTCCTGTAAGGCTAGACAGAAGAATTCCCAGTAACTTCCTTGTGTTGTGTACATTCAACTCACAGAGTTGAACGTTCCCTTAGACAGAGCAGATTTGAAACACTCTTTTTGTGCAATTAGCAAGTGGAGATTTCAAGCGCTTTAAGGTCAATGGCAGAAAAGGAAATATCTTACTTTCAAAACTAGACAGAATCATTCCCACAAACTGCGTTGTGATGTGTTCGTTCAACTCACAGAGTTTAACCTTTCTTTTCATAGAGCAGTTAGGAAACACTCTGTTGGTAAATTCTGTAAGTGGATATTCTGACATCTTGTGGCCTTCGTTGTAAACGGGATTTCTACATATTCTGCCAGACAGAAGAATTCTCAGAAACTTCCTTGTGTTGTGTGTTTTCAACTCACAGAGTTGAACGATCCTTTACACAGAGCAGACTTGAAACACTCCTTTTGTGGAATTTGCAAGTGGAGATTTTAGCCGCTTTGAGGTCAATGGTAGAATAGGAAATATCTTCCTATAGAAAGTAGACAGAATGATTCTCAGAAACTCCTTTAGTGATGTGTGCATTCAACTCACAGAGTTTAACCTTTCTTTTCATAGAGCAGTTAGGAAACACTCTGTTTGTAAAGTCTGCAAGTGGATATTCAGACCTCCTTGAGGCCTTCGTTGGAAACGGGACTTCTTCATATTATGCTACACAGAGGAATTCCCAGTAACTTCCTTGTGTTGTGTGTGTTCAACTCACAGAGTTGAACTTTCATTTACACAGAGCAGATTTGAAACACTCTTTTTGTGGAATTTGCAAATGAAGATTTCAAGCGCTTTGAGGCCAAAGGCAGAAAAGGAAATATCTTCGTTTCAAAACTAGACAGAATCATTCTCAGAAACTGCTCTGCGATGTGTGCGTTCAACTCTCAGAGTTTAACTTTTCTTTTCATTCAGCAGTTTGGAAACACTCTGGTTGTAAAGTCTGCACGTGGATAACTTGACCACTTAGAGGACTTCGTTGGAAACGGGTTTTTTTCCTGTAAGGCTAGACAGAAGAATTCCCAGTAACTTCCTTGTGTTGTGTGCATTCAACTCACAGAGTTGAACGTTCCCTTAGACAGAGCAGATTTGAAACACTCTATTTGTGCAATTTGCAAGTGTAGTTTTCAAGCTCTTTAAGGTCAACGGCAGAAAAGGAAATATCTTGGTTTCAAAACTAGACAGAATGATTCTCAGACACTTCTTTGTGATGTGTGCGTTCAACTCACAGAGTTTAACCTTTCTTTTCATAGAGCAGTTAGGAAACAGTCTGTTTGTCAATTCTGTAAGTGGATATTCTGACATCTTGTGGCCTTCGTTGGAAACGGGATTTCTTCATATTCTGCTAGACAGAAGAATTCTCAGTAACTTTCTTGTGTTGTGTGTATTCAACTCACAGAGTTGAACGATCCTTTACACAGAGCAGACTTGAAACACTCTATTTGTAGAATTTGCAAGTGGAGATTTCAGCCGCTTTGAGGTCAGTAGTAGAAAAGGAAATATCTTCGTGGAAAAACTAGACAGAATGATTCTCAGAAACTCTTTTGTGATGTGTGCGTTCAACTCACAGAGTTTAACCTTTCTTTTCATAGAGCAGTTAGGAAACACTCTGTTTGTAAAGTCTGCAAGTGGATATTCAGACCTCTTTGAGGCCTTCGTTGGAAACGGGATTTCTTCATATTCTGCTAGAGAGAAGAATTCCCAGTAACTTCCTTGTGTTGTGTGTGTTCAACTCACAGAGTTGAACTTTCATTTACACAGAGCAGATTTGAAACACTCTTTTTGTGGAATTTGCAAGTGGAGATTTCAAGCGCTTTGAGGCCAAAGTTAGAAAAGGAAATATCTTCGTATAAAAACTAGACAGAATCATTCTCAGAAACTGCTTTGCAATGTGTGCGTTCAACTCTCAGAGTTTAACTTTTCTTTTCATTCAGCAGTTTGGAAACACTCTGTTTGTAAAGTCTGCACGTGGATATTTTGACCACTTAGAGGCCTTCTTTGGAAACGGGTTTTTTTCCTGTAAGGCTAGACAGAAGAATTCCCAGTAACTTCCTTGTGTTGTGTACATTCAACTCACAGAGTTGAACGTTCCCTTAGACAGAGCAGATTTGAAACACTCTTTTTGTGCAATTGGCAAGTGGGGATTTCAAGCGCGTTGAGGTCAATGGCCGAAAAGGAAATATCTTCGTTTCAAAACTAGACAGAAAATGATTCTCAGAAACTCCTTTGTGATGTGTGCGTTCAACTCACAGAGTTTAACCGTTCTTTTCATAGAGTAGTTAGGAAACACTCTGTTTGTAAAGTCTGCAAGTGGATATTCAGACCTCTTTGAGGCCTTCGTTGGAAACGGGATTTCTTCATATTCTGCTAGACAGAAGAACTCTCAGTAACTTCCTTGTGTTGTGTGTATTCAACTCACAGGGTTGAACGATCCTTTACACAGAGCATACTTGAAACACTCTTCTTGTGGAATTTGCAAGTGGAGATTTCAGCCGCTTTGAGGTCAATGGTAGAATAGGAAATATCTTCCTATAGAAACTAGACAGAATGATTCTCAGAAACTCCTTTGTGATGTGTGCGTTCAACTCACAGAGTTTAACCTTTCTGTTCATAGAGCAGTTAGGAAACACTGTGTTTGTAAAGTCTGCAAGTGGATATTCAGACCTCCTTGAGGCCTTCGTTGGAAACGGGATTTCTTCATATTCTGCTAGACAGAAGAATTCCCGGTAACTTCCTTGTGTTGTGTGTGTTCAACTCACAGAGTTGAACTTTCATTTACACAGAGCAGATTTGCAACACTCTTTTGTGGAATTTGCAAGTGGAGATTTCAAGCGCTTTGAGGCCAAAGGCAGAAAAGGAAATATCTTCGTTTCAAAACTAGACAGAATCATTCTCAGAAACTGCTCTGCGATGTGTGCGTTCAACTCTCAGAGTTTAACTTTTCTTTTCATTTAGCAGTTTGGAAACACTCTGTTTGTAAAGTCTGCACGTGGATAATTTGACCACTTAGAGGCCTTCGTTGGAAACGGGTTTTTTTCATGTAAGGCTAGACAGAAGAATTCCCAGTAACTTCCTTGTGTTGTGTGCATTCAACTCACAGAGTTGAACGTACCCTTAGACAGAGCAGATTTGAAACACTCTATTTGTGCAATTTGCAAGTGTAGTTTTCAAGCTCTTTTAGGTCAACGGCAGAAAAGGAAATATCTTGGTTTCAAAACTAGACAGAATCATTCCCACAAACTGCGTTGTGATGTGTTCGTTCAACTCACAGAGTTTAACCTTTCTGTTCATAGAGCAGTTAGGAAACACTCTGTTTGTAAAGTCTGTAAGTGGATATTCTGACATCTTGTGGCCTTCGTTGGGAACGGGATTTCTTCATATTCTGCTAGACAGAAGAATTCTCAGAATCTTCCTTGTGTTGTGTGTATTCAACTCACAGAGTTGAACGATCCTTTACACAGAGCAGACTTGATACAGTCTTTTTGTGGAATTTGCAAGTGGAGATTTCAGCCGCTTTGAGGTCCATGGTAGAAAAGGAAATATCTTCGTATAAAAACTAGACAGAATGATTCTCAGAAACTCCTTTGTGATGTGTGCGTTCAACTCACAGAGTTTAACCTTTCTTTTCATAGAGCAGTTAGGAAACACTCTGTTTGTAAAGTCTGCAAGTGGATATTCAGACATCCTTGAGGCTTTCGTTGGGAACGGGTTTTCTTCATATTCTGCTAGAAAGAAGAATTCTCAGTAACTTCCTTGTGTTGTGTGTATTCAACTCACAGAGTTGAACTTTCATTTACACAGAGCAGATTTGAAACACTCTTTTTGTGGAATTTGCAAATGGAGATTTCAAGGGCTTTGAGGCCAAAGGCAGAAAAGGAAATATCTTCGTTTCAAAACTAGACAGAATCATTCTCAGAAACTGCTCTGTGATGTGTGCGTTCAACTCTCAGAGCTTAACTTTTCTGTTCATTCAGCAGTTTGGAAACACTCTGTTTGTAAAGTCTGCACGTGGATAATTTGACCACTTAGAGGCCTTCGTTGGAAACGGGTTTTTTTCATGTAAGGCTAGACAGAAGAATTCCCAGTAACTTCCTTGTGTTGTGTGCATTCAACTCACAGAGTTGAACGTTCCCTTAGACAGAGCAGATTTGAAACACTCTATTTGTGCAATTTGCAAGTGTAGATTTCAAGCGCTTTAAAGTCAATGGCAGAAAAGGAAATATCTTCGTTTCAAAACTAGACAGAATGATTCTCATAAACTCCTTTGTGATGTGTGCGTTCAAATCACAGAGTTTAACTTTTCTTTTCATAGAGCAGTTAGGAAACACTCTGTTTGTAAAGTCTGCAAGTGGATATTCAGACCTCTTTGAGGCCTTCTTTGGAAACGGGATTTCTTCATATTATGCTAGACAGAATAATTCTCAGTAACTTCCTTGTGTTGTGTGTATTCAACTCACAGAGTTGAACGATCCTTTACACAGAGCAGACTTGAAACACTCTTTTTGTGCAATTTGCAAGTGGAGATTTCAGCCGATTTGAGGTCAATGGTAGAATAGGAAATATCTTCCTATAGAAACTAGACAGAATGATTCTCAGAAACTCCTTTGTGATGTGTGCGTTCAACTCACAGAATTTAACATTTCTTTTCATAGAGCAGTTAGGAAACACTCTGTTTGTAAAGTCTGCAAGTGGATATTCAGACCTCTTTGAGGCCTTCGTTGGAAACGGGATTTCTTCATATTCTGCTAGACAGAAGAATTCCCAGTAACTTCCTTGTGTTGTGTGTGTTCAACTCACAGAGTTGAACTTTGATGTACACAGAGCAGATTTGAAACACTCTTTTTGTGGAATTTGCAAGTGGAGATTTCAAGCGCTTTGAGGCCAAAGGCAGAAAAGGAAATATCTTCGTATAAAAACTAGACAGAATCATTCTCAGAAACTGCTCTGCGATGTGTGCGTTCAACTCTCAGAGTTTAACTTTTCTTTTCATTCAGCAGTTTGGAAACACTCTGTTTGTATAGTCTGCACGTGGATATTTTGACCACTTAGAGGCCTTCGTTGGAAACGGGTTTTTTTCCTGTAAGGCTAGACAGAAGAATTCCCAGAAACTTCCTTGTGTTGTGTGCATTCAACTCACAGAGTTGAACGTTCCCTTAGACAGAGCAGATTTGAAACACTCTATTTGTGCAATTTGCAAGTGTAGATTTCAAGCGCTTTAAGGTCAATGGCAGAAAAGGAAATATCTTCGTTTCAAAACTAGACAGAATCATTCCCACAAACTGCGTTGTGAAGTGTTCGTTCAACTCACAGAGTTTAACCTTTCTGTTCATAGAGCAGTTAGGAAACACTCTGTTTGTAAAGTCTGTAAGTGGATATTCTGACATCTTGTGGCCTTCGTTGGAAACGGGATTTCTGCATATTCTGCTAGACAGAAGAATTCTCAGAAACTTCCTTGTGTTGTGTGTTTTCAACTCACAGAGTTGAACGATCCTTTACGCAGAGCAGACTTGAAACACTCTTTTTGTGGAATTTGCAAGTGGAGATTTCAGCCGCTTTGAGGTCAATGGTATAAAAGGAAATATCTTCGTATAAAAACTAGACAGAATGATTCACAGAAACTCCTTTGTGATGTGTGCGTTCAACTCACAGAGTTTAACCATTCTTTTCATAGAGCAGTTAGGAAACACTCTGTTTGTAAAGTCTGCAAGTGGATATTCAGACCTCTTTGAGGCCTTCGTTGGAAACGGGATTTCTTCATATTCTGCTAGACAGAAGAATTCCCAGTAACTTCCTTGTGTTGTGTGTGTTCAACTCACAGAGTTGAACTCTCATTTACACAGAGCAGATTTGAAACACTCTTTTTGTGGAATTTGCAAGTGGAGATTTCAAGCGCTTTGAAGCCAAAGGCAGAAAAGGAAATATCTTCGTATAAAAACTAGACAGAATCATTCTCAGAAACTGCTCTGCGATGTGTGCATTCAACTCTCAGAGTTTAACTTATCTTTTCATTCAGCAGTTTGGAAACACTCTGTTTGTAAAGTCTGCACGTGGATAATTTGACCACTTAGAGGTCTTCGTTGGAAACGGGTTTTTATCATGTAAGGCTAGACAGAAGAATTCCCAGTAACTACCTTGTGTTGTGTGCATTCAACTCACAGAGTTGAACGTTCCCTTAGACAGAGCAGATTTGAAACACTCTATTTGTGCAATTTGCAAGTGTAGTTTTCAAGCTCTTTAAGGTCAACGGCAGAAAAGGAAATATCTTGGTTTCAAAACTAGACAGAATCATTCCCACAAACTGCGTTGTGATGTGTTCGTTCAACTCACAGAGTTTAACCTTTCTTTTCATTGAGCAGTTAGGAAACAGTCTGTTTGTAAATTCTGTAAGTGGATATTCTGACATCTTGTGGCCTTCGTTGGAAACGGGATTTCTTCATATTCTGCTAGACAGAAGAATTCTCAGTAACTTCCTTGTGTTGTGTGTATTCAACTCACAGAGTTGAACGATCCTTTACACAGAGCAGACTTGAAACACTCTTTTTGTGGAATTTGCAAGTGGAGATTTCAGCCGCTTTGAAGTCAAAGGTAGAAAAGGAAATATCTTCGTATAAAAACTAGACAGAATGATTCTCAGTAAGTTCTTTGTGATGTGTGCGTTAAACTCACAGGGATTAACCTTTCTTTTCATAGAGCAGTTAGGAAACACTCTGTTTGTAAAGTCTGCAAGTGGATATTCAGACCTCCTTGAGGCCCTCGTTGGAAACGGGATTTATTCAAATTATGCTAGACAGAAGAATTCTCAGTAACTTCCTTGTGTTGTGTGTATTCAACTCACAGAGTTGAACGATCCTTTACACAGAGCAGATTAGAAACACTCTTTTTCTCGAATTTGCAGGTAGAGATTTCAGCCGCTTTGCGGTCAATAGTAGAAAAGGGAATATCTTCGTATAAAAACTAGACAGAATGATTCTCAGAAACTCCTTTGTGATGTGTGCGTTCAACTCACAGAGTTCAACCTTTCTTTTCATAGAGCAGTTAGGAAACACTCTGTTTGTAAAGTCTGCAAGTGGATATTCAGACCTCTTTGAGGCCTTCGTTGGAAACGGGTTTTCTTCATATTATGCTAGACAGAAGAATTCTCAGTAGCTTCCTTGTGTTGTGTGTATTCAACTCACAGAGTTGAACGATCCTTTACACAGAGCAGACTTGAAACACTCTTTTTGTGGAATTTGCAATTGGAGATTTCAGCCGCTTTGAGGTCAATGGTAGAATAGGAAATATCTTCGTATAAAAACTAGACAGAATGATTCTGAGAAACTCCTTTGTGATGTGTGCGTTCAACTCACAGAGTTTAACCTTTCTTTTCATAGAGCAGTTAGGAAACACTCTGTTTGTTAAGTCTGCAAGTGGATATTCAGACCTCTTTGAGGCCTTCGTTGGAAACGGGATTTCTTCATATTCTGCTAGACTGAAGAATTCTCAGTAACTTCCTTGTGTTGTGTGTATTCAACTCACAGAGTTGAACGATCCTTTACACAGAGCAGACTTGAAACACTCTTTTTCTGGAATTTGCAAGTGGAGATTTCAGCCGCTTTGAGGTCAATGGTAGAATAGGAAATATCTTCCTATAGAAACTAGACAGAATGATTCTCAGAAACTCCTTTGAGATGTGTGTGTTCAACTCACAGAGTTTAACCTTTCTTTTCATAGAGCAATTAGGAATCACTCTGTTTGTAAAGTCTGCAAGTGGATATTCAGACCTCTTTGAGGCCTTCGTTGGAAACGGGTTTTTTTCATATAAGGCTAGAGAGAAGAATTCTCAGTAACTTCCTTGTGTTGTGTGTATTCAACTGACATAGTTGAACTTTCATTTAGAGAGAGCAGATTTGAAACACTGTTTTTGTGGAATTTGCAAGTGGAGATTTCAAGCGCTTTGGGGCCAAAGGCAGAAAACGAAATATCTTCGTATAAAAACTAGACAGAATCATTCTAAGAAACTGCTCTGCGATGTGTGCGTTCAACTCTCAGAGTTTAACTTTTCTTTTCATTCAGCAGTTTGGAAACACTCTGTTTGTAAAGTCTGCACGTGGATATTTTGACCACTTAGAGGCCTTCGTTGGAAACGGGTTTTTTTCCTGTAAGGCTAGACAGAAGAATTCCCAGTAACTTCCTTGTGTTGTGTACATTCAACTCACAGAGTTGAACGTTCCCTTAGACAGAGCAGATTTGAAACACTCTTTTTGTGCACTTGGCAAGTGGAGATTTCAAGCGCTTTAAGGTCAATGGCAGAAAAGGAAATATCTTCGTTTCAAAACTAGACAGAATGATTCTCAGAAACTCCTTTGTGATGTGTGTGTTCAACTCACAGAGTTTAACCTTTCTTTTCATAGAGCAGTTAGGAAACAATCTGTTTGTAAAGTCTGCAAGTGGATATTCAGACCTCTTTGAGGCCTTCGTTGGAAACGGGTTTTTTTCATATAAGGCTAGACAGAAGAATTCCCAGTAACTTCCTTGTGTTGTGTGTGTTCGACTCACAGAGTTGAACTTTCATTTACACAGAGCAGATTTGAAACACTCTTTTTGTGGAATTTGCAAGTGGAGATTTCAGCCGCTTTGAAGTCAAAGGTAGAAAAGGAAATATCTTCCTATAAAAACTAGACAGAATGATTCTCATAAACTCCTTTGTGATGTGTGCGTTCAAGTCACAAAGTTTAACTTTTCTTTTCATAGAGCAGTTAGGAAACACTCTGTTTTTAAAGTCTGCAAGTGGATAATCAGACCTCTTTGAGGCCTTCGTTGGAAACGGGATTTCTTCATATTATGCTAGACAGAAGAATTCTCAGTAACTTCCTTGTGTTGTGTGTATTCAACTCACAGAGTTGAACGATCGTTTACACAGAGCAGACTTGAAACATTCTTTTTGTGGAATTTGCAAGTGGAGATTTCAGCCGCTTTGAGGTCAATGGTAGAATAGGAAATATCTTCTTATAGAAACTAGACAGAATCATTCTCAGAAACTGCTCTGCGATGTGTGCGTTCAACTCTCAGAGTTTAACTTTTCTTTTCATTTAGCAGTTTGGAAACACTCTGTTTGTAAAGTCTGCACGTGGATATTTTGACCACTTAGAGGCCTACGTTGGAAACGGGTTTTTTTCCTGTAAGGCTAGACAGAAGAATTCCCAGTAACTTCCTTGTGTTGTGTGCATTCAACTCACAGAGTTGAACGTTCCCTTAGACAGAGCAGATTTGAAACACTCTATTTGTGCAATTTGCAAGTGTAGATTTCAAGCGCTTTAAGGTCAACGGCAGAAAAGGAAATATCTTCGTTTCAAAACTAGGCAGAATGATTCTCATAAACTCCTTTATGATGTGTGCATTCAACTCACAGAGTTTCACCTTTCTTTTCATAGAGCAGTTAGGAAACACTCTGTTTGTAAAGTCTGCAAGTAGATATTCAGACCTCCTTGAGGCCTTCGTTGGAAACGGGATTTCTTCATATTCTGCTAGACAGAAGAATTCTCAGTAACTTCCTTGTGTTGTGTGTATTCAACTCATAGAGTTGAACGATCCTTTACACAGAGCAGACTTGTAACACTCTTTTTGTGGAATTTGCAAGTGGAGATTTCAGCCGCTTTGAAGTCAAAGGTAGAAAAGGAAATATCTTCCTATAAAAACTAGACAGAATGATTCTCAGAATCTCCTTTGTGATGTGTGCGTTCAACTCACAGAGTTTAACCTTTCTTTTCATAGAGCAGTTAGGAAACACTCTGTTTGTAAAGTCTGCAAGTGGATATTCAGACCTCTTTGAGGTCTTCGTTGGAAACGGGTTTTTTTCATATAAGGCTAGACAGAGGAATTCCCAGTAACTTCCTTGTGTTGTGTGTGTTCAACTCACAGAGTTGAACTTTCATTTACACAGAGCAGATTTGAAACACTCTTTTTGTGGAATTTGCAAGTGGAGATTTCAAGCGCTTTGAGGCCAAAGGCAGAAAAGGAAATATCTTCGTATAAAAACTAGACAGAATCATTCTCAGAAACTGCTCTGCGATGTGTGCGTTGAACTCTCAGAGTTTAACTTTTCTTTTCATTCAGCAGTTTGAAAACACTCTGTTTGTAAAGTCTGCACGTGGATAACTTGACCACGTAGAGGCCTTCGTTGGAAACGGGTTTTTTTCATGTAAGGCTAGACAGAAGAATTCCCAGTAACTTCCTTGTGTTGTGTGCATTCAATTCACAGAATTGAACGTTCCCTTAGACAGAGCAGATTTGAAACACTCTATTTGTGCAATTTGCAAGTGTAGATTTCAAGCGCTTTAAGGTCAATGGCAGAAAAGGAAATATCTTCGTTTCAAAACTAGACAGAATCATTCCCACAAACTGCGTTGTGATGTGTTCGTTCAACTCACAGAGTTTAACCTTTCTGTTCATAGAGCAGTTAGGAAACACTCTGTTTGTTAAGTCTGTAAGTGGATATTCTTACATCTTGTGGCCTTCGTTGGAAACGGGATTTCTTCATATTCTGCTAGACAGAAGAATTCTCAGTAACTTCCTTGTGTTGTGTGTATTCAACTCACAGAGTTGAAAGATCCTTTACAGAGAGCAGACTTGAAACACTCTTTTTGTGGAATTTGTAAGTGGAGATTTCAGCCGCTTTGAGGTCAATGGTAGAATAGGAAATATCTTAATATAGAAACTAGACAGAATGATTCTCAGAAACTACTTTGCGATGTGTGCGTTCAACTCACAGAGTTTAACCTTTCTTTTCATAGAGCAGTTAGGAAACACTCTGTTTGTAAAGTCTGCAAGTGGATATTCAGACCTCCTTGAGGCCTTCGTTGGAAACGGGATTTCTTCATATTATGCTAGACAGAAGATTTCCCAGTAACTTCCATGTGTTGTGTGTGTTCAACTCACAGAGTTGAACTTTCATTTACACAGAGCAGATTTGACACACTCTTTTTGTGGAATTTGCAAATGGAGATTTCAAGCGCTTTGAGGCCAAAGGCAGAAAAGGAAATATCTTCGTATAAAAACTAGACAGAATCATTCTCAGAAACTGCTCTGCGATGTGTGCGTTCAACTCTCAGAGTTTAACTTTTCTTTTCATTCAGCAGTTTGGAAACACTCTGTTTGTAAAGTCTGCACGTGGATATTTTGACCACTTAGAGGCCTTCGTTGGAAACGGGCTTTTTTCCTGTAAGGCTAGACAGAAGAATTCCCAGGAACTTCCTTGTGTTGTGTACATTCAACTCACAGAGTTGAACGTTCCCTTAGACAGAGCAGATTTGAAACACTCTTTTTGTGCAATTGGCAAGTGGTGATTTCAGCAGCTTTGAGGTCAATGGTAGAAAAGGAAATATCTTCGTATAAAAACTAGACAGAATGATTCTCAGAAACTCCTTTGTGATGTGGGTGTTCAACTCACAGAGTTTAACTTTCTTTTCATAGAGCTGTTAGGAAACACTCTGTAAAGTCTGCAAGTGGGTATTTTAACCTCTTTGAGGCCTTCGTTGGAAACGGGTTTTTTTCATGTAAGGCTAGAGAGAAGAATTCTCAGTAACTTCCTTTTGTTGTGTGTATTAAACTGACAGAGTTGAACTTTCATTTACACAGAGCAGATTTGAAACACTCTTTTTGTGGTATTTGCAAGTGGAGATTTCAGCCGCTTTGATGTCAATGATAGAAAAGGAAATATCTTCATATAAAAATTAGACAGAATGATTCTCAGAAACTCCTTTGTGATATGGGTGTTCAACTCACAGAGTTTAACCTTTCCTTTCATAGAGCAGTTAGGAAACACTCTGTTTGTAAAGTCTGCAAGTGGATATTTTCACCTCTTTGAGGCCTTCGTTGGAAACGGGTTTTTTTTCATGTAATTCTAGACAGAAGAATTCTCAGTAACTTTCTTGTGTTGTGTGTATTCAACTGACAGAGTTGAACTATCATTTAGAGAGTGCAGATTTGAAACACTGTTTTTGTGGAATTTGTAAGTGGAGATTTCAAGCGCTTTGGGGCCAAAGGCAGAAAAGGAAATATCTTCGTATAAAAACTAGACAGAATCATTCTCAGAAACTGCTGCGTGATGTGTGCGTTCAACTCTCAGAGTTTAACTTTTCCTTTCATTCAGCGGTTTGGAAACACTCTGTTTGTAAAGTCTGCACGTGGAAATTTTGACCACTTAGTGGCCTTCGTTGGAAACGGGTTTTTTTCATGTAAGGCTAGACAGAATAATTCCCAGTAACTTCCTTGTGTTGTGTACATTCAACTCACAGAGTTGAACGTTCCCTTAGACAGAGCAGATTTGAAACACTCTTTTTGTGCAATTGGAAAGTGGAGATTTCAAGCGCTTAAGGTCAATGGCAGAAAAGGAAATATCTTCGTTTCAAAACTAGACAGAATCATTCCCACAAACTGCGTTGTGATGTGTTAGTTCAACTCACAGAGTTTAACCTTTCTTTTCATAGAGCAGTTAGGAAACACTCTGTTTGTAAATTCTGTAAGTGGATATTCTGACATCTTGTGGCCTTCGTTGGAAACGGGATTTCTTCATATTCTGCTAGACAGAAGAATTCTCAGTAACTTCCTTGTGTTGTGTGTATTCAACTCACAGAGTTGAACGATCCTTTACACAGAGCAGACTTGAAACACTCTTTTTGTGGAATTTGCAAGTGGAGATTTCAGCCGCTTTGAGTTCAATGTTAGAATAGGAAATATCTTCCTATAGAAACTAGACAGAATGATTCTCAGAAACTCCTTTGTGATGTGTGCGTTCAACTCACAGAGTTTAATCTTTCTTTTCATAGAGCAGTTAGGAAACACTCTCTAAAGTCTGCAAGTGGATATTCAGACCTCCTTGAGGTCTTCGATGGAAACGGGATTTCTTCATATTCTGCTAGACAGAAGAATTCCCAGTAACTTCCTTGTGTTGTGTGTGTTCAACTCACAGAGTTGAACTTTCATTTACACAGAGCAGATTTGAAACACTCTTTTTGTGGAATTTGCAAGTGGAGATTTCAAGCGCTTTGAGGCCAAGGCAGAAAAGGATATATCTTCGTATAAAAACTAGACAGAATCATTCTCAGAAACTGCTCTGCGATGTGTGCGTTCAACTCTCAGAGTTTAACTTTTCTTTTCATTCAGCTGTTTGGAAACACTCTGTTTGTAAAGTCTGCACGTGGATATTTTGACCACTTAGAGGCCTTCGTTGGAAACGGGTTTTTTTACCTGTAAGGCTAGACAGAAGAATTCCCAGTAACTTCCTTGTGTTGTGTGCATTCAACTCACAGAGTTGAACGTTCCCTTAGACAGAGCAGATTTGAAACACTCTATTTGTGCAATTTGCAAGTGTAGTTTTCAAGCTCTTTAAGGTCAACGGCAGAAAAGGAAATATCTTGGTTTCAAAACTAGACAGAATGATTCTCAGAAACGCCTTTGTGATGTGTGTGTTCAACTCACAGAGTTTAACCTTTCTTTTCATAGAGCAGTTAGGAAACACTCTGTTGGTAATGTCTGCAAGTGGATATTCAGACCTCTTTGAGGCCTTCGTTGGAAACGGGATTTCTTCATACTGTGCTAGACAGAAGAATTCTCAGAATCTTCCTTGTGTTGTGTGTATTCAACTCACAGAGTTGAACGATCCTTTACACAGAGCGGAATTGAAACACTCTTTTTGTGAAATTTGCAAGTGGAGATTTCAGCCGCGTTGAGGTCAATGGTAGAAAAGGAAATCTCTTCGTATAAAAACTAGACAGAATGATTCTCAGAAACTCCTTTGTGATGTGTGCGTTCAACTCACAGAGTTTAACCTTTCTTTTCATAGAGCAGTTAGGAAACACTCTGTTTGTAAAGTCTGCAAGTGGATATTCACACCTCCTTGAGGCCTTCGTTGGAAACGGGATTTCTTCATATTATGCTAGACAGAAGAATTCTCAGTAACTTCCTTGTGTTGTGTGTATTCAACTCACAGATTTCAACGATCCTTTACACAGAGCAGACTTGAAACACTCTTTTTGTGGAATTTGCAAGTGGAGATTTCAGCCGCTTTGAGGTCAATGGTAGAATAGGAAATATCTTCCTATAGAAACTAGACAGAATCATTCTCAGAAACTGCTCTGCGATGTGTGCGTTCAACTCTCAGAGTTTAACTTTTCTTTTCATTCAGCAGTTTGGAAACACTCTGTTTGTAAAGTCTGCACGTGGATATTTTGACCACTTAGAGGCCTTCGTTGGAAACGGGTTTTTTTCCTGTAAGGCTAGACAGTAGAATTCCCAGTAACTTCCTTGTGTTGTGTACATTCAACTCACAGAGTTGAACGTTCCCTTAGACAGAGCAGATTTGAAACACTCTTTTTGTGCAATTGGCAAATGGAGATTTCAAGGGCTTTAAGGTCAATGGCAGAAAAGGAAATATCTTCGTTTCAAAACTAGACAGAATCATTCCCACAAACTGCGTTGTGATGTGTTCGTTCAACTCACAGGGTTTAACCTTTCTTTTCATAGAGCAGTTAGGAAACAGTCTGTTTGTCAATTCTGTAAGTGGATATTCTGACATCTTGTGGCCTTCGTTGGAAACGGGATTTCTTCATATTCTGCTAGACAGAAGAATTCTCAGTAACTTCCTTGTGTTGTGTGTATTCAACTCACAGAGTTGAACGATCCTTTACACAGAGCAGACTTGTAACACTCTTTTTGTGGAATTTGCAAGTGGAGATTTCAGCCGCTTTGAAGTCAAAGGCAGAAAAGGAAATATCTTCGTATAAAAACTAGACAGAATGATTCTCAGAAACTCCTTTGTGATGTGTGCGTTCAACCCACAGAGTTTAACCTTTCTTTTCATAGAGCAATTAGGAAACACTCTGTTTGTAAAGTCTGCACGTGGATATTTGGACTTCTTTGAGGCCTTCGTTGGAAACGGGTTTTTTTCATGTAAGGCTAGACAGAAGAATTCCCAGTAACTTCCTTGTGTTGTGTGTGTTCAACTCACAGAGTTGAACTTTCATTTACACAGAGCAGATTTGAAATACTCTTTTTGTGGAATTTGCAGGTGGAGATTTCAAGCGCTTTGAGGCCAAAGGCAGAAAAGGAAATATCTTCGTATAAAAACTAGACAGAATCATTCTCAGAAACTGCTCTGTGATGTGTGCGTTCAACTCTCAGAGTTTAACTTTTCTTTTCATTCAGCAGTTTGGAAACACTCTGTAAAGTCTGCACGTAGATATTTTGACCACTTAGAGGCCTTCGTTGGAAACGGGTTTTTTTCATGTAAGGCTAGACAGAATAATTCCCAGTAACTTCCTTGTGTTGTGTACATTCAACTCACAGAGTTGAACGTTCCCTTAGACAGAGCAGATTTGAAACACTCTTTTTGTGCAATTGGCAAGTGGAGATTTGAAGCGCTTTAAGGTCAATGGCAGAAAAGGAAATATCTTCGTTTCAAAACTAGACAGAATGATTCTCAGAAAATCTTTTGTGATGTGTGCGTTCAACTCACAGAGTTTAACTTTTCTTCTCATAGAGCAGTTAGGAAACACTCTGTTTGTAAAGTGTGCAAGTGGATATTCAGACCTCCTTGAGGCCTTCGTTGGAAACGGGATTTCTTCATATTCTGCTAGACAGAAGAATTCTCAGTAACTTCCTTGTGTTGTGTTTATTCAACTCACAGGGTTGAATGATCCTTTACACAGAGCAGACTTGAAACACTCTTTTTGTGGAATTTGCAAGTGGAGATTTCAGCCGCTTTGAGGTCAATGGTAGAAAAGTAAATATCTTCGTATAAAGACTAGACAGAATGATTCTCAGAAACTCCTTTGTGATGTGTGCGTTCAACTCACAGAGTTTAACCTTTCTTTTCATAGAGCAGTTAGGAAACACTCTGTTTGTAAAGTCTGCAAGTGGATATTCAGACCTCTTTGAGGCCATCGTTGGAAACGGGATTTCTTCATATTCTGCTAGAGAGAAGAATTCTCAGTAACTTCCTTGTGTTGTGTGTATTCAACTGAGAGAGTTGATCTTTCATTTAGAGAGATCAGATTTGAAACACTGTTTTTGTGGAATTTGCAAGTGGAGATTTCAAGCGCTTTGGGGCCAAAGGCAGAAAAGGAAATATCTTCGTATAAAAACTTGACAGAATCATTCTCAGAAACTGCTGCGTGATCTGTGCGTTCAACTCTCAGAGTTTAACTTTTCTTTTCATTCAGCGGTTTGGAAACACTCTGTTTGTAAAGTCTGCACGTGGATATTTTGACCACTTAGAGGCCTTCGTTGGAAACGGGTTTTTTTCATGTAAGGCTAGACAGAAGAATTCCCAGTAACTTCCTTGTGTTGTGTGCATTCAACTCACAGAGTTGAACGTTCCCTTAGACAGAGCAGATTTGAAACACTCTATTTGTGCAATTTGCAAGTGTAGATTTCAAGCGCTTTAAGGTCAACGGCAGAAAAAGGAAATATCTTCGTTTCAAAACTAGACAGAATCATTCCCACAAACTGCGTTGTGATGTGTTCGTTCAACTCACAGAGTTTAACCTTTCTGTTCATAGAGCAGTTAGGAAACACTCTGTTTGTAAAGTCTGTAAGTGGATATTCTGACATCTTGTGGCCTTCGTTGGAAAAGGGATTTCTTCATATTTTGCTAGACAGAAGAATTCCCAGTAACTTCCTTGTGTTGTGTACATTCCACTCACAGAGTTGAACGTTCCCTTAGACAGAGCAGACTTGTAACACTCTTTTTGTGGAATTTGCAAGTGGAGATTTCAGCCGCTTTCAAGTCAAAGGTAGAAAAGGAAATATCTTCCTATAAAAACTAGACAGAATGATTCTCAGAAACTCCTTTGTGATGTGTGCGTTCAACTCACAGAGTTTAACCTTTCTTTTCATAGAGCAGTTGGGAAACACTCTGTTTGTAAAGTCTGCAAGTGGATATTCAGACATCTTTGAGGCTTTCGTTGGAAACGGGATTTCTTCATATTCTGCTAGAAAGAAGAATTCCCAGTAACTTCCTTGTGTTGTGTGTGTTCAAGTCACAGAGTTGAACTTTCATTTACACAGAGCAGATTTGAAACACTCTTTTTGTGGAATTTGCAAGTGGAGATTTCAAGCGCTTTGAGGCCAAAGGCAGAAAAGGAAATATCTTCGTTTCAAAACTAGACAGAATCATTCTCAGAAACTGCTCTGTGATGTGTGCGTTCAACTCACAGAGTTTAACTTTTCTTTTCATTCAGCAGTTTGGAAACACTCTGCTTGTAAAGTCTGCAAGTGGATATATTGACCTCTTTGAGTCCTTCATTGGATACGGGCTTTTTCCATGTAAGGCTAGACAGAAGAATTCCCAGTAACTTCTTTGTGTTGGGTGCATTCAACTCACAGAGTTGAACGTTCCTTTAGACAGAGCAGATTTGAAACACTCTTTTTGTGCAATTTGCAAGTGGAGATTTCAAGAGCTTTAAGGTCAATGGCAGAAAAGGAAATATCTTCGTTTCAAAACTAGACAGAATGATTCTCAGAAACTCCTTTGTGATGTGTGCGTTCAACTCACAGAGTTTAACCTTTCTTTTCATAGAGCAGTTAGGAAACACTCTGTTTGTAAAGTCTGCATGTGGATATTCAGACCTCTTTGAGGCCATCGTTGGAAACGGGATTTCTTCATATTCTGCTAGAGAGAAGAATTCTCAGTAACTTCCTTGTGTTGTGTGTATTCAACTCACAGAGTTCAACGATGCTTTACACAGAGGAGACTTGAAACACACTTTTTGTTGAATTTGCAAGTGGAGATTTCAGCCGATTTGAGGTCAATGGTAGAATAGGAAATATCTTCGTATAAAAACTAGACAGAATGATTCTGAGAAACTCCTTTGTGATGTGTGCGTTCAACTCACAGAGTTTAACCTTTCTTTTCATAGAGCAGTTAGGAAACACTCTGTTTGTAAAGTGTGCAAGTGGATATTCAGACCTCCTTGAGGCCTTCGTTGGAAAGGGGATTTCTTCATATTATGCTAGACAGAAGAATTCCCAGTACCTTCCTTGTGTTGTGTGTGTTCAACTCACAGAGTTGAACTTTCATTTACACAGAGCAGATTTGAAACACTCTTTTTGTGGAATTTGCAAGTGGAGATTTCAAGCGCTTTGAGGCCAAAGGCAGAGAAGGAAATATCTTCGTTTCAAAACTAGACAGAATCATTCTCAGAAACTGCTCTGCGATGTGTGCCGTTCAACTCTCAGAGTTTAACTTTGCTTTTCATTCAGCAGTTTGGAAACACTCTGTTTGTAAAGTCTGCACGTGGATAATTTGACCACTTAGAGGCCTTCGTTGGAAACGGGTTTTTTTCATGTAAGGCTAGACAGAAGAATTCCCAGTAACTTCCTTCTGTTGTGTGCATTCCACTCACAGAGTTGAACGTTCCCTTAGACAGAGCAGATTTGAAACACTCTATTTGTGCAATTTGCAAGTGTAGATTTCAAGCGCTTTAAGGTCAATGGCAGAAAAGGAAATATCTTCGTTTCAAAACTAGACAGAATAATTCCCACAACCTGCGTTGTGATGTGTTCGTTCAACTCACAGAGTTTAACCTTTCTTTTCATAGAGCAGTTAGGAAACAGTCTGTTTGTCAATTCTGTAAGTGGATATTCTGACATCTTGTGGCCTTCGTTGGAAACGGGATTTCTTCATATTCTGCTAGACAGAATAATTCTCAGAAACTTCCTTGTGTTGTGTGTATTCAACTCACAGAGTTGAACGATCCTTTACAGAGAGCAGACTTGAAACACTCTTTTTGTGGAATTTGCAAGTGGAGATTTCAGCCGCTTTGAGGTCAGTGGTAGAATAGGAAATATCTTCCTATAGAAACTAGACAGAATGATTCTCAGAAACTCCTTTGTGATGTGTGCGTTCAACTCACAGAGTTTAACCTTTCTTTTCATAGAGCAGTTAGGAAACACTCTGTTTCTAAAGTCTGCAAGTGGATATTCAGACCTGTTTGAGGCCTTCGTTGGAAACGGGTTTTTTTCATATAAGGCTAGACAGAAGAATTCTCAGTAACTTCTTTGTGTTGTGTGTATTCAACTGACAGAGTTGAACTTTCATTTATAGAGAGCAGATTTGAAACACTGTTTTTGTGGAATTTGCAAGTGGAGATTTCAAGCGCTTTGGGGCCAAAGGCGGAAAAGGAAATATCTTCGTATAAAAACTAGACAGAATCATTCTCAGAAACTGCTGCGTGATGTGTGCGTTGAACTCTCAGAGTTTAACTTTTCTTTTCATTCAGCGGTTTGGAAACACTCTGTTTGTAAAGTCTGCACGAGGATATTTTGACCCCTTAGAGGCCTTCGTTGGAAACGGGTTTTTTTCATGTAAGGCTAGACAGAAGAATTCCCAGTAACTTCCTTGTTTTGTGTGCATTCAACTCACAGAGTTGAACGTTCCCTTAGACAGAGCAGATTTGAAACACTCTATTTGTGCAATTTGCAAGTGTAGATTTCAAGCGCTTTAAGGTCAACGGCAGAAAAGGAAATATCTTCGTTTCAAAACTAGACAGAATCATTCCCACAAACTGCGTTCTGATGTGTTCGTTCAACTCACAGAGTTTAACCTTTCTGTTCATAGAGCAGTTAGGAAACACTCTGTTTGTAAAGTCTGTAAGTGGATATTCTGACATCTTGTGGCCTTCGTTGGAAACGGGATTTCTTCATATTCTGCTAGACAGAAGAATTCTCAGTAACTTTCCTTGTGTTGTGTGTATTCAACTCACAGAGTTGAACGATCCTTTACACAGAGCAGACTTGTAACACTCTTTTTGTGGAATTTGCAATTGGAGATTTCAGCCGCGTTGAGGTCAATGGTAGAAAAGGAAATATCTTCGTATAAAAACTAGACAGAATGATTCTCAGAAACTCCTTTGTGATGTGTGCGCTCAACTCACAGAGTTCAACCTTTCTTTTCATAGAGCAGTTAGGAAACACTCTGTTTGTAAAGTCTGCAAGTGGATATTCAGACCTCTTTGAGGCCTTCGTAGGAAACGGGATTTCTTCATATTATGCTAGACAGAAGAATTCCCAGTAACTTCCTTGTATTGTGTGTGTTCGACTCACAGAGTTGAACTTTCATTTACACAGAGCAGATTTGAAACACTCTTTTTGTGGAATTTGCAAGTGGAGATTTCAAGCGCTTTGAGGCCAAAGGCAGAAAAAGAAATATCTTCGTTTCAAAACTAGACAGAATCTTTCTCAGAAACTGCTCTGGGATGTGTGCGTTCAACTCACAGAGTTTAACTTTTCTTTCCATTCAGCAGTTTGGAAACACTCTGTTTGGAAAGTCTGCACGTGGATATTTTGACCTCTTTGAGGCCTTCGTTGGAAACGGGTTTTTTTCATGTAAGGCTAGACAGAAGAATTCTCAGTAACTTCCTTGTGTTGTGTGTATTCGGCTCACAGAGTTGAACAATCCTTTACACAGAGCAGACTTGAAACACTCTTTTTGTGGAATTTGCAAGTGGAGATTACAGCCGCTTTGAGGTCAATGGTAGAAAAGGAAATATCTTCGTATAAAGACTAGACAGAATGATTCTCATAAACTCCTTTGTGATGTGTGCGTTCAACTCACAGAGTTTAACTTTTCTTTTCATAGAGCAGTTAGGAAACACTCTGTTTGTAAAGTCTGTAAGTGGATATTCTGACATCTTGTGGCCTTCGTTGGAAACGGGATTTCTTCATATTCTGCTAGACAGAAGAATTCTCAGAAACTTCCTTGTGTTGTGTGTATTCAACTCACAGAGTTGAACGATCCTTTACATAGAGCAGACTTGAAACACTCTTTTTGTGGAATTTGCAAGTGGAGATTTCAGCCGCTTTGAGGTCAACGGTAGAATAGGAAATATCTTCCTATAGAAACTAGACAGAATGATTCTCAGAAACTCCTTTGTGATGTGTGCGTTCAACTCACAGAGTTTAACCTTTCTTTTCATAGAGCAGTTAGGAAACACTCTGTGTGTAAAGTCTGCAAGTGGATAATTCAGACATCCTTGAGGCCTTCGTTGGAAACTGGATTTCTTCATATTATGCTAGACAGAAGAATTCTCAGTAACTTCCTTGTGTTGTGTGTATTCAACTGACAGAGTTGAACTTTCATTTAGAGAGATCACATTTGAAACACTGTTTTTGTGGAATTTGCAAGTGGAGATTTCAAGCGCTTTGGGGCCAAAGGCAGAAAAGGAAATATCTTCGTATAAAAACTAGACAGAATCATTCTCAGAAACTGCTGCGTGATGTGTGCATTCAACTCTCAGAGTTTAACTTTTCTTTTCATTCAGCGGTTTGGAAACACTCTGTTTGTAAAGTCCGCACGTGGATATTTTCACCACTTAGAGGCCTTCTTTTGAAACGGTTTTTTGCATGTAAGGCTAGACAGAAGAATTCCCAGTAACTTCCTTGTGTTGTGTACATTCAACTCACAGAGTTGAACGTTCCTTTAGACAGAGCAGATTTGAAACACTCTTTTTGTGCAATTGGCAAGTGGAGATTTCAAGCGCTTTAAGGTCAATGGCAGAAAAGGAAATATTTTCGTTTCAAAACTAGACAGAATGATTCTCAGAAACTTCATTTGTGAAGTGTGCGTTCAACTCACAGAGTTTAACCTTTCTTTTCATAGAGCAGTTAGGAAACACTCTGTTTGTAAACTCTGCAAGTGGATATTCAGACCTCTTTGAGGCCTTCGTTGGAAACGGGATTTCTTCATACTGTGCTAGACAGAAGAATTCTCAGTAACTTCCTTGTGTTGTGTGTATTCAACTCACAGAGTTGAACGATCCTTTACACAGAGCAGACTTGTAACACTCTTTTTGTGGAATTTGCAAGTGGAGATTTCAGCCGCTTTGAAGTCAAAGGTAGAAAAGGAAATATCTTCCTATAAAAATTAGACAGAATGATTCTCAGAAACTCCTTTGTGATGTGTGCGTTCAACTCACAGAGTTTAACTTTTCTTTTCATAGAGCAGTTAGGAAACACTCTTTTTGTAAAGTCTGCAAGTGGATATTCAGACCTCTTTGAGGCCTTCGTTGGAAACGGGTTTTTTTCATATAAGGCTAGACAGAAGAATTCCCAGTAACTTCCTTGTGTTGTGTGTGTTCAACTCACAGAGTTGAACTTTGATTTACACAGAGCAGATTTGAAACACTCTTTTTGTGGAATTTGCAAATGGAGATTTCAAGCGCTTTGAGGCCAAAGGAAGAAAAGGAAATATCTTCGTATAAAAACTGGACAGAATGATTCTCAGAAACTGCTCTGTGATGTGTGCGTTCAACTCTCAGAGTTTAACTTTCCTTTTCATTCAGCAGTTTGGAAACACTCTGTTTGAAAAGTCTGCACGTGGATAATTTGACCACATAGAGGCCTTCGTTGGAAACGGGTTTTTGTCATGTAGGGCTAGACAGAAGAATTCCCAGTAACTTCCTTGTGTTGTGTACATTCAACTCACAGAGTTGAACGTTCCCTTAGACAGAGCAGATTTGGAACACTCTTTTTGTGCAATTGGCAAGTGGAGATTTCAAGCGCTTTGAGGTCAATGGCAGAAAAGGAAATATCTTCGTTTCAAAACTAGACAGAATCATTCCCACAAACTGCGTTGTGATGTGTTCGTTCATCTCACAGAGTTTAACCTTTCTTTTCATAGAGCAGTTAGGAAACACTCTGTTTGTTAATTCTGTAAGTGGATATTCTGACATCTTGTGGCCTTCGTTGGAAACGGGATTTCTTCATATTCTGCTAGACAGAAGAATTCTCAGTAACTTCCTTGTGTTGTGTGTATTCAACTCACAGAGTTGAATGATCCTTTACACAGAACAGTCTTGAAACACTCTTTTTGTGGAATTTGCAAGTGGAG
This sequence comes from Homo sapiens, assembly GCF_000001405.40. Classification (NCBI taxonomy): domain Eukaryota; kingdom Metazoa; phylum Chordata; class Mammalia; order Primates; family Hominidae; genus Homo; species Homo sapiens. The sequence continues at coordinate 123,395,998 of NC_000001.11, forward strand.
ATTTCAGCCGCTTTGAGGTCAATGGTAGAATAGGAAATATCTACCTATAGAAATTAGACAGAATGATTCTCAGAAACTTCTTTGTGATGTGTGCGTTCAACTCACAGAGTTTAACCTTTCTTTTCATAGAGCAGTTAGGAAACACTGTGTTTTTAAACTGTGCAAGTGGATATTCAGACCTCTTTGAGGCCTTCGTTGGAAACGGGATTTCTTCATACTGTGCTGGAGAGAAGAATTCTCAGTAACTTCCTTGTGTTGTGTGTATTCAACTGACAGAGTTGAACTTTCATTTAGAGAGAGCACATTTGAAACACTGTTTTTGTGGAATTTGCAAGTGGAGATTTCAAGAGCTTTGGGGCCAAAGGCAGAAAAGGAAATATCTTCGTATAAAAACTAGACAGAAATCATTCTCAGAAAACTGCTGCGTGATGTGTGCGTTCAACTCTCAGAGTTTAACTTTTCCTTTCATTCAGCGGTTTGGAAACACTCTGTTTGTAAAGTCTGCACGTGGATATTTTGAACACTTAGAGGCCTTCGTTGGAAACGGGTTTTTTTCATGTAAGGCTAGACAGAAGAATTCCCAGTAACTTCCTTGTGTTGTGTACATTCAACTCACAGAGTTGAACGTTCCCTTAGACAGAGCAGATTTGAAACACTCTTTTTGTGCATTTGGCAAGTGGTGATTTCAGCCGCTTTGAGGTCAATGGTAGAAAAGGAAATATCTTCGTATAAAAACTAGACAGAATCATTCCCACAAACTGCGTTGTGATGTGTTCGTTCAACTCACAGAGTTTAACCTTTCTTTTCATAGAGCAGTTAGGAAACAGTCTGTTTGTCAATTCTGTAAGTGGATATTCTGACATCTTGTGGCCTTCGTTGGAAACGGGATTTCTTCATATTCCTGCTAGACAGAAGAATTCTCAGTAACTTCCTTGTGTTGTGTGTATTCAACTCACAGAGTTGAACGATCCTTTACACAGAGCAGACTTGAAACACTCTTTTTGTGGAATTTGCAAATGGAGATTTCAGCCGCTTTGATGTCAATGGTAGAAAAGGTAATATCTTCGTATAAAGACTAGACAGAATGATTCTCAGAAACTCCTTTGTGATGTGTGTGTTCAACTCACAGAGTTCAACCTTTCTTTTCATAGAGCAGTTGGGAAACACTCTGTTTGTAAAGTCTGCAAGTGGATATTCAGACTTCTTTGAGGCCTTCTTTGGAAGCGGGATTTCTTCATGTTCTGCTAGACAGAAGTAATTCTCAGTAACTTCCTTGTGTTGTGTGTATTCAACTCACAGAGTTGAACGATCCTTTACACAGAGCAGACTTGTAACACTCTTTTTGTGGAATTTGCAAGTGGAGATTTCAAGCGCTTTGAGGCCAAAGGCAGAAAAGGAAATATCTTCGTTTCAAAACTAGACAGAATCATTCTCAGAAACTGCTCTGCGATGTGTGCGTTCAACTCTCAGAGTTTAACTTTTCTTTTCATTCAGCAGTTTGGAAACACTCTGTTTGTAAAGTCTGCACGTGGATATTTTGACCACTTAGAGGCCTTCGTTGGAAACGGGTTTTTTTCCTGTAAGGCTAGACAGTAGAATTCTCAGTAACTTCCTTGTGTTGTGTGTATTCAACTCACAGAGTTGAACGATCCTTTACAGAGAGCAGACTTGAAACACTCTTTTTGTGGAATTTGCAAGTGGAGATTTCAGCCGCTTTGAGGTCAATGGTAGAATAGGAAATATCTTTCTATAGAAACTAGACAGAATGATTCTCAGAAACTCCTTTGTGATGTGTGCGTTCAACTCACAGAGTTTAACCTTTCTTTTCATAGAGCAGTTAGGAAACACTCTGTTTGTAAAGTCTGCAAGTGGATATTCAGACCTCTTTGAGGCCTTCGTTGGAAACGGGATTTCTTCATATTCTGTTACACAGAAGAATTCTCAGTAACTTCCTTGTGTTGTGTGTATTCAACTCACAGAGTTGAACGATCCTTTACACAGAGCAGACTTGAAACACTCTTTTTGTAGAATTTGCAAGTGGAGATTTCAGCCGCTTTGAGGTCAATAGTGGAAAAGGAAATATCTTCGTAGAAAAACTAGACAGAATGATTCTCAGAAACTCCTTTGTGATGTGTGCGTTCAACTCACAGAGTTTAACCTTTCTTTTCATAGAGCAGTTAGGAAACACTCTGTTTGTAAAGTCTGCAAGTGGATATTCAGACATCATTGAGGCTTTCGTTGGAAACGGGATTTCTTCATATTCTGCTAGAAAGAAGAATTCCCAGTAACTTCCTTGTGTTGTGTGTGTTCAACTCACAGTAGGTGAACGGTCCTTTACACAGGAGCAGATTTGAGACACTCTTTTTGTGGAATTTGCTAATGGAGATTTCAAGCGCTTTGAGGCCAAAGGCAGAAAAGGAAATATCTTCGTATAAAAACTAGACAGAATCATTCTCAGAAACTGCTCTGCGATGTCTGCGTACAACTCTCAGAGTTTAACTTTTCTTTTCATTCAGCAGTTTGGAAACACTCTGTTTGTAAAGTCTGCACGTGGATAATTTGACCACTTAGAGGCCTTCGTTGGAAACGGGTTTTTTTCATGTAAGGCTAGACAGAAGAATTCCCAGTAACTTCCTTGTGTTGTGTACATTCAACTCACAGAGTTGAACGTTCCCTTAGACAGAGCATATTTGAAACACTCTTTTTGTGCAATTGGCAAGTGGAGATTTCAAGTGCTTTAAGGTCAATGGCAGAAAAGGAAATATCTTCGTTTCAAAACTAGACAGAATCATTCCCACAAACTGCGTTGTGATGTGTTCGTTCAACTCACAGAGTTTAACCTTTCTTTTCATAGAGCAGTTAGGAAACAGTCTGTTTGTAAATTCTGTAAGTGGATATTCTGACATTTGTGGCCTTCGTTGGAAACGGGATTTCTTCATATTTTGCTAGACAGAAGAATTCTCAGAAACTTTGTTGTGTTGTGTGTTTTCAACTCACAGAGTTCAACGATCCTTTACACAGAGTAGACTTGAAACACTCTTTTTGTGGAATTGGCAGGGTGGAGATTTCAGCCGCTTTGAGGTCAATGGTAGAAAAGGAAATATCTTCGTATAAAAACTAGACAGAGTGATTCTCAGAAACTCCTTTGTGATGTCTGCGTTCAACTCACAGAGTTTAACCTTTCTTTTCATAGAGCAGTTTGGAAACACTCTGTTTGTAAAGTCTGCAAGTGGATATTCAGACCTCCTTGAGGCCTTCGTTGGAAACGGGATTTCTTCATATTCTGCTATACAGAAGAATTCTCACTAACTTCCTTGTGTTGTGTGTATTCAACTGACAGAGTTGAACATTCATTTAGAGAGAGCAGATTTGAAACACTGTTTTTGTGGAATTTGCAAGTGGAGATTTCAAGCGCTTTGGGGCCAAAGGCAGAAAAGGAAATATCTTCGTATAAAAACTAGACAGAATCATTCTCAGAAACTGCTGCGTGATGTGTGCGTTCAACTCTCAGAGTTTAACTTTTCTTTTCATTCAGCGGTTTGGAAACACTCTGTTTGTAAAGTCTGCACGTGGATATTTTGACCACTTAGAGGCCTTCGTTGGAAACGGGTTTTCTTCATGTAAGGCTAGACAGAAGAATTCCCAGTAACTTCCTTGTGTTGTGTGCATTCAACTCACAGAGTTGAACGTTCCCTTAGACAGAGCAGATTTGAAACACTCTATTTGTCCAATTTGCAAGTGTAGATTTCAAGCGCTTTAAGGTCAACGGCAGAAAAGGAAATATCTTCGTTTCAAAACTAGACAGAATGATTCTCATAAACTCCTTTGTCATGTGTGCGTTCAACTCACAGAGTTTAACTTTTCTTTTCATAGAGCAGTTAGGAAACACTCTGTTTGTAAAGTCTGCAAGTGGATATTCAGACCTCTTTGAGGCCTTTGTTGGAAACGGGATTTCTTCATATTATGCTAGACAGAAGAATTCTCAGTAACTTCCTTGTGTTGTGTGTATTCAACTCACAGAGTTGAACGATCCTTTACACAGAGCAGACTTGAAACATTCTTTTTGTGGAATTTGTAAGTGGAGATTTCAGCCGCTTTGAGGTCAATGGTAGAATAGGAAATATCTTCCTATAGAAATTAGACAGAATGATTCTCAGAAACTCCTTTGTGATGTGTGCTTTCAACGCACAGAGTTTAACCTTTCTTTTCATAGAGCAGTTAGGAAACACTCTGTTTGTAAAGTCTGCAAGTGGATATTCAGACCTCCTTGAGGCCTTCGTTGGAAACGGGAGTTTCTTCCTATTATGCTAGACAGAAGAATTCTCAGTAACTTCCTTGTGTTGTGTGTATTCAACTCACAGAGTTGAACTATCCTTTACACAGAGCAGACTTGAAACACTCTTTTTGTGGAATTTGCAAGTGGAGATTTCAGCCGCTTTGAGTTCAATGGTAGAATAGGAAATATCTTCCTATAGAAACTAGACAGATAATCATTCTCAGAAACTGCTGCGTGATGTGTGCGTTCAACTCTCAGAGTTTAACTTTTCTTTTCATTCAGCGGTTTGGAAACACTCTGTTTGTAAAGTCTGCACGTGGATATTTTGACCACTTAGAGGCCTTCGTTGGAAACGGGTTTTTTTCATGTAAGGCTAGACAGAAGAATTCCCAGTAACTTCCTTGTGTTGTGTGCATTCAACTCACAGAGTTCAACGTTCCCTTAGACAGAGCAGATTTGAAACACTCTATTTGTGCAATTTGCAAGTGTAGATTTCAAGCGCTTTAATGTCAATGGCAGAAAAGGAAATATCTTCGTTTCAAAACTAGACAGAATCATTCCCACAAACTGCGTTGTGATGTGTTCGTTCAACTCACAGAGTTTAACCTTTCTTTTCATAGAGTAGTTAGGAAACAGTCTGTTTGTAAATTCTGTACGTGGATATTCTGACATCTTGTGGCCTTCGTTGGAAACGGGATTTCTTGATATTCTGCTAGACAGAAGAATTCTCACTAACTTCCTTGTGTTGTGTGTATTCAACTCACAGAGTTGAACGATCCTTTACACAGAGGAGACTTGAAACACTCTTTTTGTGGAATTTGCAAGTGGAGATTTCAGCCGCTTTGAGGTCAATGGTAGAAAAGGAAATATCTTCGTATAAAGACTAGACAGAATGATTCTCAGAAACTCCTTTGTGATGTGTACGTTCAACTCACAGAGTTTAACCTTTCTTTTCATAGAGCAGTTAGGAAACACTCTGTTTGTAAAGTCTGCAAGTGGATATTGAGACCTCTTTGAGGCCTTCGTTGGAAACGGGTTTTTTTCATATAAGGCTAGACAGAAGAATTCTAAGTAACTTCCTTGTGTTGTGTGTATTCAACTGACAGAGTTGAACTTTCATTTAGAGAGAGCAGATTTGAAACACTGTTTTGGTGGAATTTGCAAGTGGAGATTTCAAGCGATTTGGGGCCAAAGGCAGAAAAGGAAATATCTTCGTATAAAAACTAGACAGAATCATTCTCAAAAACTGCTGCGTGATGTTTGCGTTCAACTCTCAGAGTTTAACTTTTCTTTTCATTCAGCGGTTTGGAAACACTCTGTTTGTAAAGTCTGCACGTGGATATTTTGACCACTTAGAGGCCTTCGTTGGAAACGGGTTTTTTTCATGTAAGGCTAGACAGAAGAATTCGCAGTAACTTCCTTGTGTTGTGTACATTCAACTCACAGAGTTGAACGTTCCCTTAGACAGAGCAGATTTGAAACACTCTTTTTGTGCAATTGGCAAATGGAGATTTCAAGCGCTTTAAGGTCAATGGCAGAAAAGGAAATATCTTCGTTTCAAAACTAGACAGAATGATTCTCATAAACTCCTTTGTGATGTATGCGTTCAACTCACAGAGTTTAACCTTTCTTTTCATAGAGCAGTTAGGAAACACTCTGTTTGTAAAGTCTGCAAGTGGATATTCAGACCTCCTTGAGGCCTTCGTTGGAAACGGGATTTCTTCATATTATGCTAGACAGAATAATTCTCAGTAACTTCCTTGTGTTGTGTGTATTCAACTCACAGAGTTGAATGATCCTTTACACAGAGCAGACTTGAAACACTCTTTTTGTGGAATTTGCAAGTGGAGATTTCAGCCGCTTTGAGGTCAATGGTAGAAAAGTAAATATCTTCGTATGAAGACTAGACAGAATGATTCTCAGAAACTCCTTTGTGATGTGTGCGTTCAACTCACAGAGTTTAACCTTTCTTCTCATAGAGCAGTTAGGAAACACTCTGTTTGTAAAGTCTGCAAGTGGATATTCAGACCTCTTTGAAGCCTTCGTTGGAAACGGGATTTCTTCATATTATGCTAGACAGAAGATTTCCCAGTAACTTCCTTGTGTTGTGTGTGTTCAACTCACAGAGTTGAACTTTCATTTACACAGAGCAGATTTGAAACACTCTTTTTGTGGAATTTGCAAATGGAGATTTCAAGCGCTTTGAGGCCAAAGGCAGAAAAGGAAATATCTTCGTATAAAAACTAGACAGAATCATTCTCAGAAACTGCTCTGCGATGTGTGCGTTCAACTCTCAGAGTTTAACTTTTCTTTTCATTCAGCAGTTTGGAAACACTCTGTTTGTAATGTCTGCACGTGGATATTTTGACCACTTAGAGGCCTTCGTTGGAAACGGGTTTTTTTCCTGTAAGGCTAGACAGAAGAATTCCCAGTAACTTCCTTGTGTTGTGTACATTCAACTCACAGAGTTGAACGTTCCCTTAGACAGAGCAGATTTGAAACACTCTTTTTGTGCAATTAGCAAGTGGAGATTTCAAGCGCTTTAAGGTCAATGGCAGAAAAGGAAATATCTTACTTTCAAAACTAGACAGAATCATTCCCACAAACTGCGTTGTGATGTGTTCGTTCAACTCACAGAGTTTAACCTTTCTTTTCATAGAGCAGTTAGGAAACACTCTGTTTGTAAATTCTGTAAGTGGATATTCTGACATCTTGTGGCCTTCGTTGGAAACGGGATTTCTTCATATTCTGCTAGACAGAAGAATTCCTCAGTAACTTCCCTTGTGTTGTGTGTATTCAACTCACAGAGTTGAACGATCCTTTACACAGAGCAGACTTGAAACACTCGTTTTGTGGAATTTGCAAGTGGAGATTTCAGCCGCGTTGAGGTCAATGGTAGAAAAGGAAATATCTTCGTATAAAAACTAGACAGAATGATTCTCAGAAAATCCTTTGTGATGTGTGCGTTCAACTCACAGAGTTTAACTTTTCTTTTCATGGAGCAGTTAGGAAACACTCTGTTTGTAAAGTCTGCAAGTGAATATTCAGACCTCTTTGAGGCCTTCGTTGGAAACGGGATTTCTTCATATTATGCTAGACAGAATAATTCTCAGTAACTTCCTTGTGTTGTGTGTATTCAACTCACAGAGTTGAACGATCCTTTACAGAGAGCAGACTTGAAACACTCTTTTTGTGGAATTTGCAAGTGGAGATTTCAGCCGCTTTGAGGTCAATGGTAGAATAGGAAATTTCTTCCTATAGAAACTAGACAGAATCATTCTCAGAAACTGCTCTGCGATGTGTGCGTTCAACTCTCACAGTTTAACTTTTCTTTTCATTCAGCAGTTTGGAAACACTCTGTTTGTAAAGTCTGCACGTGGATAATTTGACCACTTAGAGGCCTTCGTTGGAAACGGGTTTTTTTCATGTAAGGCTACACAGAAGAATTCCCAGTAACTTCCTTGCGTTGTGTACATTCAACTCACAGAGTTGAACGTTCCCTTAGACAGAGCAGATTTGAAACACTCTTTTTGTGCAATTGGCAAGTGGAGATTTCAAGCGCTTTAAGGTCAATGGCAGAAAAGGAAATATCTTCGTTTCAAAACTAGACAGAATCATTCCCACAAACTGCGTTGTGATGTGTTCGTTCAACTCACAGAGTTTAACCATTCTTTTCATAGAGCAGTTAGGAAACAGTCTATTTGAAAATTCTGTAAGTGGATATTCTGACATCTTGTGGCCTTCGTTGGAAACGGGATTTCTTCATATTCTGCTAGACAGAGGAATTCTCAGGAACTTCCTTGTGTTGTGTGTATTCAACTCACAGAGTTGAACGACCCTTTACACAGAGCAGACTTGAAACACTCTTTTTGTGGAATTTGCAAGTGGAGATTTCAGCCGCTTTGAGTTCAAATGTAGAATAGGAAATATCTTCCTATAGAAAGTACACAGAATGATTCTCAGAAAATCCTTTGTGATGTGTGCCTTCAACTCACAGAGTTTAACTTTTCTTTTCATCGAGCAGTTAGGAAACACTCTGTTTGTAAAGTCTGCAAGTGGATATTCAGACGTCTTTGAGGCCTTCGTTGGAAACGGGATTTCTTCATATTATGCTAGACAGAAGAATTCCCAGTAACTTCCTTGTGTTGTGTGTGTTCAACTCACAGAGTTGAACTTTCATTTACACAGAGCAGATTTGAAACCCTCTTTTTGTGGAATTTGCAAATGGAGATTTCAAGCGCTTTGAGGCCAAAGGCAGAAAAGGAAATATCTTCGTATAAAAACTAGACAGAATCATTCTCAGAAACTGCTCTGCGATGTGTGCATTCAACTCTCAGAGTTTAATTTTTCTTTTCATTCAGCAGTTTGGAAACATTCTCTTTGTAAAGTCTGCACGTGGATATTTTGACAACTTAGAGGCCTTCGTTGGAAACGGGTTTTATTCTTGTAAGGCTAGACAGAAGAATTCCCAGTAACTTCCTTGTGTTGTGTGCATTCAACTCACAGAGCTGAACGTTCCCTTAGACAGAGCAGATTTGAAACACTCTATTTGTGCAATTTGCAAGTGTAGATTTCAAGCGCTTTAAGGTCAATGGCAGAAAAGGAAATATCTTCGTTTCAAAACTAGACAGAATCATTCCCACAAACTGCTTTGTGATGTGTTCGTTCAACTCACAGAGTTTAAACTTTCTTTTCATAGAGCAGTTAGGAAACAGTCTGTTTGTCAATTCTGTAAGTGGATATTCTGACATCTTGTGGCCTTCGTTGGAAACGGGATTTCTTCATATTCTGCTAGACAGAAGAATTCTCAGTAACTTCCTTGTGTTGTGTTTATTCAACTCACAGAGTTGAATGATCCTTTACACAGAGCAGACTTGAAACACTCTTTTTGTGGAATTTGCAAGTGGAGATTTCAGCCGCTTTGAGGTCAATGTTAGAAAAGGAAATATCTTCGTATAAAGACTAGACAGAATGATTCTCAGAAACTCCTTTGTGATGTGTGCGTTCAACTCACAGAGTTTAACTTTTCTTTTCATAGAGCAGTTAGGAAACACTCTGTTTGTAAAGTCTGCAAGTGGATATTCAGACCTCTTTGAGTCCTTCATTGGAAACGGGATTTCTTCATATTATGCTAGACAGAAGAATTCTCAGTAACTTCCTTGTGTTGTGTGTATTCAACTCACAGAGTTGAACGATCCTTTACACTGAGCAGACTTGAAACATTCTTTTTGTGGAATTTGCAAGTGGAGATTTCAGCCGCTTTGGGGTCAATGGTAGAATAGGAAATATCTTCGTAGAAGAACTAGACAGAATCATTCTCAGAACCTGCTGCGCGATGTGTGCGTTCAACTCTCAGAGTTTAACTTTTCTTTTCATTCAGCGGTTTGGAAACACTCTGTTTGTAAAGTCTGCACGTGGATATTTTGACCACTTAGAGTCCTTCGTTGGAAACGGGTTTTTTTCATGTAAGGCTAGACAGAAGAATTCCCAGTAACTTCCTTGTGTTGTGTACATTCAACTCACAGAGTTGAACGTTCCCTTAGACAGAGCAGATTTGAAACACTCTTTTTGTGCAATTGGCAAGTGGAGATTTCAAGCGCTTTAAGGTCAATGGCAGAAAAGGAAATATCTTCGTTTCAAAACTAGACAGAATCATTCCCAGAAACTGCGTTGTGATGTGTTCGTTCAACTCACAGAGTTTAACCTTTCTTTTCATAGAGCAGTTAGGAAACACTCTGTTTGTAAAGTCTGTAAGTGGATATTCTGACGTCTTGTGGCCTTCGTTGGAAACGGGATTTCTTCATATTCTGCTAGACAGAAGAATTCTCAGTAACTTCCTTGTGTTGTGTGTATTCAACTCACAGAGTTGAATGATCCTTTACACAGAACAGACTTGAAACACTCTTTTTGTGGAATTTGCAAGTGGAGATTTCAGCCGCTTTGAGGTCAACGGTAGAATAGGAAATATCTTCCTATAGAAACTAGACAGAATGATTCTCAGAAACTGCTTTGTGATGTGTGCGTTCAACTCACAGAGTTTAACCTTCCTTTTCATAGAGCAGTTAGGAAACACTCTGTTTGTAAAATCTGCAATTGGATATTCAGACCTCTTTGAGGCCTTCGTTGCAAACGGGATTTCTTTATGTTATGCTACACAGAAGAATTCTCAGTAACTTCCTTGTGTTGTGTGTATTCAACTCACAGAGTTGAACTTTCATTTACACAGAGCAGATTGGAAACACTCTTTTGTGGAATTTGCAAGTGGAGATTTCAAGCGCTTTGAGGCCAAAGGCAGAAAAGGAAATATCTTCGTATAAAAACTAGACAGAATCATTCTCAGAAACTGCTCTGCGATGTGTGCGTTCAACTCTCAGAGTTTAACTTTTCCTTTCATTCAGCAGTTTGGAAACACTCTGTTTGTAAAGTCTGCACGTGCATAATTTGACCACTTAGATGCCTTCGTTGGAAACGGGTTTTTTCCATGTAAGGCTAGACAGAAGAATTCTCAGTAACTTCCTTGTGTTGTGTGTATTCAACTCACAGAGTTGAACGATCCTTTACACAGAGCAGACTTGGAACACTCTTTTTGTGGAATTTGCAAGTGGAGATTTCAGCCGCTTTGAGGTCCATGGTAGAAAAGGAAATATCTTCGTATAAAAACCAGACAGAATCATTCCCACAAACTTGGGTTGTGATGTGTTCGTTCAACTCACAGAGTTTAACCTTTCTTTTCATAGAGCAGTTAGGAAACAGTCTGTTTGTCAATTCTGTAAGTGGATATTCTGACATCTTGTGGCCTTCGTTGGAAACGGGATTTCTTCATATTCTGCTAGACAGAATAATTCTCAGTAACTTCCTTGTGTTGTGTGTATTCAGCTCACAGAGTTGAACGATCCTTTACACAGAGCAGACTTGAAACACTCTTTTTGTGGAATTTGCAAGTGGAGATTTCAGCCGCTTTGAGGTCAATAGTAGAAAAGGAAATATCTTCGTAGAAAAACAAGACAGAATGATTCTCAGAAACTCCTTTGTGATGTGGGCGTTCAACTCACAGAGTTTAACCTTTCTTTTCATAGAGCAGTTAGGAAACACTCTGTTTGCAAAGTCTGCAAGTGGATATTCAGACCTCTTTGACGCCTTCGTTGGAAACGGGATTTCTTCATATTCTGCTAGACAGAAGAATTCTCAGTAACTTCTTTGTGTTGTGTGTATTCAACTGACAGAGTTGAACTTTCATTTAGAGAGAGCAGATTTGAAACACTGTTTTTGTGGAATTTGCAAGTGGAGATTTCAAGCGCTTTGGGGCCAAAGGCAGAAAAGGAAATATCTTCTTATAAAAACTAGACAGAATCATTCTCAGAAACCGCTCTGTGATGTGTGCGTTCAACTCGCAGAGTTTAACTTTTCTTTTCATTCAGCAGTTTGGAAACACTCTGTTTGTAAAGTCTGCACGTGGATATTTTGACCACTTAGAGGCCTTCGTTGGAAACGGGTTTTTTTTCATGTAAGGCTAGACAGAAGAATTCCCAGTAACTTCCTTGTGTTGTGTGCATTCAACTCACATAGTTGAACGTTCCCTTAGACAGAGCAGATTTGAAACACTCTATTTGTGCAATTTGCAAGTGTAGATTTCAAGCGCTTTAAGGTCAATGGCAGAAAAGGAAATATCTTCGTTTCAAAACTAGACAGAATCATTCCCACAAACTGCGTTGTGATGTGTTCGTTCAACTCACAGAGTTTAACCTTTCTGTTCATAGAGCAGTGAGGAAACACTCTGTTTGTAAAGTCTCTAAGTGGATATTCTGACATCTTGTGGCCTTCGTTGGAAACGGGATTTCTTCATATTCTGCTAGACAGAAGAATTCTCAGTAACTTCCTTGTGTTGTGTGTATTCAACTCACAGAGTTGAACGATCCTTTACACAGAGCAGAATTGAAACATTCTTTTTGTGGAATTTGCAAGTGGAGATTTCAGCCGCTTTGAGGTCAATGGTAGAATAGGAAATATGTTCCTATAGAAACTAGACAGAATGATTCTCAGAAACTCCTTTGTGATGTGTGTGTTCAACTCACAGAGTTTAACCTTTCTTTTCCTAGAGCAGTTAGTAAACACTCTGTTTATAAAGTCTGCAAGTGGATATTGAGACCCCTTTGAGGCCTTCGTTGGAAACGGGATTTCTTCATATTATGCTAGACAGAAGAATTCCCAGTAACTTCCTTGTGTTGTGTGTGTTCTACTCACAGAGTTGAACTTTCATTTACACAGAGCAGATTTGAAACACTCTTTTTGTGGAATTTGCAAATGGAGATTTCAAGCGCTTTGAGGCCAAAGGCAGAAAAGGAAATATCTTCGTATAAAAACTAGACAGAATCATTCTCAGAAACTGCTCTGCGATGTGTGCGTTCAACTCTCAGAGTTTAACTTTTCTTTTCATTCAGCAGTTTGGAAACACTCTGTTTGTAAAGTCTGCACGTGGATAATTTGACCACTTAGAAGCCTTCGTTGGAAACGGGTTTTTTTCATGTAAGGCTAGACAGAAGAATTCTCAGTAACTTCCCTTGTGTTGTGTGTATTCAACTCACAGAGTTGAACGATCCTTTACACAGAGCAGACTTGTAACACTCTTTTTGTGGAATTTGCAAGTGGAGATTTCAGCCGCTTTGATGTCAAAGGTAGAAAAGGAAATATCTTCCTATAAAAACTAGACAGAATGATTCTCAGAAACTCCTTTGTGATGTGTGCGTTCAACTCACAGTTTAACCTTTCTTTTCATAGAGCAGTTAGGAAACACTCTGTTTGTAAAGTCTGCAAGTGGATATTCAGACCTCTTTGAGGCTTTCCTTGGAAACGGGATTTCTTCCTATTCTGCTAGACAGAATAATTCTCAGTAACTTCCTTGTGTTGTGTGTATTCAACTCACAGAGTTGAACGATCCTTTACACAGAGCAGACTTGAAACATTCTTTTTGTGGAATTTGCAACTGGAGATTTCAGCCGCTTTGAGGTCAATGGTAGAATAGGAAATATCTTCCTATAGAAACTAGACAGAATGATTCTCAGAAACTCCTTTGTGATGTGTGCGTTCAACTCACAAAGTTTAACCTTTCTTTTCATAGAGCAGTTAGGAAACACTCTGTTTGTAAAGTCTGCAAGTGGATATTCAGACCTCTTTGAGGCCTTCGTTGGAAACGGGATTTGTTCATACTATGCTAGACAGAAGAATTCTCAGTAACTTCCTTGTGTTGTGTGTATTCAACTTACAGAGTTGAACTTTCATTTAGAGAGAGCAGATTTGAAACACTGTTTTTGTGGAATTTGCAATTGGAGATTTCAAGCGCTTTGGGGCCAAAGGCAGAAAAGGAAATATCTTCGTATAAAAACTAGACAGAATCATTCTCAGAAACTGCTGCGTGATGTGTGCGTTCAACTCTCAGAGTTTAACTTTTCTTTTCATTCAGCGGTTTCGAAACACTCTGGTTGTAAAGTCTGCACGTGGATATTTTGACCACTTAGAGTCCTTCGTTGGAAACGGGTTTTTTGCATGTAAGGCTAGACAGAAGAATTCCCAGTAACTTCCTTGTGTTGTGTGCATTCAACTCACAGAGTTGAACGTTCCCTTAGACAGAGCAGATTTGAAACACTCTATTTGTGCAGTTTGCAAGTGTAGATTTCAAGCGCTTTAAGGTCAATGGCAGAAAAGGAAATATCTTCGTTTCAAAACTAGACAGAATGATTCTCAGAAACTCCTTTGTGATGTGTGCGTTCAACTCACAGAGTTTAACCTTTCTTTTCATAGAGCAGTTAGGAAACACTCTGTTTGTAAAGTCTGCAAGTGGATATTCAGACATCCTTGAGGCTTTCTTTGGAAACGGGATTTCTTCATATTCTGCTAGAAAGAAGAATTCTCAGTAACTTCCTTGTGTTGTGTGTATTCAACTCACAGAGTTCAACGATCCTTTACACAGAGTAGACTTGAAACTCTTTTTGTGGAATTGGCAGGGTGGAGATTTCAGCCGCTTTGAGGTCAATGGTAGAAAAGGAAATATCTTCGTATAAAAACTAGACAGAATGATTCTCAGAAACTGCTTTGTGATGTGTGCGTTCAACTCACAGAGTTCAACCTTTCTTTTCATAGAGCAGTTAGGGAACACTCTGTTTGTAAAGTCTGCAAGTGGATATCCAGACCTCTTTGAGGCCTTCGTTGGAAACGGGTTTTCTTCATATTATGCTAGACAGAAGAATTCTCAGTAACTTCCTTGTGTTGTGTGTATTCAACTGACAGAGTTGAACTTTCATTTAGAGAGAGCAGATTTGAAACACTGTTTTTGTGGTATTTGCAAGTGGAGATTTCAAGCGCTTTGGGGCCAAAGGCAGAAAAGGAAATATCTTCGTATAAAAACTAGACAGAATCATTCTCAGAAACTGCTGCGTGATGTGTGCGTTCAACTCTCAGAGTTTAACTTTTCTTTTCATTCAGCGGTTTGGAAACACTCTGTTTGTAAAGTCTGCACGTGGATATTTTGACCACTTAGAGGCCTTCGTTGGAAACGGGTTTTATGCATGTAAGCCTAGACAGAAGAATTCCCAGTAACTTCCTTGTGTTGTGTGCATTCAACTCACAGAGTTGAACGTTCCCTTAGACAGTGCAGATTTGAAACACTCTATTTGTGCAATTTGCAAGTGTAGATTTCAAGCGCTTTAAGGTCAATGGCAGAAAAGGAAATATCTTCGTTTCAAAACTAGACAGAATCATTCCCACAAACTGCGTTGTGATGTGTTCGTTCAACTCACAGAGTTTAACCTTTCTTTTCATAGAGCAGTTAGGAAACAGTCTGTCAATTCTGTAAGTGGATATTCTGACATCTTGTGGCCTTCGTTGGAAACGGGATTTCTTCATATTCTGCTAGACAGAAGAATTCTCAGTAACTTCCTTGTGTTGTGTGTATTCAACTCACAGATTTGAACGATCCTTTACACAGAGCGGAGTTGAAACACTCTTTTTGTGGAATTTGCAAGTGGAGATTTCAGCCGCGTTGAGGTCAATGGTAGAAAAGGAAATATCTTCGTATAAAAACTAGACAGAATGATTCTCAGAAACTTCTTTGTGATGTGTGCGTTCAACTCACAGAGTTTAACCTTTCTTTTCATAGAGCAGTTAGGAAACACTCTGTTTGTAAACTCTGCAAGTGGATATTCAGAC
Source organism: Homo sapiens (assembly GCF_000001405.40). NCBI lineage: Eukaryota > Metazoa > Chordata > Mammalia > Primates > Hominidae > Homo > Homo sapiens. Next base: position 123,411,473 of record NC_000001.11, read on the forward strand.
CTCTTTGAGGCCTTGGTTGGAAACGGGATTTCTTCATACTATGCTAGACAGAAGATTTCTAAGTAACTTCCTTGTGTTGTGTGTATTCAACTGACAGAGTTTAACTTTCATTTAGAGAGAGCAGATTTGAAACACTGTTTTCGTGGAATTTGCAAGTGGAGATTTCAAGCGCTTTGGGGCCAAAGGCAGTAAAGGAAATATCTTCGTATAAAAACTAGACAGAATCATTCTCAGAAACTGCTCTGTGATGTGTGCGTTCAACTCTCAGAGTTTAACTTTTGTTTTCATTCAGCAGTTTGGAAACACTCTGTTTGTAAAGTCTGCACGTGGATATTTTGACCACTTAGAGGCCTTCGTTGGAAACTGGTTTTTTTCAAGTAAGGCTAGACAGAAGAATTCCCAGTAACTTCCTTGTGTTGTGTGCATTCAACTCAAAGAGTTGAACGTTCCCTTAGACAGAGCAGATTTGAAACACTCTATTTGTGCAATTTGCAAGTGTAGATTTCAAGCGCTTTAAGGTCAATGGCAGAAAAGGAAATATCTTCGTTTCAACACAAGACAGAATCATTCCCACAAACTGCGTTGTGATGTGTTCGTTCAACTCACAGAGTTTAACCTTTCTGTTCATAGAGCAGTTAGGAAACACTCTGTTTGTAAAGTCTGTAAGTGGATATTCTGACATCTTGTGGCCTTCGTTGGAAAAGGGATTTCTTCATATTCTGCTAGACAGAAGAATTCTCAGTAACTTCCTTGTGTTGTGTTTATTCAACTCACAGAGTTGAACGATCCTTTACACAGAGCAGACTTGAAACACTCTTTTTGTGGAATTTGCAAGTGGAGATTTCAGCCGCTTTGAGGTCAATGGTAGAAAAGTAAATATCTTCGTATAAAGACTAGACAGAACGATTCTCAGAAACTCCTTTGTGATGTGTGCGTTCAACTCACAGAGTTTAACCTTTCTTTTCATAGAGCAGTTAGGAAACACTCTGTTTGTAAAGTCTGTAAGTGGATATTCTGACATTTTCTGGCCTTCATTGGAAAAGGGATTTCTTCATATTCTGCTAGACAGAAGAATTCTCAGTAACTTCCTTGTGTTGTGTGTATTCAACTCACAGAGTTGAATGATCCTTTACAGAGATCAGACTTGAAACACTCTTTTTGTGGAATTTGCAAGTGGAGATTTCAGCCGCTTTGAGGTCAATGGTAGAATAGAAATATCTTCCTATAGAAACTAGACAGAATCATTCTCAGAAAGTGCTCTGCGATGTGTGCGTTCAACTCTCAGAGTTTAACTTTTCTTTTCATTCAGCAGTTTGGAAACACTCTGTTTGTAAAGTCTGCACGTGGATATTTTGACCACTTAGAGGCCTTCGTTGGAAACGGGTTTTTTTCCTGTAAGGCTAGACAGAAGACTTCCCAGTAACTTCCTTGCGTTGTGTACATTCAACTCACAGAGTTGAACGTTCCCTTAGACAGAGCAGATTTGAAACACTCTTTTTGTGCAATTGGCAAGTGGAGATTTCAAGCGCTTTGAGGTCAATGGCAGAAAAGGAAATATCTTCGTTTCAAAACTAGACAGAATCATTCCCACAAACTGCGTTGTAATGTGTGCGTTCAACTCACAGAGTTTAACCTTTCTTTTCATAGAGCAGTTAGGAAACACTCTGTTTGTGAAGTCTGCAAGTGGATATTCAGACCTCTTTGAGGCCTTCGTTGGAAACGGGATTTCTTCATATTCTGCTAGACAGAAGAATTCTCAGTAACTTCCTTGTGTTGTGTGTATTCAACTCACAGAGTTGAACGATCCTTTACACAGAGCAGACATGAAACACTCTTTTTGTGGAATTTGCAGGTGGAGATTTCAGCCGCTTTGAGGTCAATGGTAGAATAGGAAATATCTTCCTATAGAAACTAGACAGAATGATTCTCGGAAACTCCTTTGTGATGTGTGCGTTCAACTCACAGAGTTTAACCTTTCTTTTCATAGAGCAGTTAGGAAACACTCTGTTTGTAAAGTCTGCAAGTGGATATTCAGACCTCTTTGAGGCCTTCGTTGGAAACGGGTTTTTTTCATATAAGGCTAGACAGAAGAATTCTCAGTAACTTCCTTGTGTTGTGTGTATTCAACTGACAGAGTTGAACTTTCATTTAGAGAGAGCAGATTTGAAACACTCTTTTTGTGGAATTTGCAAGTGGAGATTTCAAGCGCTTTGGGGCCAAAGGCAGAAAACGAAATATCTTCGTATAAAAACTAGACAGAATCATTCTCAGAAACTGCTCTGCGATGTGTGCGTTCAACTCTCAGAGTTTAACTTTTCTTTTCATTCAGCAGTTTGGAAACACTCTGTTTGTAAAGTCTGCACGTGGATAATTTGACCACTTAGAGGCCTTCTTTGGAAACGGGTTTTTTTTCATATAAGGCTAGACAGAAGAATTCCCAGTAACTTCCTTGCGTTGTGTACATTCAACTCACAGAGTTGAACGTTCCCTTAGACAGAGCAGATTTGAAACACTCTTTTTGTGCAATTGGCAAGTGGAGATTTCAAGCGCTTTAAGGTCAATGGCAGAAAAGGAAATATCTTCGTTTCAAAACTAGACAGAATCATTCCCACAAACTGCGTTGTAATGTGTGCGTTCAACTCACAGAGTTTAACCTTTCTTTTCATAGAGCAGTTAGGAAACACTCTGTTTGTAAAGTCTGCAAGTGGATATTCAGACCTCTTTGAGGCCTTCGTTGGAAACGGGATTTCTTCGTATTCTGCTAGACAGAGGAATTCTCAGTAACTTCCTTGTGTTGTGTGTATTCAACTCACAGAGTTGAACGATCCTTTACACAGAGCAGACTTGAAACACTCTTTTTGTGGAATTTGCAAGTGGAGATTTCAGCCGCTTTGAGGTCAATGGTAGAATAGGAAATATCTTCCTATAGAAACTAGACGGAAATGATTCTCAGAAACTCCTTTGTGATGTGTGTGTTCAACTCACAGAGTTTAACCTTTCTTTTCATAGAGCCGTTAGGAATCACTCTGTTTGTAAAGTCTGCAAGTGGATATTCAGACCTCTTTGAGGCCTTCGTTGGAAACGGGTTTTTTTCATATAAGGCTAGACAGAAGAATTCTCAGTAACTTCCTTGTGTTGTGTGTGTTCAACTCACAGAGTTGAACTTTCATTTACACAGAGCAGATTTGAAACACTCTTTTTGTGGAATTTGCAAGTGGAGATTTCAAGCGCTTTGAGGCCAAAGGCAGAAAAGGAAATATCTTCGTATAAAAACTAGACAGAATCATTCTCAGAAACTGCTGCGTGATGTGTGAGTTCAACTCTCAGAGTTTAACTTTTCTTTTCATTCAGCGGTTTGGAAACAGTCTGTTTGTAAAGTCTGCACGTGGATATTTTGACCACTTAGAGGCCTTCGTTGGAAACGGGATTTTTTCATGTAAGGCTAGACAGAAGAATTCCCAGTAACTTCCTTGTGTTGTGTGCATTCAACTCACAGAGTTGAACGTTCCCTTAGACAGAGCAGATTTGAAACACTCTATTTGTGCAATTTGCAAGTGTAGATCTCAAGCGCTTTAAGGTCAATGGGAGAAAAGGAAATATCTTCGTTTCAAAACTAGACAGAATCATTCCCACAAACTGCGTTGTGATGTGTTCGTTCAACTCACAGAGTTTAAACTTTCTGTTCATAGAGCAGTTAGGAAACACTCTGTTTGTAAAGTCTGTAAGTGGATATTCTGACATCTTGTGGCCTTCGTTGGAAACGGGATTTCTTCATATTCTGCTGGACAGAAGAATTCTCAGTAACTTCCTTGTGTTGTGTGTATTCAACTCACAGAGTTGAACGATCCTTTACACAGAGCAGACTTGAAACACTCTTTTTGTGGAATTTGCAAGTGGAGATTTCAGCCGCTTTGAGTTCAATGGTAGAATAGGAAATATCTTCCTATAGAAAGTACACAGAATGATTCTCAGAAACTCCTTTGTGATGTGTGCATTCAACTCACAGAGTTTAACCTTTCTTTTCATAGAGCAGTTAGGAAACACTGTTTGTAAAGTCTGCAAGTGGATATTCAGACCTCCTTGAGGCCTTCGTTGGAAACGGGATTTCTTCATATTATGCTAGACAGAAGAATTCTCAGTAACTTCCTTGTGTTGTGTGTATTCAACTGACAGAGTTGAACTTTCATTTAGAGAGAGCAGATTTGAAACACTGTTTTTGTGGAATTTGCAAGTGGAGATTTCAAGCGCTTTGGGGCCAAAGGCAGAAAAGAAAATATCTTCGTATAAAAACTAGACAGAATCATTCTCAGAAACTGCTCTGCGATGTGTGCGTTCAACTCTCAGAGTTTAACTTTTCTTTTCATTCAGCAGTTTGGAAACACTCTGTTTGTAAAGTCTGCACGTGGATAATTTCACCACTTAGAGGTCTTCGTTGGAAACGGGTTTTTTTCATGTAAGGATAGACAGAAGAATTCTCAGTAACTTCCTTGTGTTGTGTGTATTCAACTCACAGAGTTGAACGATCCTTTACACAGAGCAGACTTGTAACACTCTTTTTGTGGAATTTGCAAGTGGAGATTTCAGCCGCTTTGAAGTCACAGGTAGAAAGGGAAATATCTTCCTATAAACACTAGACAGAGTGATTCTCAGAAACTTCTTTGTGATGTCTGCGTTCAACTGACAGAGTTTAACCTTTCTTTTCATAGAGCAGTTAGGAAACACTCTGTTTGAAAAGTCTGCAAGTGGATACTCAGACCTCCTTGAGGCCTTCGTTGGAAACGGGATTTCTTCATATTATGCTAGACAGAGGAATTCTCAGTAACTTCCTTGTGTTGTGTGTATTCAACTCACAGAGTTGAACGATCCTTTACACAGAGCAGACTTGAAACACTCTTTTTGTGGAATTTGCAAGTGGAGATTTCAGCCGCTTTGAGGTCAATGGTAGAATAGGAAATATCTTCCTACAGAAACTAGACAGAATGATTCTCAGAAACTCCTTTGCGATGTGTGCGTTCAACTCACAGAGTTTAACCTTTCTTTTCATAGAGCAGTTAGGAAACACTCTGTTTGTAAAGTCTGCAAGTGGATATTCAGACATCTTTGAGGCTTTCGTTGGAAACGGGATTTCTTCATATTCTGCTAGACAGAAGAATTCTCAGTAACTTCCTTGTGTTGTGTGTATTCAAGCTGACAGAGTTGAACTTTCATTTAGAGAGAGCAGATTTGAAACACTGTTTTTGTGGAATTTGCAAATGGAGATTTCAAGCGCTTTGGGACCAAAGGCAGAAAAGGAAATATCTTCGTATAAAAACTAGACAGAATCATTCTCAGAAACTGCTGCGTGATGTGTGCGTTCAACTCTCAGAGTTTAACTTTTCTTTTCATTCAGCGGTTTGGAAACACTCTGTTTGTAAAGTCTGCACGTGGAAATTTTGACCACTTAGAGGCCTTCGTTGGAAACGTGTTTTTTTCATGTAAGGCTAGACAGAAGAATTCCCAGTAACTTCCTTGTGTTGTGTGCATTCAACTCACAGAGTTGAACGTTCCCTTAGACAGAGCAGATTTGAAACACTCTATTTGTGCAATTTGCAAGTGTAGTTTTCAAGCTCTTTAAGGTCAACGGCAGAAAAGGAAATATCTTCGTTTCAAAACTAGACAGACTCATTCCCAAAAACTGCGTTGTGATGTGTTCGTTAAACTCACAGAGTTTAACCTTTCTGTTCATAGAGCAGTTAGGAAACACTCTGTTTGTAAAGTCTGTAAGTGGAAATTCTGACATCTTGTGGCCTTCGTTGGAAACGGGATTTCTTCATATTATGCTAGACAGAAGAATTCTCAGTAACTTCCTTGTGTTGTGTGTATTCAACTCACAGAGTTGAACGATCCTTTACACAGAGCAGACTTGAAACACTCTTTTTGTGGAATTTGCAAGTGGAGATTTCAGCTGCTTTGAGGTCAATGGTAGAATAGGAAATATCTTCCTATAGAAACTAGACAGAATGATTCTCATAAACTCCTTTGTGATGTGTGCGTTCAACTCACAGAGTTTAACCTTTCTTTTCATAGAGCAGTTAGGAAACACTCTGTTTGTAAAGTCTGCAAGTGGATATTCAGACATCCTTGAGGCTTTCGTTGGAAACGGGATTTCTTCATATTCTGCTAGAAAGAAGAATTCTCGGTAACTTCCTTGTGTTGTGTGTATTCAACTGACAGAGTTGAACTTTCATTTAGAGAGAGCAGATTTGAAACACTGTTTTTGCGGAATATGCAAGTGGAGATTTCAAGCGCTTTGGGGCCAAGGGCAGAAAAGGAAATATCTTCGTTTAAAAACTAGACAGAATCATTCTCAGAAACTGCTGCGTGATGTGTGCGTTCAACTCTCAGAGTTTAACTTTTCTTTTCATTCAGTGGTTTGGAAACACTCTGTTTGTAAAGTCTGCACGTGGATATTTTGACCACTTAGAGGCTTTCGTTGGAAACGGGTTTTTTTCATGTAAGGCTAGACAGAATAATTCCCAGTAACTTCTTTGTGTTGTGTACATTCAACTCACAGAGTTGAACGTTCCCTTAGACAGAGCAGATTTGAAACACTCTTTTTGTGGAATTGGCAAGTGGAGATTTCAAGCGCTTTAAGGTCAGTGGCAGAAAAGGAAATATCTTCGTTTCAAAACTAGACAGAATCATTCCCAAAAACTGCGTTGTGATGTGTTCCTTCATCTCAGAGAGTTTAACCTTTCTTTTCAGAGAGCAGTTAGGAAACAGTCTGTTTGTAAATTCTGTAAGTGGATATTCTGACATCTTGTGGCCTTCGTTGGAAACGGGATTTCTTCATATTCTGCTAGACAGAAGAATTCTCAGAATCTTCCTTGTGTTGTGTGTATTCAACTCACAGAGTTGAACGATGGTTTACTCAGAGCAGATTTGAAACACTCTTTTTGTGGAATTTGCAAGTGGAGATTTCAGCCGCTTTGAGGTCAATGGTAGAAAAGGAAATATCTTCGTATAAAAACTAGACAGAATGATTCTCAGAAACTCCTTTGTGATGTGTGCGTTCAACTCACAGAGTTTAACTTTTCTTTTCATAGAGCAGTTAGGAAACACTCTGTGTGTAAAGTCTGCAAGTGGATATTCAGACCTCTTTGAGGCCTTCGTTGGAAACGGGATTTCTCCATATTATGCTAGACAGAAGAATTCTCAGAATCTTCCTTGTGTTGTGTGTATTCAACGCACAGAGTTGAACGATCCTTTACACAGAGCAGACTTGAAACACTCTTTTTGTGGAATTTGCAAGTGGAGATTTCAGCCGCTTTGAGGTCCATGGTAGAAAAGGAAATATCTTCGTATAAAAACTAGACAGAATGATTCTCAGAAACTCCTTGGTGATGTGGGCGTTCAACTCACAGAGTTTAACCTTTCTTTTCATAGAGCCGTTAGGAAACACTCTGTTTGTAAAGTCTGCACGTGGATATTTGGACTTCTTTGAGGCCTTCGTTGGAAACGGGTTTTTTTCATGTAAGGCTAGACGGAAGAATTCTCAGTAACTTCCTTGTGTTGTGTGTATTCAACTGACAGAGTTGAACTTTCATTTAGAGAGAGCAGATTTGAAACACTGTTTTTGTGGAATTTGCAAGTGGAGATTTCAAGCGCTTTGGGGCCAAAGGCAGGAAAGGAAATATCTTCGTATAAAAACTAGACAGAATCATTCTCAGAATCTGCTGCGTGATGTGTGCGTTCAACTCTCAGAGTTTAACTTTTCTTTTCATTCAGCGGTTTGGAAACACTCTGTTTGTAAAGTCTGCACGTGGATATTTTGACCACTTAGAAGCCTTCTTTGGAAACGGTTTTTCTTCATGTAAGGCTAGACAGAAGAATTCCCAGTAACTTCCTTGTGTTGTGTGCATTCAACTCACAGAGTTGAACGTTCCCTTAGACAGAGCAGATTTGAAACACTCTATTTGTGTAATTTGCAAGTGTAGATTTCAAGCGCTTTAAGGTCAACGGCAGAAAAGGAAATATCTTCGTTTCAAAATTAGACAGGATCATTCCCACAAACTGCGTTGTGATGTGTTCGTTCAACTCACAGAGTTTAACCTTTCTTTTCATAGAGAAGTTAGGAAACACTCTGTTTGTAAAGTCTGCAAGTGGATATTCAGACTTCCTTGAGGCCTTCGTTGGAAACGGGATTTCTTCATATTCTGCTAGACAGAAGAATTCTCAGTAACTTCCTTGTGTTGTGTGTATTCAACTCACAGATTTGAATGATCCTTTACACAGAGCAGACTTGAAACACTCTTTTTGTGGAATTTGCAAGTGGAGATTTCAGCCGCTTTGAGTTCAATGGTAGAATAGGAAATATCTTCCTATAGAAACTAGACAGAATGATTCTCAGAAACTCCTTTGTGATGTGTGCGTTCAACTCACAGAGTTTAACCTTTCTTTTCATAGAGCAGTTAGGAAACACTCTGTTTGTAAAGTCAGCAACTGGATATTCAGACCTCCTTGTGGCCTTCTTTGGAAACGGGATTTCTTCATATTATGCTAGACAGAAGAATTCTCAGTAACTTCCTTGTGTTGTGTGTATTCAACTGACAGAGTTGAACTTTCATTTGGAGAGAGCAGATTTGAAACACTGTTTTTGTGGAATTTGCAAGTGGAGATTTCAAGCGCTTTGGGGCCAAAGGCAGAAAAGGAAATATCCTCGTATAAAAACAAGACAGAATCATTCTCAGAAACTGCTGCGTGATGTGTGCGTTCAACTCTCAGAGTTTAACTTTTCTTTTCATTCAGCGGTTTGGAAACACTCTGTTTGTAAAGTCTGCACGTGGATATTTTGACCACTTAGAGGTCTTCGTTGGAAACGGGTTTTTTTTAATGTAAGGCTAGACAGAAGAATTCCCAGTAACTTCCTTGTGTTGTGTGCATTCAACTCACAGAGTTGAACGTTCCCTTAGACAGAGCAGATTTGAAACACTCTATTTGTGCAATTTGCAAGTGTAGTTTTCAAGCTCTTTAAGGTCAACGGCAGAAAAGGAAATATCTTCGTTTCAAAACTAGACAGAATCATTCCCACAAACTGCGTTGTGATGTGTTCGTTCAACTCACAGAGTTTAACCTTTCTTTTCATAGAGCAGTTAGGAAACAGTCTGTTTGTCAATTCTGTAAGTGGATATTCTGACATCTTGTGGCCTTCGTTGGAAACAGGATTTCTTCATATTCTGCTAGACAGAAGAATTCTCAGTAACTTCCTTCTGTTGTGTGTATTCAACTCACAGAGTTGAACGATCCTTTACACAGAGCAGACTTGAACACAACTCTTTTTGTGGAATTTGCAAGTGGAGATTTCAGCCGCTTTGAGGTCAATAGTAGAAAAGGAAATATCTTCGTAGAAAAACTAGACAGAATGATTCTCAGAAACTTCTTTGTGATGTGTGCGTTCAACTCACAGAGTTTAACCTTTCTTTTCATAGAGCAGTTAGGAAACACTCTGTTTGTAAACTCTGCAAGTGGATGTTCAGACCTCTTTGAGGCCTTCGTTGGAAACGGGATTTCTTCATACTATGCTAGACAGAAGAATTCCCAGTAACTTCCTTGTGTTGTGTGTGTTCAACTCACAGAGTTGAACTTTCATTTACCCAGAGCAGATTCGAAACACTCTTTTTGTGGAATTTGCAAGTGGAGATTTCAAGCGCTTTGAGGCCAAAGGCAGAAAAGGAAATATCTTCGTTTCAAAACTAGACAGAATCATTCTCAGAAACTGCTCTGCGATGTGTGCGTTCAACTCTCAGATTTTAACTTTTCTTTTCATTCAGCAGTTTGGAATCACTCTGTTTGTAAAGTCTGCACGTGGATATTTTGACCACTTAGAGGCCTTCGTTGGAAACGGGTTTTTTTCCTGTAAGGCTAGACAGAAGAATTCCCAGTAACTTCCTTGCGTTGTGTACATTCAACTCACAGAGTTGAACGTTCCCTTAGACAGAGCAGATTTGAAACACTCTTTTTGTGCAATTGGCAAGTGGAGATTTCAAGCGCTTTAAGGTCAATGGCAGAAAAGGAAATATCTTCGTTTCAAAACTAGACAGAATCATTCCCACAAACTGCGTTGTGATGTGTTCGTTCATCTCACAGAGTTTAACCTTTCTTTTCATAGAGCAGTTAGGAAACACTCTGTTTGTAAATTCTGTAAGTGGATATTCTGACATCCTGGTGGCCTTCGTTGGAAACGGGATTTCTTCATATTCTGCTAGACAGAAGAATTCTCAGAAACTTCCTTGTGTTGTGTGTTTTCAACTCACAGAGTTGAACGATCCTTTACACAGAGCAGACTTGAAACACTCCTTTTGTGGAATTTGCAAGTGGAGATTTCAGCCGCTTTGAGGTCAATGGCAGAATAGGAAATATCTTCCTATAGAAACTAGACAGAATGATTCTCAGAAACTCCTTTGAGATGTGTGTGTTCAACTCACAGAGTTTAACCTTTCTTTTCATAGAGCAGTTAGGAAACACTCTGTTTGTAAAGTCTGCAGGTGGATATTCAGACCTCTTTGAGGCCTTCGTTGGAAACGGGTTTTTTTCATATAAGGCTAGACAGAAGAATTCCCAGTAACTTCCTTGTGTTGTGTGTGTTCAACTCACAGAGTTGAACTTTCATTTACAGAGAGCAGGTTTGAGACACACTTTTTGTGGAATTTGCTAATGGAGATTTCAAGCGCTTTGAGGCCAAAGGCAGAAAAGGAAATATCTTCGTATAAAAACTAGACAGAATCATTCTCAGAAACTGCTGCGTGATGTGTGCGTTCAACTCTCAGAGTTTAACTTTTCTTTTCATTCAGCGGTTTGGAAACACTCTGTTTGTAAAGTCTGCACGTGGATATTTTGACCACTTAGAGGCCTTCGTTGGAAACGGGTTTTTTTCATGTAAGGCTAGTCAGAAGAATTCTCAGTAACTGCCTTGTGTTGTGTTTATTCAACTCACAGAGTTAAACGATCCTTTACACAGAGCAGACTTGAAATACTCTTTTTGTGGAATTTGCAAGTGGAGATTTCAGCCGCTTTGAGGTCAATGGTAGAATAGGAAATATCTTCCTATAGAAACTAGACAGAATGATTCTCAGAAACTCCTTTGTGATGCGTGCGTTCAACTCACAGAGTTTAACCTTTCTTTTCATAGAGCAGTTAGGAAACACTCTGTTTGTAAAGTCTGCAAGTGGATATTCAGACATCCTTGAGGCTTTCGTTGGAAACGGGATTTCTTCGTATTCTGCTAGAAAGAAGAATTCTCAGTAACTTCCTTGTGTTGTGTGTATTCAACTCACAGAGTTGAACGATCCTTTACACAGAGCAGACTTGAAACACTCTTTTTGTGGAATTTGCAAGTGGAGATTTCAGCCGATTTGAGGTCAATGGTAGAAAAGGAAATATCTTCGTATAAAGACTAGACAGAATGATTCTCAGAAACTCCTTTGTGATGTGTGCGTTCAACTCACAGAGTTTAACCTTTCTTTTCATAGAGCAGTTAGGAAACACTCTGTTTGTAAAGTCTGCAAGTGGATATTCAGACCTCCTTAAGGCCTTCGTTGGAAACGGGATTTCTTCATATTATGCTAGACAGAAGAATTCTCAGTAACTTCCTTGTGTTGTGTGTATTCAACTCACAGAGTTCAACGATCCTTTACACAGAGCAGACTTGAAACACTCTTTTTGTGGAATTTGCAAGTGGAGATTTCAGCCGCTTTGAGGTCAATGGTAGAATAGGAAATATCTTCCCATAGAAACTAGACAGAATGATTCTCACAAACTCCTTTGTGATGTGTGCGTTCAACTCACAGAGTTAAACCTTTCTTTTCATAGAGCAGTTAGGAAACACTCTGTTTGTAAAGTCTGCAAGTGGATATTCAGACCTCCTTGAGGCCTTCTTTGGAAAGGGGATTTCTTCATATTATGCTAGACAGAAGAATTCTCAGAAACTTCCTTGTGTTGTGTGTATTCAACTCTCAGAGTTGAACGACCCTTTACACAGAGCAGACTTGAAACACTCTTTTTGCGGAATTTGCAAGTGGAGGTTTCAGCCGCTTTGAGGTCAATGGTAGAAAAAGAAATATCTTCGTATGAAAACTAGACAGAATGATTGTCAGAAACTCCTTTGTTATGTGGGCATTTAACTCACAGAGTTTAACCGTTCTTTTCATAGAGCAGTTAGGAAACACTCTGTTTGTAACGTCTGCAAGTGGATATTCAGACATATTTGAGGCCTTCTTTGGAAACGGGATTTCTTCATATTATGCTACACAGAAGAATTCTCAGTAACTTCCTTGTGTTGTGTGTATTCAACTCACAGAGTTGAAGGATCCTTTACACAGAGCAGTCTTGAAATACTCTTTTTGTGGAATTTACACGTGGAGATTTCTGCCGCTTTGATGTCAATGGTAGAATAGGAAATATCTTCGTATAGAAACTAGACAGAATGATTCTCAGAAACTCCTTTGTGATGTGTGCGTTCAACTCACAGTGTTTAACCTTTCTTTTCATAGAGCAGTTAGGAAACACTCTGTTTGTAAAGTCTGAAAGTGGATATTCAGACCTCTTTGAGGCCTTCGTTGGAAACGGGTTTTTTTCATATAAGGCTAGACAGAAGAATTCTCAGTAACTTCCTTGTGTTGTGTGTATTCAAATGACAGAGTTGAACTTTCATTTAGAGAGAGCAGATTTGAAACACTGTTTTTGTGGAATTTGCAAGTGGAGATTTCAAGCGCTTTGGGGCCAAAGGCAGAAAAGGAAATATCTTCGTATAAAAACTAGACAGAATCATTCTCAGAAACTCCTGCGTGATGTGTGCGTCCAACTCTCAGAGTTTAACTTTTCTTTTCATTCAGCGGTTTGGAAACACTCTGTTTGTAAAGTCTGCACGTGGATATTTTGACCACTTAGAGGCCTTCGTTGGAAACGGGTTTTTTTCATGTAAGGCTAGACAGAAGAATTCCCAGTAACTTCCCTTGTGTTGGGTGCATTAAACTCACAGAGTTGAACGTTCCCTTAGACAGAGCAGATTTGAAACACTCTATTTGTGCAATTTGCAAGTGTAGATTTCAAGCGCTTTAAGGTCAATGGCAGAAAAGGAAATATCTTCGTTTCAAAACTAGACAGAATCATTCCCACAAACTGCGTTGTGATGTGTTCGTTCAACTCACACAGTTTAACCTTTCTGTTCATAGAGCAGTTAGGAAACACTCTGTTTGTAAAGTCTGTAAGTGGATATTCTGACATCTTGTGGCCTTCGTTGGAAACGGGATTTCTTCATATTCTGCTAGACAGAACAATTCTCAGTAACTTCCTTGTGTTGTGTGTATTCAACTTACAGAGTTGAACGATTCTTTACACAGAGCAGACTTGAAACACTCTTTTTGTGGAATTTGCAAGTGGAGATTTCAGCCGCTTTGAGGTCAATGGTAGAAAAGGAAATATCTTCGTATAAAGACTAGACAGAATGATTCTCAGAAACTCCTTTGTGATGTGTGCGTTCAACTCACAGAGTTTAACCTTTCTTTTCATAGAGCAGTTGGGAAACACTCTGTTTGTAAAGTCTGCAAGTGGATATTCAGACCTCCTTGAGGCCTTCGTTGGAAATGGGATTTCTTCATATTATGCTAGACAGAAGAATTCTCAGTAACTTCCTTGTGTTGTGTGTATTCAACTGACAGAGTTGAACTTTCATTTAGAGAGAGCAGATTTGAAACACTGTTTTTGTGGAATTTGCAAGTGGAGATTTCAAGAGCTTTGGGGCCAAAGGCAGAAAAGGAAATGTCTTCGTATAAAAACTAGACAGAATCATTCTCAGAAACTGCTCTGCGATGTGTGCGTTCAACTCTCAGAGTTTAAATTTTCTTTTCATTCAGCAGTTTGGAAACACTCTGTTTGTAAAGTCTGCACGTGGATATTTTGACCACTTAGAGGCCTTCGTTGGAAACGGGTTTTTTTCCTGTAAGGCTAGACAGAAGAATTCCCAGTAACTTCCTTGTGTTTTGTACATTCAACCCACAGAGTTGAACGTTTCCTTAGACAGAGCAGATTTGAAACACTTTTTGTGCAATTGGCAAGTGGTGATTTCAGCCGCTTTGAGGTCAAAGGTAGAAAAGGAAATATCTTCCTATAAAAACTAGACAGAATCATTCCCACAAACTGCGTTGTGATGTGTTCGTTCAACTCACAGAGTTTAACCTTTCTTTTCATAGAGCAGTTAGGAAACACTCTGTTTGTAAACTCTGCAAGTGGATATTCAGACCTCTTTGAGGCCTTCGTTGGAAACGGGATTTCTCCATACTGTGCTAGACAGAAGAATTCTCAGTAACTTCCTTGTGTTGTGTGTATTCAACTCACAGAGTTGAACGATCCTTTACACAGAGCAGACTTGTAACACTCTTTTTGTGGAATTTGCAAGTGGAGATTTCAGCCGCTTTGAAGTCAAAGGTAGAAAAGGAAATATCTTCCTATAAAACCTAGACAGAATGATTCTCATAAACTCCTTTGTGATGTGTGCATTCAACTCACAGAGTTTCACCTTTCTTTTCATAGAGCAGTTAGGAAACACTCTGTTTGTAAAGTCTGCAAGTGGATATTCAGACCTCCTTGAGGCCTTCGTTGGAAACGGGATTTCTTCTTATTCTGCTAGACAGAAGAATTCCCCAGTAACTTCCTTGTGTTGTGTGTGTTCAACTCACAGAGTTGAACTTTCATTTACACAGAGCAGATTTGAAACACTCTTTTTGTGGAATTTGCAGGTGGAGATTTCAAGCGCTTTGAGGCCAAAGGCAGAAAAGGAAATATCTTCGTATAAAAACTAGACAGAATCATTCTCAGAAACTGCTGCGTGATGTGTGCGTTCAACTCTCAGAGTTTAACTTTTCTTTTCATTCAGCGGTTTGGAAACACTCTGTTTGTAAAGTGTGCACGTGGAAATTTTGACCACTTAGAGGCCTTCGTTGGAAACGGGTTTTTTTCATGTAAGGCTAGACAGAAGAATTCCCAGTAACTTCCCTTGTGTTGTGTACATTCAACTCACAGAGTTGAACGTTCCCTTAGACAGAGCAGATTTGAAACACTCTTTTTGTGCAATTGGCAAGTGGAGATTTCAAGCGCTTTGAGGTCAATGGCAGAAAAGGAAATATCTTCGTTTCAAAACTAGACAGAATCATTCCCACAAACTGCGTTGTGATGTGTTCGTTCAACTCACAGAGTTTAACTTTTCTGTTCATAGAGCAGTTAGAAAACACTCTGTTTGTAAAGTCTGCAAGTGGATATTCAGACCTCCTTGAGGCCTTCGTTGGAAACGGGATTTCTTCATATTCTGCTAGACAGAAGAATTCTCAGTAACTTCCTTGTGTGGTGTGTATTCAACTCACAGAGTTGAACGATCCTTTACAGAGAGCAGACTTGAAACACTCTTTTTGTGAAATTTGCAAGTGGAGATTTCAGCCGCTTTGAGGTCAATGGTAGAATAGGAAATATCTTCCTATAGAAACTAGACAGAATGATTCTCAGAAACTCCTTTGTGATGTGTGTGTTCAACTCACAGAGTTTAACCTTTCTTTTCATAGAACAGTTCGTAAACACTCTGTTTATAAAGTCTGCAAGTGGATATTCAGACCCCTTTGAGGCCTTCGTTGGAAACGGGATTTCTTCATATTATGCTAGACAGAAGAATTCTCAGTAACTTTCCTTGTGTTGTGTGTATTCAACTGACAGAGTTGAACTTTCATTTAGAGAGAGCAGATTTGAAACACTGTTTTTGTGGAATTTGCAAGTGGAGATTTCAAGCGCTTTGGGGCCAAGGGCAGAAAAGGAAATATCTTCGTATAAAAACTAGACAGAATCATTCTCAGAAACTGCTCTGCGATTTGTGCGTTCAACTCTCAGAGTTTAACTTTCCTTTTCATTCAGCAGTTTGGAAACACTCTGTTTGTAAAGTCTGCACGTGGATAATTTGACCACTTAGAGGCCTTCGTTGGAAACGGGTTTTTTTCATGTAAGGCTAGACAGAAGAATTCTCAGTAACTTCTTTGTGTTGTGTGTATTCAACTCACAGAGTTGAACGATCCTTTACACAGAGCAGACTTGTAACACTCTTTTTGTGGAATTTGCAAGTGGAGATTTCAGCCGCTTTGAAGTCAAAAGTAGAAAAGGAAATATCTTCCTATAAAAACTAGACAGAATCATTCCCACAAACTGCGTTGTGATGTGTTCGTTCAACTCACAGAGTTTAACTTTTCTGTTCATAGAGCAGTTAGAAAACACTCTGTTTGTAAAGTCTGCAAGTGGATATTCAGACCTCCTTGAGGCCTTCGTTGGAAACGGGATTTCTTCATATTCTGCTAGACAGAAGAATTCTCAGTAACTTCCTTGTGTTGTGTGTATTCAACTCACAGAGTTGAACGATCCTTTACACAGAGCAGACTTGAAACACTCTTTTTGTGGAATTTGCAAGTGGAGATTTCAGCCGCTTTGAGGTCAATAGTAGAAAAGGAAACATCTTCGTAGAAAAACTAGACAGAATGATTCTGAGAAATCCTTTGTGATGTGTGCGTTCAACTCACAGAGTTTAACCTTTCTTTTCATAGAGCAGTTAGGAAACACTCTGTTTTTAAAGTCTTCAAGTGGATATTCAGACCTCCTTGAGGCCTTCGTTGGAAACGGGATTTCTTCATATTATGCTAGACAGAAGAATTCCCAGTAACTTCCTTGTGTTGTGTGTGTTCAACTCACAGAGTTGAACTTTCATTTACACAGAGCAGATTTGAAACACTCTTTTTGTGGAATTTGCAAGTGGAGATTTCAAGCGCTTTGAGGCTAAAGGCAGAAAAGGAAATATCTTCGTATAAAAACTAGGCAGAATCATTCTCAGAAACTGCTCTGCGATGTGTGCGTTCAACTCTCAGAGTTTAACTTTTCTTTTCATTCAGCAATTTGGAAACACTCTGTTTGTAAAGTCTGCACGTGGATATTTTGACCACTTAGAGGCCTTCGTTGGAAACGGGTTTCTTTCCTGTAAGGCTAGACAGAAGAATTCCCAGTAACTTCCTTGCGTTGTGTACATTCAACTCACAGAGTTGAACGTTCCCTTAGACAGAGCAGATTTGAAACACTCTTTTTGTGCAATTGGCAAGTGGAGATTTCAAGCGCTTTAAGGTCAATGGCAGAAAAGGAAATATCTTCGTTTCAAAACTAGACAGAATGATTCTCAGAAACTCCTTTGTGATGTGTGCGTTCAACTCACGGAGTTTAACCTTTCTTTTCATAGAGCAGTTAGGAAACACTCTGTTTGTAAAGTCTGGAAGTGGATATTCAGACATCTTTGAGGCTTTCGTTGGAAACGGGATTTCTTCATATTCTGCTATACAGAAGAATTGTCAGAAACTTCCTTGTGTTGTGTGTCTTCAACTCACAGAGTTGAACGATGCTTTACACAGAGTAGACTTGAAACACTCTTTTTCTGGAATTTGCAAGTGGAGATTTCAGCCGCTTTGAGGTCAATGGTAGAAAAGGAAATATCTTCGTATAAAAACTAGACAGAATGTTTCTCAGAAACTCCTTTGTGATGTGGGCGTTGAACTCACAGAGTTTAACCTTTCTTTTCATAGAGCAGTTAGGAAACACTCTGTTTGTAACGTCTGCAGGTGGATATTTGGACTTCTTTGAGGTCTTCGTTGGAAACGGGTTTTTTTCATGTAAGGCTAGACAGAAGAATTCCCAGTAACTTCCCTTGTGTTGTGTGTGTTCAACTCACAGAGTTGAACTTTCATTTACACAGAGCAGATTTGAAACACTCTTTTTGTGGAATTTGCAAGTGGAGATTTCAAGCGCTTTGAGGCCAAAGGCAGAAAAGGAAATATCTTCGTATAAAAACTAGACAGAATCATTCTCAGAAACTCCTTTGTGATGTGTGCGTTCAACTCTCAGAGTTTAACTTTTCTTTTCATTCAGCGGTTTGGAAACACTCTGTTTGTAAAGTCTGCACGTGGATATTTTGACCACTTAGAGGCCTTCGTTGGAAACGGGTTTTTTTCATGTAAGGCTAGACAGAAGAATTCTCAGTAACTTTCCTTGTGTTGTGTGTATTCAACTCACAGAGTTGAACGATCCTTTACACAGAGCAGACTTGTAACACTCTTTTTGTGGAATTTGCAAGTGGAGATTTCAGCCGCTTTGAAGTCAAAGGTAGAAAAGGAAATATCTCCCTATAAAAACTAGACAGAATGATTCTCAGAAACTTCTTGGTGATGTGTGCGTTCAACTCACAGAGTTTAACCTTTCTTTTCATAGAGCAGTTAGGAAACACTCTGTTTGTAAACTCTGCAAGTGGATATTCAGACCTCCTTGAGGCCTTCGTTGGAAACGGGATTTCTTCATACTGTGCTAGACAGAAGAATTCTCAGTAACTTCCTTGTGTTGTGTGTATTCAACTCACAGAGTTGAATGATCCTTTACACAGAGCAGACTTGAAACACTCTTTTTGTGGAATTTGCAAGTGGAGATTTCAGCCGCGTTGAGGTCAATGGTAGAAGAGGAAATATCTTCGTATAAAAACTAGACAGAATGATTCTCAGAAACTCCTTTGTGATGTGTGCGTTCAACTCACAGAGTTTAACTTTTCTTTTCATAGAGCAGTTAGGAAACATTCTGTTTGTAAAGTCTGCAAGTGGATATTCAGACCTCTTTGAGGCCTTCTTTGGAAACGGGATTTCTTCATATTATGCTAGACAGAAGAATTCTCAGTAACTTCCTTGTGTTGTGTGTATTCAACTGACAGAGTTGAACTTTCATTTAGAGAGAGCAGATTTGAAACACTGTTTTTGTGGAATTTGCAAGTGGAGATTTCAAGGGCTTTGGGGCCAAGGGCAGAAAAGGAAATATCTTCGTATAAAAACTAGACAGAATCATTCTCAGAAACTGATGCGTGATGTGTGCGTTCAACTCTCAGAGTTTAACTTTTCTTTTCATTCAGCGGTTTGGAAACACTCTGTCTGTAAAGTCTGCACGTGGATATTTTGACCACTTAGAGGCCTTCGTTGGAAACGGGTTTTTTTCATGTAAGGCTAGACAGAAGAATTCCCAGTAACTTCCTTGTGTTGTGTACATTCAACTCACAGAGTTGAACTTTCCCTTAGACAGAGCAGACTTGTAACACTCTTTTTGTGGAATTTGCAAGTGGAGATTTCAGCCGCTTTGAAGTCAAAGGTAGAAAAGGAAATATCTTCCTATAAAAACTAGACAGAATGATTCTCAGAAACTCCTTTGTGATGTGTGCGTTCAACTCACAGAGTTTAACCTTTCTTTTCATAGAGCAGTTAGGAAACACTCTGTTTGTAAAGTCTGCAAGGGGATAATCAGACCTCTTTGAGGCCTTCGTTGGAAACGGGATTTCTTCGTATTCTGCTAGACAGAAGAATTCTCAGTAACTTCCTCGTGTTGTGTGTATTCAACTCACAGACTTGAACGATCCTTTACACAGAGCAGACTTGAAACACTCTTTTTGTGGAATTTGCAAATGGAGATTTCAGCCGCTTTAAGATCAATGGTTGAAAAGGAAATATCTTCATATAAAAATTAGACAGAATGATTCTCAGAAACTCCTTTGTGATGTGTGTGTTCAACTCACAGAGTTTCACCTTTCTTTTCATAGAGCAGTTAGGAAACACTCTGTTTGTAAAGTCTGCAAGTGGACATTCAGACCTCCTTGAGGCCTTCGTTGGAAACGGGATTTCTTCATATTCTGCTAGACAGAAGAATTCTCAATA
This sequence comes from Homo sapiens, assembly GCF_000001405.40. NCBI lineage: Eukaryota > Metazoa > Chordata > Mammalia > Primates > Hominidae > Homo > Homo sapiens. The sequence continues at coordinate 123,431,257 of NC_000001.11, forward strand.
ACTTCCTTGTGTTGTGTGTATTCAACTCACAGAGTTGAACGATCCTTTACACAGAGCAGACTTGAAACACTCTTTTTGTGGAATTTGCAAGTGGAGATTTCAGCCGCTTTGAGTTCAATGGTAGAATAGGAAATATCTTCCTATAGAAACTAGACAGAATGATTCTCAGAAACTTCTTTGTGATGTGTGCGTTCAACTCACAGAGTTAAAACTTTCTTTTCATAGAGCAGTTAGGAAACACTCTGTTTGTAAAGACTGCACGTGGATATTCAGACCTCTTTGAGGCCTTCGTTGGAAACGGGTTTTTTTCCTGTAAGGCTAGACAGAAGAATTCTCAGTAACTTCCTTGTGTTGTGTGTATTCAACTGACAGAGTTGAACTTTCATTTAGAGAGAGCAGATTTGAAACACTGTTTTTGTGGAATTTGCACTTGGAGATTTCATGCGCTTTGGGGCCAATGGCAGAAAAGGAAATATCTTCGTATAAAAACTAGACAGAATCATTCTCAGAAACTGCTGCGTGATGTGTGCGTTCAACTCTCAGAGTTTAACTTTTCTTTTCATTCAGCGGTTTGGAAACACTCTGTTTGTAAAGTCTGCACGTGGATATTTTGACCACTTAGAGGCCTTCGTTGGAAACGGGTTTTTTTCATGTAAGGGTAGACAGAAGAATTCCCAGTAACTTCCTTTTGTTGTGTGCATTCAACTCACAGAGATGAACGTTCGCTTAGACAGAGCAGATTTGAAACACTCTATTTGTGCAATTTGCAAGTGTAGATTTCAAGCGCTTTAAGGTCAATGGCAGAAAAGGAAATATCTTCGTTTCAAAACTAGACAGAATCATTCCCACAAACTGCGTTGTGATGTGTTCGTTCAACTCACAGGGTTTAACCTTTCTGTTCATAGAGCAGTTAGGAAACACTCTGTTTGTAAAGTCTGTAAGTGGATATTCTGACATCTTGTGGCCTTCGTTGGAAACGGGATTTCTTCATATTCTGCTAGACAGAAGAATTCTCAGTAACTTCCTTGTGTTGTGTGTATTCAACTCACAGAGTTCAATGATCATTTACACAGAGCAGACTTGAAACACTCTTTTTGTGGAATTTGCAAGGGGAGATTTCAGCCGCTTTGAGGTCAATGGTAGAAAAGGAAATATCTTCGTATAAAAACTAGACAGAATGATTCTCAGAAAATCTTTTGTGATGTGTGCGTTCAACTCACAGAGTTTAACTTTTCTTCTTATAGAGCAGTTAGGAAACACTCTGTTTGTAAAGTCTGCAAGTGGATATTCAGACCTCTTTGAGGCCTTCGTTGGAAACGGGATTTCTTCATATTATGCTAGACAGAATAATTCTCAGTAACTTCCTTGTGTTGTGTGTATTCAACTCACAGAGTTGAAGGATCCTTTACAGAGAGCAGGCTTGAAACACTCTTTTTGTCGAATTTGCAAGTGGAGATTTCTGCCGCTTTGAGGTCAATGGTAGAATAGGAAATATCTTCTTATAGAAACTAGACAGAATCATTCTCAGAAACTGCTCTGCGATGTGTGCGTTCAACTCTCAGAGTTTAACTTTTCTTTTCATTCAGCAGTTTGGAAACACTCTGTTTGTAAAGTCTGCACGTGGATATTTTGACCACTTAGAGGCCTTCGTTGCAAACGTGTTTTTTTCCTGTAAGGCTAGACAGAAGAATTCCCAGTAACTTCCTTGTGTTGTGTACATTCAACTCACAGAGTTGAACGTTCCCTTAGACAGAGCAGATTTGAAACACTCTTTTTGTGCAATTGGCAAGTGGAGATTTCAAGCGCTTTAAGGTCAAAGGCAGAAAAGGAAATATCTTCGTTTCAAAACTAGACAGAATGATTCTCAGAAACTCCTTTGTGATGTGTGCGTTCAACTCACACAGTTTAACCTTTCTTTTCATAGAGCAGTTAGGAAACACTGTTTGTAAAGTCTGCAAGTGGATATTCAGACCTCCTTGAGGCCTTCGTTGGAAACGGGATTTCTTCATATTCTGCTAGACAGAAGAATTCTCAGTAACTTCCTTGTGTTCTGTGTATTCAACTCACAGAGTTGAACGATCCTTTACACAGAGCAGACTTGAAACAGTCTTTTTGTGGAATTTGCAAGTGGAGACTTCAGCCGCTTTGAGGTCAATGGTAGAATAGGTAATATCTTCCTATAGAAACTAGACAGAATGATTCTCAGAAACTCCTTTGTGATGTGTGCGTTCAACTCACAGAGTTTAACTTTTCTTTTCATAGAGCAGTTAGGAAACACTCTGTTTGTAAAGTCTGCAAGTGGATATTCAGACCTCTTTGAGGCCTTCGTTGGAAACGGGATTTCTTCATATTCTGCTAGACAGAATAATTCTCAGTAACTTCCTTGTGTTGTGTGTATTCAACTCACAGAGTTGAACGATCCTTTACACAGAGCAGACTTGAAACATTCTTTTTGTGGAATTTGCAAGTGGAGATTTCTGCCGCTTTGAGGTCAATGGTAGAATAGGAAATATCTTCCTATAGAAACTAGACAGAATGATTCTCAGAAACTCCTTTGTGATGTGTGCGTTCAACTCACAGAGTTTAACCTTTCTTTTCATTCACCAGTTTGGGAAACACTCTGTTTGTAAAGTCTGCACGTGGATATTTTGACCACTTAGAGGCCTTCGTTGGAAACGGGTTTTTTTCCTGTAAGGCTAGACAGAAGAATTCCCAGTAACTTCCTTGTGTTGTGTGCATTCAACTCACAGAGTTGAACGTTCCCTTAGACAGAGCAGATTTGAAACACTCTATTTGTGTAATTTGCAAGTGTAGATTTCAAGCGCTTTAAGGTCAACGGCAGAAAAGGATATATCTTCGTTTCAAAACTAGACAGAATCATTCCCACAAACTCGTTGTGATGTGTTCGTTCAACTCACAGAGTTTAACCTTTCTGTTCATAGAGCAGTTAGGAAACACTCTGTTTGTAAAGTCTGCAAGTGGATATTCAGACCTCCTTGAGGCCTTCGTTGGAAACGGGATTTCTTCATATTCTGCTAGACAGAAGAATTCTCAGAAACTTCCTTGTGTTGTGTGTATTCAACTCACAGATGTGAACGATCGTTTACACAGAGCAGACTTGAGACACTCTTTTTGTGGAATTTGTAAGTGGAGATTTCAGCCGCTTTGAGGTCAATGGTAGAAAAGGAAATATCTTCATATAAAAACTAGACAGAACGATTCTCAGAAACTCCTTTGTGATGTGTGCGTTCAACTCACAGAGTTTAACCTTTCTGTTCATAGAGCAGTTAGGAAACACTCTGTTTGTAAAGTCTGCAAGTGGATATTCAGACCTCCTTGAGGCCTTCGTTGGAAACGGGATTTCTTCATATTCTGCTAGACAGAAGAATTCCCACTAACTTCCTTGTGTTGTGTGTGTTCAACTCACAGAGTTGAACTTTCATTTACACAGAGCAGATTTGAAACACTCATTTTGTGGAATTTGCAAGTGGAGATTTCAAGCGCTTTGAGGCCAAAGGCAGAAAAGGAAATATCTTCGTATAAAAACTAGACAGAATCATTCTCAGAAACTGCTCTGCGATGTGTGCGTTCAACTCTCAGAGTTTAACTTTTCTTTTCATTCAGCAGTTTGGAAACACTCTGTTTGTGAAGTCTGCACGTGGATATTTTGACCACTTAGAGGCCTTCGTTGGAAACGGGTTTTTTTCCTGTAACGCTAGACAGAAGAATTCCCAGTAACTTCCTTGTGTTGTGTGCATTCAACTCACAGAGTTGAACGTTCCCTTAGACAGAGCAGATTTGAAACACTCTATTTGTCCAATTTGCAAGTGTAGATTTCAAGCGCTTTAAGGTCAACGGCAGAAAAGGAAATATCTTCGTTTCAAAACTAGACAGAATGATTCTCAGAAACTTCATTGTGATGTGTGTGTGCAACTCACAGAGTTTAACCTTTCTTTTCATAGAGCAGTTGGGAAACAGTCTGTTTGTAAATTCTGTAAGTGGATATTCTGACATCTTGTGGCCTTCGTTGGAAACGGGATTTCTTCATATTCTGCTAGACAGAAGAATTCTCAGTAACCTCCTTGTGTTGTGTGTATTCAACTCACAGAGTTGAACGATCCTTTACACAGAGCAGACTTGAAACACTCTTTTCGTGGAATTTGCAAGTGGAGATTTCAGCCGCTTTGAGATCAATGGTAGAAAAGGAAATATCTTCGTATAAAAACTAGACAGAATGATTCTCATAAACTCATTTGTGATGGGTGCGTTCAACTCACAAAGTTTAACTTTTCTTTTCATAGAGCAGTTAGGAAACACTCTGTTTGTAAAGTCTGCAAGTGGATATTCAGACCTCTTTGAGGCCTTCGTTGGAAACGGGATTTCTTCATATTATGCTAGACAGAATAATTCTCAGTAACTTCCTTGTGTTGTGTGTATTCAACTCACAGAGTTGAACGATCCTTTACACAGAGCAGACTTGAAACATTCTTTTTGTGGAATTTGCAACTGGAGATTTCAGCCGCTTTGAGGTCAATGGTAGAATAGGAAATATCTTCCTACAGAAACTAGACAGAATCATTCTCAGAAACTGCTGCGTGATGTGTGCGTTCAACTCTCAGAGTTTAACTTTTCTTTTCATTCAGCGGATTGGAAACACTCTGTTTGTAAAGTCTGCACGTGGATATTTTGACCACTTAGAGGCCTTCGTTGGAAACGGGTTTTTTTCATGTAAGGCTAGACAGAAGCATTCCCAGTAACTTCCTTGTGTTGTGTGCATTCAACTCACAGAGATGAACGTTCCCTTAGACAGAGCAGATTTGAAACACTCTATTTGTGCAATTTGCAAGTGTAGATTTCAAGCGCTTTAAGGTCAACGGCAGAAAAGGAAATATCTTCGTTTCAAAACTAGACAGAATCATTCCCACAAACTGCGTTGTGATGTGTTCGTTCAACTCACAGAGTTTAACCTTTCTGTTCATAGAGCAGTTAGGAAACACTCTGTTTGTAAAGTCTGTAAGTGGATATTCGGACATCTTGTGGCCTTCGTTGGAAACGGGATTTCTTCATATTCTGCTAGACAGAAGAATTCTCAGTAACTTCCTTGTGTTGTGTGTATTCAACTCACAGAGTTGAACGATCCTTTACACAGAGCAGACTTGAAACATTCTTTTTGTGGAATTTGCAAGTGGAGATTTCAGCCGCTTTGAGGTCAATAGTAGAAAAGGAAATATCTTCGTAGAAAAACTAGGCAGAATGATTCTCAGAAACTCCTTTGTGATGTGTGCGTTCAACTCACAGAGTTTAACCTTTCTTTTCATAGAGCAGTTAGGAAACACTCTGTTTGTAAAGTCTGGAAGTGGATATTCAGACCTCCTTGAGGCCTTCGTTGGAAACGGGATTTCTTCATATTATGCTAGACAGAAGAATTCTCAGTAACTTCCTTGTGTTGTGTGTATTCAACTCACAGAGTTGAACTTTCATTTAGAGAGAGCAGATTTGAAACACTGTTTTTGTGGAATTTGCAAGTGGAGATTTCAAGCGCTTTGGGGCCAAAGGCAGAAAAGGAAATATCTTCGTATAAAAACTAGACAGAATCATTCTCAGAAACTGCTGCGTGATGTGTGCGTTCAACTCTCAGAGTTTAACTTTTCTTTTCATTCAGCGGTTTGGAAACACTCTCTTTGTAAAGTCTGCACGTGGAAATTTTGACCACTTAGAGGCCTTCGTTGGAAACGGGTTTTTTTCATGTAAGGCTAGACAGAAGAATTCCCAGTAACTTCCTTGTGTTGTGTACATTCAACTCACAGAGTTGAACGTTCCCTTAGACCGAGCAGATTTGAAACACTCTTTTTGTGCAATTGGCAAGTGGAGATTTCAACCGCTTTAAGGTCAATGGCAGAAAAGGAAATATCTTCGTTTCAAAACTAGACAGAATCATTCCCACAAACTGCGTTGTGATGTGTTCGTTCATCTCACAGAGTTTAACCTATCTTTTCATAGAGCAGTTAGGAAACACTCTGTTTGTAAATTCTGTAAGTGGATATTCTGACATCTTGTGGCCTTCGTTGGAAACGGGATTTCTTCATATTCTGCTAGACAGAGGAATTCTCAGTAACTTCCTTGTGTTGTGTGTATTCAACTCACAGAGTTGAACGATCCTTTAAACAGAGCAGACTTGAAACACTCTTTTTGTGGAATTTGCAAGTGGAGATTTCAGCCGCTTTGAGTTCAATGGTAGAATAGGAAATATCTTCCTATAGAAACTACACAGAATGATTCTCAGAAAATCCTGTGTGATGTGTGCGTTCAACTCACAGAGTTTAACTTTTCTTTTCATAGAGCAGTTAGGAAACACTCTGTTTGTAAAGTCTGCAAGTGGATATTCAGACGTCTTTGAGGCCTTCGTTGGAAACGGGATTTCTTCATATTCTGCCAGACAGAATAATTCTCAGTAACTTCCTTGTGTTGTGTGTATTCAACTCACAGAGTTGAAGGATCCTTTACAGCGAGCAGGCTTGAAACACTCTTTTTGTCGAATTTGCAAGTGGAGATTTCAGCCGCTTTGAGGTCAATGGTAGAATAGGAAATATCTTCTTATAGAAACTAGACAAAATCATTCTCAGAAACTGCTCGGTGATGTGTGCGTTCAACTCTCAGAGTTTAACTTTTCTTTTCATTCAGCAGTTTGGAAACACTATGTTTGTAAAGTCTGCACGTGGATATTTTGACCTCTGAGAGGCCTTCGTTGGAAACGGGTTTTTTTCATGTAAGGCTAGACAGAAGAATTCTCAGTAACTTCCTTGTGTTGTGTGTATTCAACTCACAGAGTTGAACGATCCTTTACACAGAGCAGACTTGTAACACTCTTTTTGTGGAATGTGCAAGTGGAGATTTCAGCCGCTTTGAAGTCAAAGGTAGAAAAGGAAATATCTTCCTATAAAAACTAGACAGAATGATTCTCAGAAACTCCTTTGTGATGTGTGTGTTCAACTCACAGAGTTTAACCTTTCTTTTCATAGAGCAGTTAGTAAACACTCTGTTTATAAAGTCTGCAAGTGGATATTCAGACCCCTTGAGGCCTTCGTTGGAAACGGGATTTCTTCACATTGTGCTAGACAGAGAATTCTCAGTAACTTCCTTGTGTTGTGTGTATTCAACTCACAGAGTTGAACGATCCTTTACACAGAGCAGACTTGAAACACTCTTTTTGTGGAATTTGCAAGTGGAGATTTCAGCCGCTTTGAGGTCAATAGTAGAAAAGGAAATATCTTCGTAGAAAAACTAGGCAGAATGATTCTCAGAAACTCCTTTGTGATGTTTGTGTTCAACTCACAGAGTTTAACCTTTCTTTTCATAGAGCAGTTAGTAAACACTCTGTTTATAAAGTCTGCAAGTGGATATTCAGTCCCCTTTGAGGCCTTCGTTGGAAACGGGATTTCTTCATATTATGCTAGACAGAAGAATTCTCAGTAACTTCCTTGTGTTGTGTGTATTCAACTCACAGAGTTGAACTTTCATTTAGAGAGAGCAGATTTGAAACACTGTTTCTGTGGAATTTCCAAGTGGAGATTTCAAGCGCTTTGGGGCCAAAGGCAGAAAAGGAAATATCTTCGTATAAAAACTAGACAGAATCATTCTCAGAAACTGCTGCGTGATGTGTACGTTTAACTCTCAGAGTTTAACTTTTCTTTTCATTCAGCGGTTTGGAAACACTCTGTTTGTAAAGTCTGCACGTGGATATTTTGACCACTTAGAGGCCTTCGTTGGAAACGGGTTTTTTTCATCTAAGGTTAGACAGAAGAATTCCCAGTAACTTCCTTGTGTTGTGTACATTCAACTCACAGAGTTGAACGTTCCCTTAGACAGAGCAGATTTGAAACACTCTTTTTGTGCAATTGGCAAATGGAGATTTCAAGCGCTTTAAGTTCAATGGCAGAAAAGGAAATATCTTCGTTTCAAAACTAGACAGAATCATTCCCACAAACTGCCTTGTGATGTGTTCGTTCAACTCACAGAGTTTAACCTTTCTGTTCATAGAGCAGTTAGGAAACACTCTGTAACGTCTGTAAGTGGATATTCTGACATCTTGTGGCCTTCGTTGGAAACGGGATTTCTTCATATTCTGCTAGACAGAAGAATTCTCAGAATCTTCCTTGTGTTGTGTGTATTCAACTCACACAGTTGAACGATGGTTTACACAGAGCAGATATGAAACACTCTTTTTGTGGAATTTGCAAGTGGAGATTTCAGCCGCTTTGAGGTCAATGGTAGAAAAGGAAATATATTCGTATAAAAACTAGACAGAATGATTCTCAGAAACTTCTTTGTGATGTGTGCGTTCAACTCACAGAGTTTAACCTTTCTTTTCATAGAGCAGTTAGGAAACACTCTGTTTGTAAACTCTGCAAGTGGATATTCAGACCTCTGTGAGGCCTTCGTTGGAAACGGGATTTCTTCATACTGTGCTAGACAGAAGAATTCCCAGTAACTTCCTTGTGTTGTGTGTGTTCAACTCACAGAGTTGAACTTCCATTTACACAGAGCAGATTTGAAACACTCTTTTTGTGGAATTTGCAAGTGGAGATTTCAAGCGCTTTGAGGCCAAAGGCAGAAAAGGAAATATCTTCATTTCAAAACTAGACAGAATCATTCTCAGAAACTGCTGCGTGATGTGTGCGTTCAACTCTCAGAGTTTAACTTTTTTTTTCATTCAGCGGTTTGGAAACACTCTGTTTGTAAAGTCTGCACGTGGATATTTTGACCACTTAGAGGCCTTCGTTGGAAACGGGTTTTTTTCATGTAAGGCTAGACAGAAGAATTCCCAGTAACTTCCCTTGTGTTGTGTGCATTCAACTCACAGAGTTGAACGTTCACTTAGACAGAGCAGATTTGAAACACTCTATTTGTGCAATTTGCAAGTGTAGATTTCAAGCGCTTTAAGGTCAATGGCAGAAAAGGAAATTTCTTCGTTTCAAAACTAGACAGAATCATTCCCACAAACTGCGTTGTGATGTGTTCGTTCAACTCACAGAGTTTAACCTTTCTGTTCATAGAGCAGTTAGGAAACACTCTGTTTGTAAAGTCTGTAAGTGAATATTCTGACATCTTGTGGCCTTCGTTGGAAACGGGATTTCTTCATATTCTGCTAGACAGAAGAATTCTCAGTAACTTCCTTGTGTTGTGTGTATTCAACTCACAGAAGTTGAACGATCCTTTACACAGAGCAGACTTGAAACACTCTTTTTGTGGAATTTGCAAGTGGAGATTTCAGCCGCTTTGAGGTCAATGGTAGAAAAGGAAATATCTTCGTATAAAGACTAGACAGAGTGATTCTCAGAAACTCCTTTGTGATGTGTGCGTTCAACTCACAGAGTTTAACCTTTCTTTTCATAGAGCAGTTAGGAAACACTCTGTTTGTAAAGTCTGCAAGTGGATATTCAGACCTCCTTGAGGTCTTCGTTGGAAACGGGATTTCTTCATATTATGCTAGACAGAAGAATTCTCAGTAACTTCCTTGGTGTTGTGTGTATTCAAATGACAGAGTTGAACTTTCATTTAGAGAGAGCAGATTTGAAACACTGTTTTTGTGGAATTTGCAAGTGGAGATTTCAAGCGCTTTGGGGCCAAAGGCAGAAAAGGAAATATCTTCGTATAAAAACTAGACAGAATCATTCTCAGAAACTGCTCTGCGATGTGTGCGTTCAACTCTCAGAGTTTAACTTTTCTTTTCATTCAGCAGTTTGGAAACACTCTGTTTGTAAAGTCTGCACGTGGATATTTTGACCACTTAGAGGCCTTCGTTGGAAACGGGTTTTTTTTCTGTAAGGCTAGACAGAAGAATTCCCAGTAACTTCCTTGTGTTGTGTACATTCAACTCACAGAGTTGAACGTTCCGTTAGACAGAGCAGATTTGAAACACTCTTTTTGTGCAATTGGCAAATGGAGATTTCAAGCGCTTTAAGTTCAATGGCAGAAAAGGAAATATCTTCGTTTCAAAACTAGACAGAATCATTCCCACAAACTGCGTTGTGATGTGTTCGTTCAACCCACAGAGTTTAACCTTTCTTTTCATAGAGCAGTTAGGAAACACTCTGTTTGTAAAGTATGAAAGTGGATATTCTGACATCTTGTGGCCTTCGTTGGAAACGGGATTTCTTCATATTCTGCTAGACAGAAGAATTCTCAGTAACTTCCTTGTGTTGTGTGTATTCAACTCACAGAGTTGAACGATCCTTTACACAGAGCAGACTTGAAACATTCTTTTTATGGAATTTGCAAGTGGAGATTTCAGCCGCTTTGAGGTCAATGGTAGAATAGGAAATATCTTCCTATACAAACTAGACAGAATGATTCTCAGAAACTCCTTTCTGATGTGTGCGTTCAACTCACAGAGTTTAACATTTCTTTTCATAGAGCAGTTAGGAAACACTCTGTTTGTAAAGTCTGCAAGTGGATATTCAGACCTCTTTGAGGCCTTCGTTGGAAACGGGATTTCTTCATATTCTGCTAGACAGAAGAATTCCCACTAACTTCCTTGTGTTGTGTGTGTTCAACTCACAGAGTTGAACTTTCATTTACACAGAGCAGATTTGAAACACTCTTTTTGTGGAATTTGAAAGTGGAGATTTCAAGCGCTTTGAGGCCAAAGGCAGAAAAGGAAATATCTTCGTTTCAAAACTAGACAGAATCATTCTCAGAAACTGCTCTGCGATGTGTGCGTTCAACTCTCAGAGTTTAACTTTTCTTTTCATTCAGCAGTTTGGAAACACTCTGTTTGTAAAGTCTGCACGTGGATAATTTGACCACTTAGAGGCCTTCGTTGGAAACGAGTTTTTTTCATGTAAGGCTAGACAGAAGAATTCCCAGTAACTTCCTTGTGTTGTGTGCATTCAACTCACAGAGTTGAACGTTCCCTTAGACAGAGCAGATTTGAAACACTCTATTTGTCCAATTTGCAAGTGTAGATTTCAAGCGCTTTAAGGTCAACGGCAGAAAAGGAAATATCTTCGTTTCAAAACTAGACAGAATCATTCCCACAAACTGCGTTGTGATGTGTTCGTTCAACTCACAGAGTTTAACCTTTCTTTTCATAGAGCAGTTAGGAAACAGTCTGTTTGTCAATTCTGTAAGTGGATATTCTGACATCTTGTGGCCTTCGTTGGAAACGGGATTTCTTCATATTCTCCTAGACAGAAGAATTGTCAGTAACTTCCTTGTGTTGTGTGTATTCAACTCACAGAGTTGAACGATCCTTTACACAGAGCAGACGTAAAGCACTCTTTTTGTGGAATTGGCAAGTGGAGATTTCAGCCGCTTTGAGGTCAATGGTAGAAAAGGAAATATCTTCGTATAAAAACTAGACAGAATGATTCTCAGAAACTCCTTTGTGATGTGTGCGTTCAACTCACAGAGTTTAACCTTTCTTTTCATAGAGCAGTTAGGAAACACTCTGTTTGTAAAGTCTGCAAGTGGATATTCAGACATCTTTCAGGCGTTCATTGGAAACGGGATTTCTTCATATTATGCTAGACAGAAGAATTCCCAGTAACTTCCTTGTGTTGTGTGTGTTCAACTCACAGAGTTGAACTTTCATTTACACAGAGCAGATTTGAAACACTCTTTTTGTGGAATTTACAGGTGGAGATTTCAAGCGCTTTGAGGCCAAAGGCAGAAAAGGAAATATCTTCGTATAAAAACTAGACAGAATCATTCTCAGAAACTGCTCTGCGATGTGTGCGTTCAACTCTCAGAGTTTAACTTTTCTTTTCATTCAGCAGTTTGGAAACACTCTGTTTGTAACGTCTGCACGTGGATAATTTGACCACTTAGAGGCCTTCGTTGGAAACGGGTTTTTTTCATGTAAGGCTAGACAGAAGAATTCCCAGGAACTTCCTTGTGTTGTGTACATTCAACTCACAGAGTTGAACGTTCCCTTAGACAGAGCAGATTTGAAACAGTCTTTTTGTGCAATTGGCAAGTGGTGATTTCAGCCGCTTTGAGGTCAATGGTAGAAAAGGAAATATCTTCGTATAAAAACTAGACAGAATGATTCTCATAAACTCCTTTGTGATGTATGCGTTCAACTCACAGAGTTTAACCTTTCTTTTCATAGAGCAGTTAGGAAACACTCTGTTTGTAAAGTCTGCAAGTGGATATTCAGACCTCCTTGAGGCCTTCGTTGGAAACGGGATTTCTTCATATTCTGCTAGAAAGAAGAATTCTCAGTAACTTCCTTGTGTTGTGTGTATTCAACTCACAGAGTTGAACGATCCTTTACACAGAGCAGACTTGAAACACTCTTTATGTGGAATTTGCTTGTGGAGATTTCAGCTGCTTTGAGGTCAATGGTAGAAAAGGAAATATCTTCGTATAAAGAGTAGACAGAACGATTCTCAGAAACTCCTTTGTGATGTGTGCGTTCAACTCACAGAGTTTAACTTTTCTTTTCATAGAGCCGTTAGGAAACACTCTGTTTGTAAAGTCTGCAAGTGGATATTCAGACCTCTTTGAGGCCTTCGTTGGAAACGGGATTTCTTCCTATTCTGCTAGACAGAAGAATTCTCAGTAACTTCCTTGTGTTGTGTGTATTCAACTCACAGAGTTGAACGATCCTTTACACAGAGCAGACTTGAAACACTCTTTTTGTGGAATTTGCAAGTGGAGATTTCAGCCGCTTTGAGGTCAATGGTAGAAAAGGAAATATCTTCGTATAAAAGACTAGACAGAATCATTCTCAGAAACTGCTCTGCGATGTGTGCGTTCAACTCTCAGAGTTTAACTTTTCTTTTCATTCAGCAGTTTGGAAACACTCTGTTTGTAAAGTCTGCACGTGGATATTTTGACCCCTTAGAGGCCTTCGTTGGAAACGGGTTTTTTTCCTGTAAGGCTAGACAGAAGAATTCCCAGGAACTTCCTTGTGTTGTGTGCATTCAACTCACAAAGTTGAACGTTCCCTTAGACAGAGCAGATTTGAAACACTCTATTTGTGCAATTTGCAAGTGTAGTTTTCAAGCTCTTTAAGGTCAACGGCAGAAAAGGAAATATCTTCGTTTCAGAACTAGACAGAATCATTCCCACAAACTGCGTTGTGATGTGTTCGTTCAACTCACAGAGTTTAACCTTTCTTTTCATAGAGCAGTTAGGAAACACTCTGTTGTAAATTCTGTAAGTGGATATTCTGACATCTTGGGGCCTTCGTTGGAAACGGGATTTCTTCATATTCTGCTAGACAGAAGAATTCTCAGTAACTTCCTTGTGTTGTGTGTATTCAACTCACAGAGTTGAACGATCCTTTACACAGAGCAAACTTGAAACACTCTTTTTGTGGAATTTGCAAGTGGAGATTTCAGCCGCTTTGAGGTCAATGGTAGAAAAGGAAATATCTTCGTATAAAGACTAGACAGAATGATTCTCAGAAACTCCTTTGTGATGTGTGCGTTCAACTCACAGAGTTTAACCTTTCTTTTCATAGAGCAGTTAGGAAACACTCTGTTTGTAAAGTCTGCAAGTGGATATTCAGACCTCTTTGAGGCCTTCGTTGGAAACGGGTTTTTTTTCATATAAGGCTAGACAGAAGAATTCCCAGTAACTTCCTTGTGTTGTGTGTGTTCAACTCACAGAGTTGAACTTTCATTTACACAGAGCAGATTTGAAACACTCTTTTTGTGGAATTTGCAAGTGGAGATTTCAAGCGGTTTGAGGCCAAAGGCAGAAAAGGAAATATCTTCGTTTGAAAACTAGACAGAATGATTCTCATAAACTCCTTTGTGATGTGTGCGTTCAACTCACAGAGTTTAACCTTTCTTTTCATAGAGCAGTTAGGAAACACTCTGTTTGTAAAGTCTGCAAGTGGATATTCAGACCTGTTTGAGGCCTTCGTTGGAAACGGGATTTCTTCATATTCTGCTAGACAGAAGAATTCTCAGTAACTTCCTTGTGTTGTGTGTATTCAACTCACAGAGTTGAACGATCCTTTACACAGAGCAGACTTGAAACACTCTTTTTGTGGAATTTGCAAGTGTAGATTTCAAGCGCTTTAAGGTCAATGGCAGAAAAGGAAATATCATCGTTTCAAAACTAGACAGAATCATTCCCACAAACTGCGTTGTGATGTGTTCGTTCAACTCACAGAGTTTAAACTTTCTGTTCATAGAGCAGTTAGGAAACACTGTGTTTGTAAAGTCTGCAAGTGGATATTCAGACCTCTTTGAGGCCATCGTTGGAAACGGGATTTCTTCATATTCTGCTAGACAGAAGAATTCTCAGAAACTTCCTTGTGTTGTGTGTTTTCAACTCACAGAGTTCAACGATCCTTTACACAGAGCAGACTTGAAACACTCTTTTTGTGGAATTTGCAAGTGGAGATTTCAGCCTCTTTGAGATCAATGGTAGAATAGGAAATATCTTCCTATAGAAACTAGACAGAATGATTCTCAGAAACTCCTTTGTGATGTGTGCGTTCAACTCACACAGTTTAACCTTTCTTTTCATAGAGCAGTTAGGAAACACTCTGTTTGTAAAGTCTGCAAGTGGATATTCAGACCTCCTTGAGGCATTCGTTGGAAACGGGATTTCTTCATATTATGCTAGACAGAAGAATTCTCAGTAACTTCCTTGTGTTGTGTGTATTCAAATCACAGAGTTGAACGATCCTTTACACAGAGCAGACTTGAAACACTCTTTTTGTGGAATTTGCAAGTGGAGATTTCAGCCGCTTTGAGGTCAATGTTAGAATAGGAAATATCTTCCTATAGAAACTAGACAGAATGATTCTCAGAAAATCTTTTGTGATGTGTGCGTTCAACTCACAGGAGTTTAACTTTTCTTCTCATAGAGCAGTTAGGAAACACTCTGTTTGTAAAGTCTGCCAGTGGATATTCAGACCTCTTTGAGGTCTTCGTTGGAAACGGGATTTCTTCATATTATGCTAGACAGAAGAATTCCCAGTAACTTCCTTGTGTTGTGTACATTCAACTCACAGAGTTGAACGTTCCCTTAGACAGAGCAGATTTGAAACACTCTTTTTGTGCAATTGGCAAATGGAGATTTCAAGCGCTTTAAGTTCAATGGCAGAAAAGGAAATATCTTCGTTTCAAAACTAGACAGAATGATTCTCAGAAACTTCTTTGTGATGTGTGCGTTCAACTCACAGAGTTTAACCTTTCTTTTCATAGAGCAGTTAGGAAACACTCTGTTTGTAAACTCTGCAAGTGGATATTCAGACCTCTTTGTGGCCTTCGTTGGAAACGGGATTTCTTCATACTATGCTAGACAGAAGAATTCTCAGTAACTTCCTTGTGTTGTGTGTATTCAACTCACAGAGTTGAACGATCCTTTACACAGAGCAGACTTGTAACACTCTTTTTGTGGAATTTGCAAGTGGAGATTTCAGCCGCTTTGAAGTCAAAGGTAGAAAAGGAAATATCTTCGTATAAAAACTAGACAGAATGATTCTCAGAAACTTCCTTGTGATGTGTGCGTTCAACTCACAGAGTTTAACCTTTCTTTTCATAGAGCAGTTAGGAAACACTCTGTTTGTAAACTCTGCAAGTGGATATTCAGACCTCTTTGAGGCCTTCGTTGGAAACGGGATTTCTTCATACTATGCTAGACAGAAGAATTCTCAGTAACTTACCTTGTGTTGTGTGTATTCAACTGACAGAGTTGAACTTTCATTTACACAGAGCAGATTTGAAACACTCTTTTTGTGGAATTTGCAAATGGAGATTTCAAGCGCTTTGAGGCCAAAGGCAGAAAAGGAAATATCTTCGTATAAAAACTAGACAGAATCATTCTCAGAAACTGCTCTGCGATGTGTGCGTTCAACTCTCAGAGTTTAACTTTTCTTTTCCTTCAGCAGTTTGGAAACACTCTGTTTGTAAAGTCTGCACGTGGATAATTTGACCACTTAGAGGCCTTCGTTGGAAACGGGTTTTTTTCATGTAAGGTCTAGACAGAAGAATTCCCAGTAACTTCCTTGTGTTGTGTGCATTCAACTCACAGAGTTGAACGTTCCCTTAGACAGAGCAGATTTGAAACACTCTATTTGTGCAATTGGCAAGTGTAGATTTCAAGCGCTTTAAGGTCAATGGCAGAAAAGGAAATATCTTCGTTTCAAAACTAGACAGAATGATTCTAAGAAAATCTTTTGTGATGTGTGCGTTCAACTCACAGAGTTTAACTTTTCTTCTCATAGAGCAGTTAGGAAACACTCTGTTTGTAAAGTCTGCAAGTGGATATTCAGACCTCTTTGAGGCCTTCGTTGGAAACGGGATTTCTTCATATTATGCTAGACAGAATAATTCTCAGTAACTTCCTTGTGTTGTGTGTATTCAACTCACAGAGTTGAAGGATCCTTTACAGAGAGCAGGCTTGAAAGACTCTTTTTGTCGAATTTGCAAGTGGAGATTTCAGCCGCTTTGAGGTCAATGGTAGAATAGGAAATATCTTCTTATACAAACTAGACAGAATGATTCTGAGAAACTCCTTTGTGATGTGTGCGTTCATCTCACAGAGTTTAACCTTTCTTTTCATAGAGCAGTTAGGAAACACTCTGTTTGTAAAGTCTGCAAGTGGATATTCAGACCTCCTTGAGGCCTTCTTTGGAAACGGGATTTCTTCATATTATGCTAGACACAAGTATTCCCAGTAACTTCCTTGTGTTGTGTGTGTTCAACTCACACAGTTGAACTTTGATTTACACAGAGCAGATTTGAAACACTCTTTTTGTGGAATTTGCAAGTGGAGATTTCAAGCGCTTTGAGGCCAAAGGCAGAAAAGGAAATATCTTCGTATAAAAACTAGACAGAATCATTCTCAGAAACTGCTCTGCGATGTGTGCGTTCAACTCTTAGAGTTTAACTTTTCTTTTCATTCAGCAGTTTGGAAACACTCTGTTTGTAAAGTCTGCACGTGGATATTTTGACCACTTAGAGGCCTTCGTTGGAAACGGGTTTTTTTCCTGTAAGGCTAGACAGAAGATTTCCCAGTAAATTCCTTGTGTTGTGTACATTCAACTCACAGAGTTGAACGTTCCCTTAGACAGAGCAGATTTGAAACACTCTTTTTGTGCAATTGGCAAGTGGAGATTTCAAGCGCTTTAAGGTCAATGGCAGAAAAGGAAATATCTTCGTTTCAAAACTAGACAGAATCATTCCCACAAACTGCGTTGTGATGTATTCGTTCAACTCACAGAGTTTAACCTTTCTTTTCATAGAGCAGTTAGGAAACAGTCTGTTTGTAAATTCTGTAAGTGGATATTCTGACATCTTGTGGCCTTCGTTGGAAACGGGATTTCTTCACATTCTGCTAGACAGAAGAATTCTCAGTAACTTCCTTGTGTTGTGTGTATTCAACTCACAGAATTGAATGATCCTTTACACAGAACAGTCTTGAAACACTCTTTTTGTGGAATTTGCAAGTGGAGATTTCAGCCGCTTTGAGGTCAATGGTAGAATAGGAAATATCTTCCTATAGAAACTAGACAGAATGATTCTCAGAAACTCCTTTGTGATGTGTGCGTTCAACTCACAGAGTTCAACCTTTCTTTTCATAGAGCAGTTAGGAAACACTCTGTTTGTAAAGTCTGCAAGTGGATATTCAGACATCTTTGAGGCTTTCGTTGGAAACGGGATTTCTTCATATTCTGCTAGACAGAAGAATTCCCAGTAACTTCCTTGTGTTGTGTGTGTCCAACTCACAGAGTTGAACTTTCATTTACACAGAGCAGATTTGAAACACTCTTTTTGTGGAACTTGCAAGTGGAGATTTCAAGCGCTTTGAGGCCAAAGGCAGAAAAGGAAATATCTTCATTTCAAAACTAGACAGAATCATTCTCAGAAACTGCTCTGCGATGTGTGCGTTCAACTCTCAGAGTTTAACTTTTCTTTTCATTCAGCAGTTTGGAAACACTCTGGTTGTAAAGTCTGCACGTGGATATTTTGACCACTTAGAGGCCTTCGTTGGAAACGGGTTTTTTTCCTGTAAGGCTAGACAGAAGAATTCCCAGTAACTTCCTTGTGTTGTGTGCATTCAACTCACAGTGTTGAACGTTCCCTTAGACAGAGCAGATTTGAAACACTCTATTTGTGCAATTTGCAAGTGTAGATTTCAAGCGCTTTAAGGTCAATGGCAGAAAAGGAAATATCTTCGTTTCAAAACTAGACAGAATCATTCCCACAAACTGCGTTGTGATGTGTTCGTTCAACTCACAGAGTTTAACCTTTCCGTTCATAGAGCAGTTAGGAAACACACTGTTTGTAAAGTCTGTAAGTGGATATTCTGACATCTTGTGGCCTTCGTTGGAAACGGGATTTCTTCATATTCTGCTAGACAGAAGAATTCTCAGTAACTTCCTTGTGTTGTGTGTATTCAACTCACAGAGTTGAACGATCCTTTACACAGAGCAGACTTGTAACACTCTTTTTGTGGAATTCGCAAGTGGAGATTTCAGCCGCTTTGAAGTCAAAGGTAGAAAAGGAAATATCTTCCTATAAAAACTAGACAGAATGTTTCTCAGAAACTTCTTTGTGATGTGTGCGTTCAACTCACAGAGTTTAACCTTTCTTTTCATAGAGCAGTTAGGAAACACTCTGTTTGTAAAGTCTGCAAGTGGATATTCAGACCTCTTTGAGGCCTTCGTTGGAAACGGGATTTCTTCATACTGTGCTAGACAGAAGAATTCTCAGTAACTTCCTTGTGTTGTGTGTATTCAACTCACAGAGTTGAACGATCCTTTACACAGAGCGGACTGGAAACACTCTTTTTGTGGAATTTGCAAGCGGAGATTTCAGGTGCGTTGAGGTCAATGGTAGAAAAGGAAATATCTTCGTATAAAAACTAGACAGAATCATTCTCAGAAACTGCTCTGCGATGTGTGCGTTCAACTCTCAGAGTTTAACTTTTCTTTTCATTCAGCAGTTCGGAAACACTCTGTTTGTAAAGTCTGCACGTGGATATTTTGACCACTTAGATGCCTTCTTTGGAAACGGGTTTTTTTCTTGTAAGGCTAGACAGAAGAATTCCCAGTAACTTCCTTGTGTTGTGTGCATTCAACTCACAGACTTGAACGTTCCCTTAGACAGAGCAGATTTGAAACACTCTATTTGTGCAATTTGCAAGTGTAGATTTCAAGCGCTTTAAGGTCAATGGCAGAAAAGGAAATATCTTCGTTTCAAAACTAGACAGAATCATTCCCACAAACAGCGTTGTGATGTGTTCGCTCAACTCACAGAGTTTAACCTTTCTTTTCATAGAGCAGTTAGGAAACAGTCTGTTTGTCAATTCTGTAAGTGGATATTCTGACATCTTGTGGCATTCGTTGGAAACGGGATTTCTTCATATTCTGCTAGACAGAAGAATTCTCAGAATCTTCCTTGTGTTGTGTGTATTCAACTCACAGAGTTGAACGATCCTTTACACAGAGCAGACTTGAAACACTCTTTTTGTGGAATTTGCAAGTGGAGATTTCAGCCGCTTTGAGGACCATGGTAGAAAAGGAAATATCTTCGTATAAAAACTAGACAGAATGATTCTCAGAAACTCCTTTGTGATGTGTGCTTTCAACGCACAGAGTTTAACCTTTCTTTTCATAGAGCAGTTAGGAAACACTCTGTTGGTAAAGTCTGCAAGTGGATATTCAGACCTCCTTGAGGCCTTCGTTGGAAACGGGATTTCTTCATATTATGCTAGACAGAAGAATTCTCAGTAACTTTCCTTGTGTTGTGTGTATTCAACTGACAGAGTTGAACTATCATTTAGAGAGAGCAGATTTGAAACACTGTTTTTGTGGAATTTGCAAGTGGAGATTTCAAGCGCTTTGGGGCCAAAGGCAGAAAAGGAAATATCTTCGTATAAAAACTAGACAGAATAATTGTCAGAAACTGCTGCGTGATGTGTGCGTTCAACTCTCAGAGTTTAACTTTTCTTTTCATTCAGCGGTTTGGAAACACTCTGTTTGTAAAGTCTGCACGTGGAAATTTTGACCACTTAGAGGCCTTCGTTAGAAACGGGTTTTTTTCATGTAAGGCTAGACAGAAGAATTCCCAGTAACTTCCTTGTGTTGTGTGCATTCAACTCACAGAGTTGAACGTTCCCTTAGACAGAGCAGATTTGAAACACTCTATTTGTGCAATTTGCAAGTGTAGATTTCAAGCGCTTTAAGGTCAATGGCAGAAAAGGAAATATCTTCGTTTTAAAACTAGACAGAATGATTCTCAGAAAATCCTTTGTGATGTGTGCGTTCAACTCACAGAGTTTAACCTTTCTTTTCATAGAGCAGTTAGGAAACACTCTGTTTGTAAAGTCTGCAAGTGGATATTCAGACCTCTTTGAGGCCTTCGTTGGAAACGGGATTTCTTCATATTCTGCTAGACAGAAGAATTCTCAGTAACTTCCTTGTGTAGTGTATATTCAACTCACAGAGTTGAACGATCCTTTACACAGAGCAGACTTGAAACACTCTTTTTGTGGAATTTGCAAGTGGAGATTTCAGCCGCTTTGAGGTCAATAGTAGAAAAGGAAATATCTTCGTAGAAAAACTAGACAGAATGATTCTCAGAAACTGCTTTGTGATGTGTGCGTTCAACTCACAAAGTTTAACCTTTCTTTTCATAGAGCAGTTAGGAAACACTCTGTTTGTAAAGTCTGCAAGTGGATATTCAGACCTCTTTGAGGCCTTCGTTGGAAACGGGTTTTTTTCATATAAGGCTAGACAGAAGAATTCTCAGTAACTTCCTTGTGTTGTGTGTATTCAACTGACAGAGTTGAACTTTCATTTAGAGAGAGCAGATTTGTAACACTGTATTTGTGGAATTTGCAAGTGTAGATTTCAAGCGATTTGCGGCCAAAGGCAGAAAAGGAAATATCTTCGTATAAAAACTAGACAGGATCATTCTCAGAAACTGCTCTGCGATGTGTGCGTTCAACTCTCAGAATTTAACTTTTCTTTTCATTCAGCAGTTTGGAAACACTCTGTTTGTAAAGTCTGCACGTGGATATTTTGACCACTTAGAGGCCTTCGTTGGAAACGGGTTTTTTTCCTGTAAGGCTAGACAGAAGAATTCCCAGTAACTTCCTTGTGTTGTGTACATTCAACTCACAGAGTTGAACGTTCCCTTAGACAGAGCAGATTTGAAACACTCTTTTTGTGCAATTGGCAAGTGGAGATTTCAAGCGCTTTGAGGTCAATGGCAGAAAAGGAAATATCTTCGTTTCAAAACTAGACAGAATCATTCCCACAAACTGCGTTGTGATGTGTTCGTTCATCTCACAGAGTTTAACCTTTCTTTTCGTAGAGCAGTTAGGAAACAGTCTGTTTGTAAATTCTGTAAGTGGATATTCTGACATGCTTGTGGCCTTCGTTGGAAACGGGATTTGCTTCATATTCTGCTAGACAGAAGAATTCTCAGTAACTTCGTTGTGTTGTGTGTTTTCAACTCACAGAGTTAAAGGATCATTTACACAGAGTAGACTTGAAACACTCTTTTTGTGGAATTGGCAGGGTGGAGATTTCAGCCGCTTTGAGGTCAATGGTAGAAAAGGAAATATCTTCGTATAAAAACTAGACAGAGTGATTCTCAGAAACTCCTTTGTGATGTCTGCGTTCAACTCACAGAGTTTAACCTTTCTTTTCATAGAGCAGTTAGGAAACACTCTGTTTGTAAAGTCTGCAAGTGGATATTCCGACCTCCTTGAGGGCTTCGTTGGAAACGGGATTTCTTCATATTATGCTAGACAGAAGAATTCCCAGTAACTTCCTTGTGTTGTGTGTGTTCAACCCACAGAGTTGAACTTTCATTTACACAGAGCAGATTTGAAACACTCTTTTTGTGGAATTTGCAAGTGGAGATTTCAAGCGCTTTGAAGCCAAAGGCAGAAAAGGAAATATCTTCGTTTCAAAACTAGACAGAATCATTCTCAGAAACTGCTCTGCGATGTGTGCATTCAACTCTCAGAGTTTAACTTTTCTTTTCATTCAGCAGTTTGGAAACACTCTGTTTGTAAAGTCTGCACGTGGATAATTTGACCACTTAGAGGCCTTCGTTGGAAACGGGTTTTTTTCATGTAAGGCTAGACAGAAGAATTCCCAGTAACTTCCTTGTGTTTTGTGCATTCAACTCACAGAGTTGAACGTTCCCTTAGACAGAGCAGATTTGAAACACTCTATTTGTGCAATTTGCAAGTGTAGATTTCAAGCGCTTTAAGGTCAATGGCAGAAAAGGAAATATCTTCGTTTCAAAACTAGACAGAATCACTCCCACAAACTGCGTTGTGATGTGTGCGTTCAAGTCAAAGAGTTTAACCTTTCTTTTCATAGAGCAGTTAGGAAACACTCTGTTTGTAAAGTCTGCAAGTGGATATTCAGACCTCCTTGAGGCCTTCGTTGGAAACGGGATTTCTTCATATTCTGCTAGACAGAATGATTCTCAGAAACTCCTTTGTGATGTGTGCGTTCAACTCACAGAGTTTAACCTTTCTTTTCATAGAGCAGTTAGGAAACACTCTGTTTGTAAAGTCTGCACGTGGATATTCAGACCTCTTTGAGGCCTTCGTTGGAAACGGGATTTCTTCATATTCTGCTAGACAGAAGAATTCCCAGTAACTTCCTTGTGTTGTGTGTGTTCAACTCACAGAGTTGAACTTTGATTTACACTGAGCAGATTTGAAACACTCTTTTTGTGGAATTTGCAAGTGGAGATTTCAAGCGCTTTGAGGCCAAAGGCAGAAAAGGAAATATCTTCGTATAAAAACTAGACAGAATCATTCTCAGAAACAGCTCTGCGATGTGTGCGTTCAACTCTCAGAGTTTAACTTTTCTTTTCATTCAGCAGTTTGGAAACACTCTGTTTGTAAAGTCTGCACGTGGATAATTTCACCACTTAGAGGTCTTCGTTGGAAACGGGATTTTTTCATGTAAGGCTAGACAGAAGAATTCCTAGTAACTTCCCTTGGGTTGTGTACATTCAACTCACAGAGTTGAACGTTCCCTTAGACAGAGCAGATTTGAAACACTCTTTTTGTGCAATTGGCAAGTGGTGATTTCAGCCGCTTTGCGGTCAATGGTATAAAAGGAAATATCTTCGTATTAAAACTAGACAGAATCATTCCCACAAACTGCGTTGTGATGTGTTCGTTCAACTCACAGAGTTTAACCTTTCTTTTCATAGAGCAGTTACGAAACAGTCTGTTTGTAAATTCTGTAAGTGGATATTCTGACATCTTGTGGCCTTCGTTGGAAACGGGATTTCTTCATATTCTGCTAGACAGAAGAATTCTCAGTAACTTCCTTGTGTTGTGTGTATTCAACTCACAGAGTTGAACTCTGGTTTACACAGAGCAGATTTGAAACACTCTTTTTGTGGAATTTGCAAGTGGAGATTTCAGCCGCTTTGAGGTCAATGGTAGAAAAGGAAATATCTTCGTATAAAAACTAGACAGAATGATTCTCAGAAACTCCTTTGTGATGTGTGCGTTCAACTCACAGAGTTTAACCTTTCTTTTCGTAGAGCAGTTAGGAAACACTCTGTTTGTAAACTCTGCAAGTGGATATACAGACCTCTTTGAGGCCTTCGTTGGAAACGGGATTTCTTCATACTATGCTAGACAGAAGAATTCCCAGTAACTTCCTTGTGTTGTGTGTGTTCAACTCACAGAATTGAACTTTCATTTACACAGAGCAGATTTGAAACACTCTTTTTGTGGAATTTGCAAGTGGAGATTTCAAGCGCTTTGAGGCCAAAGGCAGAAAAGGAAATATCTTCGTTTCAAAACTAGACAGAATCATTCTCAGAAACTGCTCTGCGATGTGTGCGTTCAACTCTCAGAGTTTAACTTTTCTTTTCTTTCAGCAGTTTGGAAACACTCTGTTTGTAAAGTCTGCACGTGGATAATTTGACCACTTAGAGGCCTTCGTTGGAAACGGGTTTTTTTCATGTAAGGCTAGACAGAGGAATTCTCAGTAACTTCCTTGTGTTGTGTGTATTCAACTCACAGAGTTGAACGATCCTTTACACAGAGCAGACTTGTAACACTCTTTTTGTGGAATTTGCAAGTGGAGATTTCAGCCGCTTTGAAGTCAAAGGTAGAAAAGGAAATATCTTCCTATAAAAACTAGACAGAATCATTCCCAGAAACTGCGTTGTGATGTGTTCGTTCAACTCACAGAGTTTAACCTTTCTGTTCATAGAGCAGTTAGGAAACACTCTGTTTGTAAAGTCTGTAAGTGGATATTCTGACATCTTGTGGCCTTCGTTGGAAACGGGATTTCTTCATATTCTGCTAGACAGAAGAATTCTCAGTAACTTCCTTGTGTTGTGTGTATTCAACTCACAGAGTTGAACGATCCTTTACACAGAGCAAACTTGAAACACTCTTTTTGTGGAATTTGCAAGTGGAGATTTCAGCCGCTTTGAGGTCAATGGTAGAAAAGGAAACTATCTTCATATAAAGACTAGACAGAATGATTCTCAGAAACTCCTTTGTGATGTGTGTGTTCACCTCACAGAGTTTAACCTTTCTTTTCATAGAGCAGTTAGTAAACACTCTGTTTATAAAGTCTGCAAGTGGATATTCAGACCCCTTTGAGGCCTTCGTTGGAAACGGTATTTCTTCATATTATGCTAGACAGAGGAATTCCCAGTAACTTCCTTGTGTTGTGTGTGTTCAACTCACAGAGTTGAACTTTCATTTACACAGAGCAGATTTGAAACACTCTTTTTGTGGAATTTGCAGGTGGAGATTTCAAGCGCTTTGAGGCCAAAGGCAGAAAAGGAAATATCTTCGTATAAAAACTAGACAGAATCATTCTCAGAAAATGCTCTGTGATGTGTGCGTTGAACTCTCAGAGTTTAACTTTTGTTTTCATTCAGCAGTTTGGAAATACTCTGTTTGTAAAGTCTGCACGTGGATATTTTGACCACTTAGAGGCCTTCTTTGGAAACGGGTTTTTTTCATGTAAGGGTAGACAGAAGAATTCCCAGTAACTTCCTTGTGTTGTGTGCATTCAACTCACAGAGTTGAACGTTCCCTTAGACAGAGCAGATTTGAAACACTCTATTTGTGCAATTTGCAAGTGTAGAATTCAAGCGCTTTAAGGTCAATGGCAGAAAAGGAAATATCTTCGTTTCAAAACTAGACAGAATCATTCCCACAAACTGCGTTGTGATGTGTTCGTTCAACTCACAGAGTTTAACCTTTCTGTTCATAGAGCAGTTAGGAAACACTCTGTTTGTAAAGTCTGTAAGTGGATATTGCTGACATACTTGTGGCCTTCGTTGGAAACGGGATTTCTTCATATTCTGCTAGACAGAGAGATTCTCAGTAACTTCCTTGTGTTGCGTGTATTCAACTCACAGAGTTCAACGATCCTTTACACAGAGCAGACTTGAAACACACTTTTTGTGGAATTTGCAAGTGGAGATTTCAGCCGCTTTGAGGTCAGTGGTAGAAAAGGAAATATCTTCGTATAAAAACTAGACAGAATGATTCTCAGAAACTCCTTTGTGATGTGTGCGTTCAACTCACAGAGTTTAACCTTTCTTTTCATAGAGCAGTGAGGAAACACTCTGTTTGTAAAGTCTGCAAGTGGATATTCAGACCTCTTTGTGGCCTTCGTTGGAAACGGGATTTCTTCATATTATGCTAGACAGAAGAATTCCCAGTAACTTCCTTGTGTTGTGTGTGTTCAACTCACAGAGTTGAACTTTCATTTACACAGAGCAGATTTGAAACACTCTTTTTGTGCAATTTGCAAGTGGCGATTTCAAGCGCTTTGAGGCCAAAGGCAGAAAAGGAAATATCTTCGTATAAAAACTAGACAGAATCATTCTCAGAAACTACTCTGTGATGTGTGCGTTCAACTCTCAGAGTTTAACTTTTCTTTTCATTCAGTAGTTTGGAAACACTCTGTTTGTAAATCTGCACGTGGATATTTTGACGACTTAGAGGCTTTCGTTGGAAACGGGTTTTTTTCATGTAAGGCTAGACAGAAGAATTCCCAGTAACTTCCTTGTGTTGTGTGCATTCAACTCACAGAGTTGAACGTTCCCTTAGACAGAGCAGATTTGAAACACTCTATTTGTCCAATTTGCAAGTGTAGATTTCAAGCGCTTTAAGGTCAACGGCAGAAAAGGAAATATCTTCGTTTCAAAACTAGACAGAATCATTCCCACAAACTGCGTTGTGATGTGTTCGTTCAACTCACAGAGTTTAACCTTTCTGTTCATAGAGAAGTTAGGAAACACTCTGTTTGTAAAGTCTGTAAGTGGATATTCTGACATCTTGTGGCCTTCGTTGGAAACGGGATTTCTTCATATTCTGCTAGACAGAAGAATTCTCAGTAACTTCCTTGTGTTGTGTGTATTCAACTCACAGAGTTGAACGATCCTTTACACAGAGCAGACTTGTATCACTCTTTTTGTGGAATTTGCAAGTGGAGATTTCAGCCGCTTTGAAGTCAAAGGTAGAAAAGGAAATATCTTCCTATAAAAACTAGACAGAATGATTCTCAGAAACTCCTTTGTGATGTGTGTGTTCAACTCACAGAGTTTAACCTTTCTTTTCATAGAGCAGTTAGTAAACACTCTGTTTATAAAGTCTGCAAGTGGATATTCAGACCCCTTTGAGGCCTTCGTTGGAAACGGGATTTCTCCATATTATGCTAGACAGAAGGATTCCCAGTAACTTCCTTGTGTTGTGTGTGTTCAACTCACAGAGTTGAACTTTCTTTTACAAATAGCAGATTTGAAACACTCTTTTTGTGGAATTTGCAAGTGGAGATTTCAAGCGCTTTGAGGCCAAAGGCAGAAAAGGAAATATCTTCGTATAAAAACTAGACAGAATGATTCTCAGAAACTCCTTTGTGATGTGTGCGTTCAACTCACCTTTCTTTTCATAGAGCAGTTAGGAAACACTCTGTTTGTAAAGTCTGCACGTGGATATTTGGACTTCTTTGAGGCCTTCGTTGGAAACGGGTTTTTTTCATGTAAGGCTAGACAGAATAATTCCCAGTAACTTCCTTGTGTTGGGTGCATTAAACTCACAGAGTTGAACGTTCCCTTAGACAGAGCAGATTTGAAACACTCTATTTGTGCAATTTGCAAGTGTAGATTTCAAGCGCTTTAAGGTCAATGGCAGAAAAGGAAATATCTTCGTTTCAAAACTAGACAGAATCATTCCCACAAACTGCGTTGTTATGTGTTCGTTCAACTCACAGAGTTTAACCTTTCTTTTCATAGAGCAGTTAGGAAACACTCTGTTTGTAAATTCTGTAAGTGGATATTCTGACAACTTGTGGCCTTCGTTGGAAACGGGATTTCTTCATACTATGCTAGATAGAAAGAATTCTCAGTAACTTCCTTGTGTTGTGTGTATTCAACTCACAGCAGTTGAACGATCCTTTACACAGAGCAGACTTGAAACACTCTTTTTGTGGAATTTGCAAGTGGAGATTTCAGCCGCTTTGAGGTCAATAGTCGAAAAGGAAATATCTTCGTAGAAAAACTAGACAGAATGATTCTCAGAAACTCCTTTGTGATGTGTGCGTTTAACTCACAGAATTTAACCTTTCTTTTCATAGAGCAGTTAGGAAACACTCTGTTTGTTAAAGTCTGCAAGTGGATATTCAGACCTCTTTGAGGCCTTCGTTGGAAACGGGATTTCTTCATATTCTGCTAGACAGAAGAATTCTCAGTAACTTCCTTGTGTTGTGTGTATTCAACTGACAGAGTTGAACTATCATTTAGAGAGAGCAGATTTGAAACACTGTTTTTGTGGAATTTGCAAGTGGAGATTTCAAGCGCTTTGGGGCCAAAGGCAGAAAAGGAAATATCTTCGTATAAAAACTAGACATAATCATTCTCAGAAACTGCTCTGCGATGTGTGCCTTCAACTCTCAGAGTTTAACTTTTCTTTTCATTCAGCAGTTTGGAAACACTCTGTTTGTAAAGTCTGCACGTGGATATTTTGACCACTTAGAGGCCTTCTTTGGAATCGGGTTTTTTTCCTGTAAGGCTAGACAGAAGAATTCCCAGTAACTTCCTTGTGTTGTGTACATTCAACTCACAGAGTTGAAGGTTCCCTTAGACAGAGCAGATTTGAAACACTCTTTTTGTGCAATTGGCAAGTGGAGATTTCAAGCGCTTTAAGGTCAATGGCAGAAAAGGAAATATCTTCGTTTCAAAACTAGACAGAATCATTCCCACAAACTGCGTTGTGATGCGTTTGTTCAACTCACAGAATTTAACCTTTCTTTTCATAGAGCAGTTAGGAAACAGTCTGTTTGTAAATTCTGTAAGTGGATATTCTGACATCTTGTGGCCTCGCTGGAAACGGGATTACTTCATATTCTGCTAGACAGAAGAATTCTCAATAACTTCCTTGTGTTGTGTGTATTCAACTCACAGAGTTGAACGATCCTTTACACAGAGCAGATTTGAAACACTCTTTTTGTGGAATTTGCAAGTGGAGATTTCAGCCGCTTTGAGGTCAATGGTAGAAAAGGAAATATCTTCGTATGAAAACTAGACAGAATGATTCTCATAAACTCCCTTTGTGATGTGTGCGTTCAACTCACAGAGTTTAACCTTTCTTTTCATAGAGCAGTTAGGAAACACTCTGTTTATAAAGTCTGCAAGTGGATATTCAGACCTCCTTGAGGCCTTCGTTGGAAACGGGATTTCTTCATATTCTGCTAGACAGAAGAATTCTCAGTAACTTCCTTGTGTTGTGTGTATTCAACTGACAGAGTTGAACTTTCATTTAGACAGAGCAGATTTGAAACACTCTTTTTGTGGAATTTGCAAATGGAGATTTCAAGCGCTTTGAGGCCAAAGGCAGAAAAGGAAATATCTTCGTATAAAAACTAGACAGAATGATTCTCAGAAACTGCTCTGCGATGTGTGCGTTCAACTCTCAGAGTGTAACTTTTCTTTTCATTCAGCAGTTTGGAAACACTCTGTTTATAAAGTCTGCACGTGGATATTTTGACCACTTAGAGGCCTTCGTTGGAAACGGGATTTTTTCATGTAAGGCTAGACCGAAGAATTCCCAGTAACTTCCTTGTGTTGTGTACATTCAACTCACAGAGTTGAACGTTCCCTTAGACAGAGCAGATTTGAAACACTCTTTTTGTGCAATTGGCAAGTGGAGATTTCAAGCGCTTTAAGGTCAATGGCAGAAAAGGAAATATCTTCGTTTCAAAACTAGAGAGAATGATTCTCAGAAACTTCATTGTGACGTGTGCGTTCAACTCACAGAGTTTAACCTTTCTTTTCATAGAGCAGTTAGGAAACAGTCTGTTTGTCAATTCTGTAAGTGGATATTCTGACATCTTGTGGCCTTCGTTGGAAACGGGATTTCTTCATATTCTGCTAGACAGAAGAATTCCCAGTAACTTCCTTGTGTGGTGTGTATTCAACTCACAGAGTTGAACGATGCTTTACACAGAGCAGACTTGAAACACTCTTTTTGTGGAATTTGCAAGTGGAGATTTCAGCCGCTTTGAGGTCAATGGTAGAATAGGAAATATCTTCCTATAGAAACTAGACAGAGTGATTCTCAGAAACTCCTTTGTGATGTCTGCGTTCAACTCACAGAGTTTAACCTTTCTTTTCATAGAGCAGTTAGGAAACACTCTGTTTGTAAAGTCTGCAAGTGGATATTCAGACCTCCTTGAGGCCTTCGTTGGAAATGGGATTTCTTCATATTATGCTAGACAGAAGAATTCTCAGTAACTTCCTTGTGTTGTGTGTATTCAACTCACAGAGTTGAACTTTCATTTAGAGAGAGCAGATTTGAAACACTGTTTTTGTGGAATTTGCAAGTGGAGATTTCAAGCGCTTTGCGGCCAAAGGCAGAAAACGAAATATCTTCGTATAAAAACTAGACAGAATCATTCTCAGAAACTGCTGCGTGATGTGTGCGCTCAACTCTCAGAATTTAACTTTTCTTTTCATTCAGCGGTTTGGAAACACTCTGTTTGTAAAGTCTGCACGTGGATATTTTGACCACTTAGAGGCCTTCGTTGGAAACGGGTTTTTTTCATGTAAGGCTAGACGGAAGAATTTCCCAGTAACTTCCTTGTGTTGTGTGCATTCAACTCACAGAGTTGAACGTTCCCTTAGACAGAGCAGATTTGAAACACTCTATTTGTGCAATTTGCAAGTGTAGATTTCAAGCGCTTTAAGGTCAATGGCAGAAAAGGAAATATCTTCGTTTCAAAACTAGACAGAATCATTCCCACAAACTGCGTTGTGATGTGTTCGTTCAACTCACAGAGTTTAACCTTTCTGTTCATAGAGCAGTTAGGAAACACTCTGTTTGTAAAGTCTGTAAGTGGATATTCTGACATCTTGTGGCCTTCGTTGGAAACGGGATTTCTTTATATTCTGCTAGACAGAAGAATTCTCAGTAACTTCCTTGTGTTGTGTGTATTCAACTCACAGAGTTGAACGATACTTTACAGAGAGCAGACTTGACACACTCTTTTTGTGGAATTTGCAATTGGAGATTTCAGCCGCTTTGAGGTCAATGGTAGAATAGGAAATATCTTCCTATAGAAACTAGACAGAATGATTCTCAGAAACTCCTTTGTGATGTGTGCGTTCAACTCACAGAGTTTAACCTTTCTTTTCATAGAGCAGTTGGGAAACACTCTGTTTGTAAAGTCTGCAAGTGGATATTCAGACTTCTTTGAGGCCTTCGTTGGAAGCGGGATTTCTTCATGTTCTGCTAGACAGAAGAATTCCCAGTAACTTCCTTGTGTTGTGTGTGTTCAACTCACAGAGTTGAACTTTGATTTACACAGAGCAGATTTGAAACACTCCTTTTGTGGAATTTGCAAGTGGAGATTTCAAGCGCTTTGAGGCCAAAGGCAGAAAAGGAAATATCTTCGTATAAAAACTAGACAGAATCATTCTCAGAACCTGCTGCGCGATATGTGCGTTCAACTCTCAGAGTTTAACTTTTCTTTTCATTCAGCGGTTTGGAAACACTCTGTTTGTAAAGTCTGCACGTGGATATTTTGACCACTTAGAGTCCTTCGTTGGAAACGGGTTTTTTTCATGTAAGGCTAGACAGAAGAATTCCCAGTAACTTCCTTGTGTTGTGTGCATTCAACTCACAGAGTTGAACGTTCCCTTAGACAGAGCAGATTTGAAACAGCCTATTTGTGCAATTTGCAAGTGTAGATTTCAAGCGCTTTAAGGTCAACGGCTGAAAAGGAAATATCTTCCTTTCAAAACTAGACAGAATCATTCCCACAAACTGCGTTGTGATGTGTTCGTTCAACTCACAGAGTTTAACCTTTCTGTTCATAGAGCAGTTAGGAAACACTCTGTTTGTAAAGTCTGTAAGTGGATATTTTGACATCTTGTGGCCTTCGTTGGAAACGGGATTTCTTCATATTCTGCTAGACAGAAGAATTCTCAGAAACTTCCTTGTGTTGTGTGTATTCAAGTCACAGAGTTGAACGATCCTTTACACAGAGCAGACTTGAAACACTCTTTTTGTGGAATTTGCAAGTGGAGATTTCAGCCGCTTTGAGGTCAATGTTAGAAAAGGAAATATCTTCGTATAAAGACTAGACAGAATGATTCTCAGAAAATCTTTTGTGATGTGTGCGTTCAACTCACAGAGTTTAACATTTCTTCTCATAGAGCAGTTAGGAAACACTCTGTTTGTAAAGTCTGCAAGTGGATATTCAGACTTCTTTGAGGCCTTCGTTGGAAACGGGATTTCTTCATATTATGCTAGACAGAAGAATTCTCAGTAACTTCCTTGTGTTGTGTGTATTCAACTGACAGAGTTGAACTTTCATTTAGAGAGAGCAGATTTGAAACACTGTTTTTGTGGAATTTGCAAGTGGAGATTTCAAGCGCTTTGGGGCCAAAGGCAGAAAACGAAATATCTTCGTATAAAAAGTAGACAGAATCATTCTCAGAAACTGCTCTGCGATGTGTGCGTTCAACTCTCCAGAGTTTAACTTTTCTTTTCATTCAGCAGTTTGGAAACACTCTGTTTGTAAAGTCTGCACGTGGATATTTTGACCATTTAGAGGCTTTCGTTGGAAACGGGTTTTTTTCTTGTAAGGCTAGACAGAAGAATTCCCAGTAACTTCCTTGTGTTGTGTGCATTAAACTCACATAGTTGAACGTTTCCTTAGACAGAGCTGAATTGAAACACGCTATTTGTGCAATTTGCAAGTGTAGATTTCAAGCGCTTTAAGGTCAATGGCAGAAAAGGAAATATCTTCGTTTCAAAACTAGACAGAATCATTCCCACAAACTGCGTTGTGATGTGTTCGTTCAACTCACAGAGTTTAAACTTTCTTTTCATAGAGCAGTTAGGAAACAGTCTGTTTGTCAATTCTGTAAGTGGATATTCTGACATCTTGTGGCCTTCGTTGGAAACGGGATTTCTTCATATTCTGCTAGACAGAAGAATTCTCAGTAACTTCCTTGTGTTGTGTGTATTCAACTCACAGAGTTGTACGATCCTTTACACAGAGCAGACTTGAAACACTCTTTTTGTGGAATTTGCAAGTGGAGATTTCAGCCGCTTTGAGGTCAATGGTAGAAAAGGAAATATCTTCGTATAAAGACTAGACAGAGTGATTCTCAGAAACTCCTTTGTGATGTCTGCGTTCAACTCACAGAGTTTAACCTTTCTTTTCATAGAGCAGTTAGGAAACACTCTGTTTGTAAAGTCTGCAGGTGCATATTCAGACCTCCTTGAGGCCTTAGTTGGAAACGGGATTTCTTCATATTCTGCTATACAGAAGAATTCTCAGTAACTTCCTTGTGTTGTGTGTATTCAACTCACAGAGTTGAACTTTCATTTACACAGAGCAGATTTGAAACACTCTTTTTGTGGAATTTGCAAATGGAGATTT
The DNA here is from genome assembly GCF_000001405.40 of Homo sapiens. Taxonomy (NCBI): domain Eukaryota; kingdom Metazoa; phylum Chordata; class Mammalia; order Primates; family Hominidae; genus Homo; species Homo sapiens. The sequence continues at coordinate 123,464,144 of NC_000001.11, forward strand.
CAAGCGCTTTGAGGCCAAAGGCAGAAAAGGAAATATCTTCGTTTCAAAAGTAGACAGAATCATTCTCAGAAACTGCTGCGTTATGTGTGCGTTCAACTCTCAGAGTTTAACTTTTCTTTTCATTCAGCGGTTTGGAAACACTCTGTTTGTAAAGTCTGTAAGTGGATATTTTGACCACTTAGAGGCCTTCGTTGGAAATGGTTTTTTGCATGTAAGGCTAGACAGAAGTATTCCCAGTAACTTCCTTGTGTTGTGTGCATTCAACTCACAGAGTTGAACGTTCCCTAGGACAGAGCAGGTTTGAAACACTCTATTTGTGCAATTTGCAAGTGTAGATTTCAAGCGCATTAAGGTCAATGGCAGAAAAGGAAATATCTTCGTTTCAAAACTAGACAGAATCATTCCCACAAACTGCGTTGTGATGTGTTCGGTCAACTCACAGAGTTTAACCTTTCTTTTCATAGAGCAGTTAGGAAACAGTCTGTTTGTCAATTCTGTAAGTGGATATTCTGACATCTTGTGGCCTTCGTTGGAAACGGGATTTCTTCATATTCTGCTAGACAGAAGAATTCTCAGTAACTTCCTTGTGTTGTGTGTATTCAACTCACAGAGTTGAACGATCCTTTACACAGAGCAGACTTGTAAAACTCTTTTTGTGGAATTTGCAAGTGGAGATTTCAGCCGCTTTGAAGTCAAAGGTAGAAAAGGAAATATCTTCCTATAAAAACTAGACAGAATGATTCTCAGAAACTCCTTTGTGATGTGTGCGTTCAACTCACAGAGTTTAACCTTTCTTTTCATAGAGCAGATAGGAAACACTCTGTTTGTAAAGTCTGCAAGTGGATATTCAGACCTCCTTGAGGCCTTCGTTGGAAACGGGATTTCTTCATATTATGCTAGACAGAAGAATTCTCAGTAACTTCCTTGTGTTGTGTGTATTCAACTGACAGAGTTGAACTTTCATTTAGAGAGAGAAGATTTGAAACACTGTTTTTGTGGAATTTGCAAGTGGAGATTTCAAGCGCTTTGGGGCCAAAGGCAGAAAAGGAAATATCTTCGTATAAAAACTAGACAGAATCATTCTCAGAAACTGCTGCGTGATGTGTGCGTTCAACTCTCAGAGTTTAGCTTTTCTTTTCATTCAGCGGTTTGGAAACACTCTGTTTGTAACGTCTGCACGTGGATATTTTGACCACTTAGAGGCCTTCGTTGGAAACGGGTTTTTTGCATGTAAGGCTAGACAGAAGAATTCCCAGTAACTTCCTTGTGTTGTGTGCATTCAACTCACAGAGTTGAACGTTCCCTTAGACAGAGCAGATTTGAAACACTCTATTTGTGCAATTTGCAAGTGTAGATTTCAAGCGCATTAAGGTCAATGGCAGAAAAGGAAATATCTTCGTTTCAAAATTAGACAGAATCATTCCCACAAACTGCGTTGTGATGTATTCGTTCAACTCACAGAGTTTAACCTTTCTGTTCATAGAGCAGTTAGGAAACACTCTGTTTGTAAAGTCTGTAAGTGGATATTCTGACATCTTGTGGCCCTTCGTTGGAAACGGGATTTCTTCATATTCTGCTAGACAGAAGAATTCTCAGTAACTTCCTTGTGTTGTGTGTATTCAACTCACAGAGTTGAAGGATCCTTTACAGAGAGCAGGCTAGAAAAACTCTTTTTGTCGAATTTGCAAGTGGAGATTTCAGCCGCTTTGAGGTCAATGGTAGAATAGGAAATATCTTCTTATAGAAACTAGACAGAATGATTCTCAGAAACTCCTTTGTGATGTGTGTGTTCAACTCACAGAGTTTAATCTTTCTTTTCATAGAGCAGTTAGTAAACACTCTGTTTATAAAGTCTGCAAGTGGATATTCAGACCCCTTTGAGGCCTTCGTTGGAAACGGGATTTCTTCATATTATGCTAGACAGAAGAAATCTCAGTAACTTCCTTGTGTTGTGTGTATTCAACTGACAGAGTTGAAGTTTCATTTAGACAGAGCAGATTTGAAACACTATTTTTGTGCAATTTGCAAGTGGAGATTTCAAGCGCTTTGGGGCCAAAGGCAGAAAAGGAAATATCTTCGTATAAAAACTAGACAGAATCATTATCAGAAACTGCTGCGTGATGTGTGCGTTCAACTCTCAGAATTTAACTTTTCTTTTCATTCAGCGGTTTGGAAACACTCTGTTTGTAAAGTCTGCACGTGGATATTTTGACCACTTAGAGGCCTTCGTTGGAAACGGGTTTTTTTCATGTAAGGCTAGACAGAAGATTTCCCAGTAACTTCCTTGTGTTGTGTACATTAAACTCACAGAGTTGAACGTTCCCTTAGACAGAGCAGATTTGAAACACTCTTTTTGTGCAATTGGCAAATGGAGATTTCAAGCGCTTTAAGGTCAATGGCAGAAAAGGAAATATCTTCGTTTCAAAACTAGACAGAATCATTCCCACAAACTGCGTTGTGATGTGCTCGTTCAACTCACAGAGTTTAACCTTTCTGTTCACAGAGCAGTTAGGAAACACTCTGTTTGTAAAGTCTGTAAGTGGATATTCTGACATCTTGTGGCCTTCGTTGGAAACGGGATTTCTTCATATTCTGCTAGACAGAAGAATTCTCAGTAACTTCCTTGTGTTCTGTGTATTCAACTCACAGAGTTGAACGATCCTTTACACAGAGCAGACTTGAAACACTCTTTTTGTGGAATTTGCAAGTGGAGATTTCAGCCGCTTTGGGGTCAATAGTAGAAAAGGAAATATCTTCGTAGAAAAACTAGACAGAATGATTCTCAGAAACTCCTTTGTGATGTGTGTGTTCAACTCACAGAGTTTAACCTTTCTTTTCATAGAGCAGTTAGTAAACACTCTGTTTATAAAGTCTGCAAGTGGATATTCAGACCCCTTTGAGGCCTTCGTTGGAAACGGGATTTATTCATATTATGCTAGACAGAAGAATTCTCAGTAACTTCCTTGTGTTGTGTGTATTCAACTGACAGAGTTGAACTTTCATTTAGAGAGAGCAGTTTTGAAACACTGTTTTTGTGGAATTTGCAAGTGGAGATTTCAAGCGCTTTGGGGCCAAAGGCAGAAAAGGAAACATCTTCGTATGAAAACTAGACAGAATCATTCTCAGAAAGTGCTCTGCGATGTGTGCGTTCAACTCTCAGAGTTTAACTTTGCTTTTCATTCAGCAGTTTGGAAACACTCTGTTTGTAAAGTCTGCACGTGGATAATTTGACCACTTAGAGGCCTTCGTTGGAAACGGGTTTTTTTCATGTAAGGCTAGACAGAAGAATTCCCAGTAACTTCCTTGTGTTGTGTACATTCAACTCACAGAGTTGAACGTTCCCTTAGACAGAGCAGATTTGAAACACTCTTTTTGTGCAATTGGCAAGTGGTGATTTCAGCCGCTTTGAGGTCAATGGTAGAAAAGGAAATATCTTCGTATAAAAACTAGACAGAATGATTCTCAGAAACTCCTTTGTGATGTGTGCGTTCAACTCACACAGTTTAACCTTTCTTTTCAGAGAGCAGTTAGGAAACACTCTGTTTGTAAAGTCTGCAAGTGGATATTCAGACCTCCTTGAGGCCTTCGTTGGAAACGGGATTTCTTCATATTATGCTAGACAGAAGAATTCTCATTAACTTCCTTGTGTTGTGTGTATTCAACTCACAGAGTTGAACGATCCTTTACACAGAGCAGACTTGTAACACTCTTTTTGTGGAATTTGCAAGTGGAGATTTCAGCCGCTTTGAAGTCAAAGGTAGAAAAGGAAATATCTTCCTATAAAAATTAGACAGAATGATTCTCAGAAACTCCTTTGTGATGTGTGTGTTCAACTCACAGAGTTTAACCTTTCTTTTCATAGAGCAGTTAGGAAACACTCTGTTTGTAAAGTCTGCAAGTGGATATTCAGACCTCTTTGAGGCCTTCATTGGAAACGGGCTTTTTTTCCTATAAGGCTAGACAGAAGAATTCCGAGTAACTTCCTTGTGTTGTGTGTGTTCAACTCACAGAGTTGAACTTTCATTTACACAGAGCAGATTTGAAACACTCTTTTTGTGGAATTTGCAAGTGGAGATTTCAAGCGCTTTGAGGCCAAAGGCAGAAAAGGAAATATCTCCGTTTCAAAACTAGACAGAGAATCATTCTCAGTAAACTGCTCTGCGATGTGTGCGTTCAACTCTCAGAGTTTAACTTTTCTTTTCATTCAGCAGTTTGGAAACACTCTGTTTGTAAAGTCTGCACGTGGATATTTTGACCACTTAGAGGCCTTCGTTGGAAACGGGTTTTTTTCCTGTAAGGCTAGACAGTAGAATTCCCAGTAACTTCCTTGTGTTGTGTACATTCAACTCACAGAGTTGAACGTTCCCTTAGACAGAGCAGATTTGAAACACTCTTTTTGTGCAATTGGCAAATGGAGATTTCAAGCGCTTTAAGGTCAATGGCAGAAAAGGAAATGTCTTCGTTTCAAAACTAGACAGAATCATTCCCACAAACTGCGTTGTGATGTGTTCGTTCAACTCACAGAGTTTAACGTTTCTTTTCATAGAGCAGTTAGGAAACAGTCTGTTTGTCAATTCTGTAAGTGGATATTCTGACATCTTGTGGCCTTCGTTGGAAACGGGATTTCTTCATATTCTGCTAGACAGAAGAATTCTCAGAATCTTCCTTGTGTTGTGTGTATTCAACTCACAGAGTTGAACGATCCTTTACACAGAGCAGACTTGAAACACTATTTTTGTGGAATTTGCAAGTGGAGATTTCAGCCGCTTTGAGGTCCATGGTAGAAAAGGAAATATCTTCGTATAAAAACTAGACAGAATGATTCTCAGAAACTCCTTTGTGATGTGTGCATTCAACTTACAGAGTTTAACCTTTCTTTTCATAGAGCAGTTAGGAAACACTCTGTTTGTAAAGTCTGCAAGTGGATACTCAGACCTCTTTGAGGCCTTCGTTGGAAACGGGATTTCTTAATATTATGCTAGACAGAAGAATTCCCAGTAACTTCCTTGTGTTGTGTGTGTTCAACTCACAGAGTTGAACTTTCATTTACACAAAGCAGATTTGAAACACTCTTTTTGTGGAATTTGCAAGTGGAGATTTCAAGCGCTTTGAGGCCAAAGGCAGAAAAGGAAATATCTTCGTTTCAAAACTAGACAGAATGATTCTCAGAAACTGCTCTGCGATGTGTGCGTTCAACTCTCAGAGTTTAACTTTTCTTTTCATTCAGCAGTTTGGAAACACTCTGTTTGTAAAGTCTGCACGTGGATATTTTGACCATTTAGAGGCCTTCGTTGGAAACGGGTTTTTTTCTTGTAAGGCTAGACAGAAGAATTCCCAGTAACTTCCTTGTGTTGTGTACATTCAACTCACAGAGTTGAACGTTCCCTTAGACAGAGCAGATTTGAAACACTCTTTTTGTGCAATTGGCAAGTGGTGATTTCAGCTGCTTTGAGGTCAATGGCAGAAAAGGGAATATCTTCGTATAAAAACTAGACAGAACGATTCTCAGAATCTTCCTTGTGATGTGTGCGTTCAACTCACAGAGTTTAACCTTTCTTTTCATAGAGCAGTTAGGAAACACTCTGTTTGTAAACTCTGCAAGTGGATATTCAGACCTCATTGAGGCCTTCTTTGGAAACGGGATTTCTTCATACTATGCTAGACAGAAGAATTCTCAGTAACTTCCTTGTGTTGTGTGTATTCAACTCACAGAGTTGAACGATCCTTTACACAGAGCAGACTTGAAACACTCTTTTTGTGGAATTTGCAAGTCGAGATTTCAGCCGCTTTGAGGTCAATGGTAGAAAAGGAAATATCTTCGTATAAAAACTAGACAGAATGATTCTCAGAAACTGCTTTGTGATGTGTGCGTTTAACTCACAGAGTTTAACCTTTCTTTTCATAGAGCAGTTAGGAAACACTCTGTTTGTAAAGTCTACAAGTGTATATTCAGACCTCTTTGAGGCCTTCGTTGGAAACGGGTTTTTTTCATATAAGGCTAGACAGAAGAATTCTCAGTAACTTCCTTGTGTTGAGTGTATTAAACTCACAGAGTTCAATGATCCTTTACACAGAGCGGACTTGAAACACTCTTTTTCTGGAATTTGCAAGTGGAGATTTCAGCCGCGTTGAGGTCAATGGTAGAAAAGGGAAATATCTTCGTATAAAAACTAGACAGAATGATTCTCAGAAACTCCTTTATGATGTGTGCGTTCAACTCACAGAGTTTAACCTTTCTTTTCATAGAGCAGTTAGGAAACACTCTGTTTGTAAAGTCTGCAAGTGGATATTTTCACCTCTTTGAGGCCTTCGTTGGAAACGGGTTTTTTTTCATGTAAGGCTAGACAGAAGAATTCTCAGTAACTTCCCTGTGTTGTGTGTTTTCAACTGACAGAGTTGAACTTTCATTTAGAGAGAGCAGATTTGAAACACTGTTTTTGTGGAATTTGCAAGTGGAGATTTCAAGCGTTTTGGAGCCAAAGGCAGAAAAGGAAATATCTTCGTATAAAAACTAGACAGAATCATTCTCAGAAACTGCTGCGTGATGTGTGCGTTCAACTCTCAGAGTTTAACTTTTCCTTTCATTCAGCGGTTTGGAAACACTCTGTTTGTAAAGTCTGCACGTGGATATTTTGAACACTTAGAGGCCTTCGTTGGAAACGGGTTTTTTTCATGTAAGGCTAGACAGAAGAATTTCCAGTAACTTCCTTGTGTTGTGTGCATTCAACTCACAGAGTTGAACGTTCCCTTAGACAGAGCAGATTTGAAACACTCTAGTTGTGCAATTTGCAAGTGTAGATTTCAAGCGCTTTAAGGTCAATGGCAGAAAAGGAAATATCTTCGTTTCAAAACTAGACAGAATGATTCTCAGAAAATCTTTTGTGATGTGTGCGTTCAACTCACAGAGTTTAACTTTTCTTCTCATAGAGCAGTTAGGAAAGACTCTGTTTGTAAAGTCTGCAAGTGGATATTCAGACCTCTTTGAGGCCTTCGTTAGAAACGGGATTTCTTCATATTATGCTAGACAGAATAATTCTCAGTAACTTCCTTGTGTTGTGTGTATTCAACTCACAGAGTTGAACGATCCTTTACAGAGAGCAGGCTTGAAACACTCTATTTGTCGAATTTGCAAGTGGAGATTTCAGCCGCTTTGAGGTCAATGGTAGAATAGGAAATATCTTCTTATAGAAACTAGACAGAGTGATTCTCAGAAACTCCTTTGTGATGTCTGCGTTCAACTCACAGAGTTTAACCTTTCTTTTCATAGAGCATTTAGGAAACACTCTGTTTGTAAAGTCTGCAAGAGGATATTCAGACCTCCTTGAGGCCTTCGTTGGAAACGGGATTTCTTCATATTCTGCTATACAGAAGAATTCCCAGTAACTTCCTTGTGTTGTGTGTGTTCAACTCACAGAGTTTGAACTTTCATTTACACAGAGCAGATTTGAAACACTCTTTTTGTGGAATTTGCAAATGGAGATTTCAAGCGCTTTGAGGCCAAAGGCAGAAAAGGAAATATCTTCGTATAAAAACTAGACAGAATCATTCTCAGAAACTGCTCTGCGATGTGTGCGTTCAACTCTCAGAGTTTAACTTTTCTTTTCATTCAGCAGTTTGGAAACCCTCTGTTTGTAAAGTCTGCACGTGGATAATTTGACCACTTAGAGGCCTTCGTTGGAAACGGGTTTTTTTCATGTAAGGCTAGACAGAAGAATTCCCAGTAACTTCCTTGTGTTGTGTACATTCAACTCACAGAGTTGAACGTTCCCTTAGACAGAGCAGATTTGAAACACTCTTTTTGTGCAATTGGCAAGTGGAGATTTCAAGCGCTTTGAGGTCAATGGCAGAAAAGGAAATATCTTCGTTTCAAAACTAGACAGAATCATTCCCACAAACTGCGTTGTAATGTGTGCGTTCAACTCACAGAGTTTAACCTTTCTTTTCATAGAGCAGTTAGGAAACACTCTGTTTGTAAAGTCTGCAAGTGGATATTCAGACCTCTTTGAGGCCTTCGTTGGAAACGGGATTTCTTCATATTCTGCTAGACAGAAGAATTCTCAGTAACTTCCTTGTGTTGTGTGTATTCAACTCACAGAGTTGAACGATCCTTTACACAGAACAGACTTGAAACACTCTTTTTGTGGAATTTGCAAGTGCAGATTTCAGCCGCTTTGAGGTCAATGGTAGAATAGGAAATATCTTCCTATAGAAACTAGACAGAATGATTCTCAGAAACTCCTTTGTGATGTGTGCGTTCAAGTCGCAGAGTTTAACCTTTCTTTTCTTGGAGCAGTTAGGAAACACTCTGTTTGTAAAGTCTGCACGTGGATATTCAGACCTCTTTGAGGCCTTCGTTGGAAACGGGATTTCTTCATATTCTGCTAGACAGAAGAATTCCCAGTAACTTCCTTGTGTTGTGTGTGTTCAACTCACAGAGTTGAACTTTCATTTTCACAGAGCAGATTTGAAACACTCTTTTTGTGGAATTTGCAAGTGGAGATTTCAAGCGCTTTGAGGCCAAAGGCAGAAAAGGAAATATCTTCGTTTCAAAACTAGACAGAATCATTCTCAGAAACTGCTCTGCGATGTGTGCGTTCAACTCTCAGAGTTTAACTTTTCTTTTCATTCAGAAGTTTGGAAACACTCTGTTTGTAAAGTCTGCACGTGGATATTTTGACCACTTAGAGGCCTTCGTTGGAAACGGGTTTTTTTCCTGTAAGGCTAGACAGAAGAATTCCCAGTAACTTCCTTGTGTTGTGTACATTCAAATCACAGAGTTGAACGTTCCCTTAGACAGAGCAGACTTGTAACACTCTTTTTGTGGAATTTTCAAGTGGAGATTTCAGCCACTTTGAAGTCAAAGGTAGAAAAGGAAATAACTTCCTATAAAAACTAGACAGAATCATTCCCACAAACTGCGCTGTGATGTGTTCGTTCAACTCACAGAGTTTAACCTTTCTGTTCATAGAGCAGTTAGGAAACACTCTGTTTGTAAAGTCTGTAAGTGGATATTCTGACATCTTGTGGCCTTCGTTGGAAACGGGATTTCTTCATATTATGCTAGACAGAAGAATTCTCAGTAACTTCCTTGTGTTGTGTGTATTCAACTCACAGAGTTGACCGATCCTTTACACAGAGCAGACTTGTAACACTCTTTTTGTGGAATTTGCAAGTGGAGATTTCAGCCGCTTTGAAGTCAAAGGTAGAAAAGGGAATATCTTCATATAAAAACTAGACAGAATGATTCTCAGAAACTCCTTTGTGATGTGTGCGTTCAAGTCACAGAGTTTAACCTTTCTTTTCATAGAGCAGTTAGGAAACACTCTGTTTGTAAAGTCTGCAACTGGAGATTCAGCCCTCTTTGAGGCCTTCGTTGGAAACGGGATTTCTTCATATTCTGCTAGACAGAAGAATTCCCAGTAACTTCCTTGTGTTGTGTGTGTTCAACTCACAGAGTTAAACTTTCATTTACACAGAGCAGATTTGAAACACTCTTTTTGTGGAATTTGCAAGTGGAGATGTCAAGCGCTTTGAGGCCAAAGGCAGAAAAGGAAATATCTTCGTTTCAAAACTAGACAGAATCATTCTCAGAAACTGCTCTGCGATGTGTGCGTTCAACTCTCAGAGTTTAACTTTTCTTTTCATTCAGCAGTTTGGAAACACTCTGTTTGTAAAGTCTGCACGTGGATATTTTGACCACTTAGAGGCCTTCGTTGGAAACGTGTTTTTTTCCTGTAAGCCTAGACAGAAGAATTCCCAGTAAATTCCTAGTGTTGTGTGCATTCAACTCACAGAGATGAACGTTCCCTTAGACAGAGCAGATTTGAAACACTCTGTGCAATTTGCAAGTGTAGATTTCAAGCGCTTTAATGTCAATGGCAGAAAAGGAAATATCTTCGCTTCAAAACTAGACAGAATCATTCCAACAAACTGCGTTGTGATGTGCTCTTTCAACTCATAGAGTTTAACCTTTCTGTTCATAGAGCAGTTAGGAAACACTCTGTTTCTAAAGTCTGTAAGTGGATATTCTGACATCTTGTGGCCTTCGTTGGAAACGGGATTTCTTCATATTCTGCTACACAGAAGAATTCTCAGTAACTTCCTTGTGTTGTGTGTATTCAACTCACAGAGTTGAACGATCCTTTACAGAGAGCATACTTGAAACACTCTTTTTGTGGAATTTGCAAGTGGAGATTTCAGCCGCTTTGAGGTCAATGGTAGAATAGGAAATATCTTCCTATAGAAACAAGACAGAATGATTCTCTGAAACTCCTTTGTGATGTGTGCGTTCAACTCACAGAGTTTAACCTTTCTTTTCATAGAGCAGTTAGGAAACACTCTGTTTGTAAAGTCTGCAAGTGGATATTCAGACCTCCTTGAGGCCTTCGTTGGAAACGGGATTTCTTCATATTATGCTAGACAGAAGAATTCTCAGTAACTTCCCTTGTGTTGTGTGTATTCAACTGACAGAGTTGAACTTTCATTTAGAGAGAGCAGATTTGAAACACTGTTTTTGTGGAATTTGCAAGTGGAGATTTCAAGCGCTTTGGGGCCAAAGGCAGAAAAGGAAATATCTTCGTATAAAAACTAGACAGAATCATTCTCAGAAACTGCTGCGTGATGTGTGCGTTCAACTCTCAGAGTTTAACTTTTCTTTTCATTCAGCGGTTTGGAAACACTCTGTTTGTAAAGTCTGCACGTGGAAATTTTGACCACTTAGAGGCCTTCATGGAAACGGGTTTTTTTCATGTAAGGCTAGACAGAAGAATTCCCAGTAACTTCCTTGTGTTGTGTGCATTCAACTCACAGAGTTGAACGTTCCTTTAGACAGAGCAGATTTGAAACACTCTATTTGTGCAATTTGCAAGTGTAGTTTTCAAGCTCTTTAAGGTCAACGGCAGAAAAGGAAATATCTTGGTTTCAAAACTAGACAGAATCATTCCCACAAACTGCGTTGTCATGTGTTCGTTCAACTCACAGAGTTTAACCTTTCTTTTCATAGAGCAGTTAGGAAACAGTCTGTTTGCAAATTCTGTAAGTGGATATTCTGACATCTTGTGGCCTTCGTTGGAAACGGCATTTCTTCATATTCTGCTAGACAGAAGAATTCTCAGAATCTTGCTTGTGTTGTGTGTATTCAACTCACAGAGTTGAACGATCCTTTACACAGAGCAGACTTGAAACACTCTTTTTGTGGAATTTGCAAGTGGAGATTTCAGCCGCTTTGAGGTCCATGGTAGAAAAGGAAATATCTTCGTCATAAAAACTAGACAGAATGATTCTCAGAAACTTCTTTCTGATGTGTGCGTTCAACTCACAGAGTTTAACCTTTCTTTTCATAGAGCAGTTAGGAAACACTCTGTTTGTAAAGTCTGCAAGTGGATATTCAGACCTCTTTGAGGCCTTCGTTGGAAACGGGATTTCTTCATACTGTGCTAGACAGAAGAATTCCCAGTAACTTGCCTTGTGTTGTGTGTGTTCAACTCACAGAGTTGAACTTTCATTTACACAGAGCAGATTTGAAACACTCTTTTTGTGGAATTTGCAAATGGAGATTTCAAGCGCTTTGAGGCCAAAGACAGAAAAGGAAATATCTTCGTATAAAAACTAGACAGAATCATTCTCAGAAACTGCTCTGTGATGTGTGCGTTCAACTCTCAGAGTTTAACTTTTCTTTTCATTCAGCAGTTTGGAAACACTCTGTTTGTAAAGTCTGCACGTGCATAATTTGACCACTTAGAGGTCTTCGATGGAAACGGGTTTTTTTCATGTAAGGCTAGACAGAAGAATTCCCAGTAACTTCCTTGTGTTGTGTGCATTCAACTCACAGAGTTGAACGTTCCCTTAGACAGAGCAGATTTGAAACACTCTATTTGTGCAATTTGCAAGTGTAGATTTCAAGCGCTTTAAGGTCAATGGCAGAAAAGGAGATATCTTCGTTTCAAAACTAGACAGAATCATTCCCACAAACTGCGTTGTGATGTGTTCGTTCAACTCACAGAGTTTAACCTTTCTCTTCATAGAGCAGTTAGGAAACACTCTGTTTGTGAAGTCTGTAAGTGGATATTCTGACATCTTGTGGCCTTCGTTGGAAACGGGATTTCTTCATATTCTGCTAGACTGAAGAATTCTCAGTAACTTCCTTGTGTTGTGTGTATTGAACTCACAGTGTTGAACGATCCTTTACACAGAGCAGACTTGAAACACTCTTTTTGTGGAATTTGCAAGTGGAGATTTCAGCCGCTTTGAGGTCAACAGTAGAAAAGGAAATATCTTCGTAGAAAAACTAGACAGAATGATTCTCAGAAACTCCTTTGTGATGTGTGCGTTCAACTCACAGAGTTTAACCTTTCTGTTCATAGAGCAGTTAGGAAACACTCTGTTTGTAAAGTCTGCAAGAGGATATTCAGACCTCCTTGAGGCCTTCGTTGGAAACGGGATTTCTTCATATTCTGCTAGACAGAAGAATTCTCAGTAACTTCCTTGTGTTGTGTGTATTCAACTGACAGAGTTGAACTTTCATTTAGAGAGAGCAGATTTATAACACTGTTTTTGTGGAATTTGCAAGTGGAGATTTCAAGCGCTTTGGGGCCAAAGGCAGAAAAGGAAATATCTTCGTATAAAAACTAGACAGAATCATTCTCAGAAACTGATGCGTGATGTGTGCGTTCAACTCTCAGAGTTTAACTTTTCTTTTCATTCAGCGGTTTGGAAACACTCTGTTTGTAAAGTCTGCACGTGGATATTTTGACCACTTAGAGGCCTTCGTTGGAAACGGGTTTTTTTCATGTAAGGCTAGACAGAAGAATTCCCAGTAACTTCCTTGTGTTGTGTGCATTCCACTCACAGAGTTGAACGTTCCCTTAGACAGAGCAGATTTGAAACACTCTATTTGTGCAATTTGCAAGTGTAGATTTCAAGCGCTTTAAGGTCAATGGCAGAAAAGGAAATATCTTCGTTTCAAAACTAGACAGAAACATTCCCACAAACTGCGTTGTGATGTGTTCGTTCAACTCACAGAGTTTAACTTTTCTGTTCATAGAGCAGTTAGGAAACACTCTGTTTGTAAAGTCTGCAATTGGATATTCAGACCTCCTTGAGGCATTCGTTGGAAACGGGATTTCTTCATATTCTGCTAGACAGAATAATTCTCAGTAACTTCCTTGTGTTCTGTGTATTCAACTCACAGAGTTGAACGATCCTTTACAGAGAGCAGACTTTAAACACTCTTTTTGTGGAATTTGCAAGTGGAGATTTCAGCCGCTTTGAGGTCAATGGTAGAAAAGGAAATATCTTCGTATAAAGACTAGACAGAATGATTCTCAGAAACTCCTTTGAGATGTGTGCGTTCAACTCACAGAGTTTAACCTTTCTTTTCATAGAGCAGTTAGGAAACACTCTGTTTGTAAAGTCTGCAAGTGGATATTCAGACCTCTTTGAGGCCTTCGTTGGAAACGGGTTTTTTTCATATAAGGCTAGACAGAAGAATTCTCAGTAACTTCCTTGTGTTGTGTGTATTCAACTCACAGAGTTGAATGATCCTTTACACAGAGCAGACTTGAAACACTCTTTTTGTGGAATTTGCAAGTGGAGATTTCAGCCGCTTTGAGGTCAATGGTAGAAAAGTAAATATCTTCCTATAAAGACTAGACAGAATCATTCTCAGAAACTGCTCTGCGATGTGTGCGTTCAACTCTCAGAGTTTAACTTTTCTTTTCATTCAGCAGTTTGGAAACACTCTGTTTGTAAAGTCTGCACGTGGATAACTTGACCACTTAGAGGCCTTCGTTGGAAACGGGTTTTTTTCCTGTAAGGCTAGACAGAAGAATTCCCAGTAACTTACTTGTGTTGTGTACATTCAACTCACAGAGTTGAACGTTCCCTTAGACAGAGCAGATTTGAAACACTCTTTTTGTGCAATTGGCAAGTGGTGATTTCAGCTGCTTTGAGGTCAATGGTAGAAAAGGGAATATCTTCGTATAAAAACTAGACAGAATCATTCCCACAAACTGCGTTGTGATGTGTTCGTTCAACTCACAGAGTTTAACCTTTCTTTTCATAGAGCAGTTAGGAAACAGTCTGTTTGTAAATTCTGTAAATGGATATTCTGACATCTTGTGGCCTTCGTTGGAAACTGGATTTCTTCATACTATGCTAGACAGAAGAATTCTCAGTAACTTCCTTGTTTTGTGTGTATTCAACTCACAGAGTTGAACGATCCTTTACACAGAGCAGACTTGAATCACTCTTTTTGTGGAATTTGCAAGTGGAGATTTCAGCCGCGTTGAGGTCAATGGTAGAAAAGGAAATATCTTCGTATAAAAACTAGACAGAATGATTCTCAGAAACTCCTTTGTGATGTGTGCGTTCAACTCACAGAGTTTAACCTTTCTTTTCATAGAGCAGTTAGGAAACACTCTGTTTGTAAAGTCTGCAAGTGGATATTCAGACCTACTTTGAGGCCTTCGTTGGAAACGGGTTTTTTTCATATAAGGCTAGACAGAAGAATTCTCAGTAACTTCCTTGTGTTGTGTGTATTCAACTGACAGAGTTGAACTTTCATTTAGAGAGAGCAGATTTGAAACACTGTTTTTGTGGAATTTGCATGTGGAGATTTCAAGCGCTTTGGGGCCAAAGGCAGAAAAGGAAATATCTTCGTATAAAAACTAGACAGAATCATTCTCAGAAACTGCTCTGCGATGTGTGCGTTCAACTCTCAGAGTTTAACTTTTCTTTTCATTCAGCAGTTTGGAAACACTCTGTTTGTAAAGTCTGCACGTGGATAACTTGACCACTTAGAGGCCTTCGTTGGAAAAGGGTTTTTATCCTGTAAGGGTAGACAGAAGAATTCCCAGTAACTTCCTTGTGTTGTGTGCATTCAACTCACAGATTTGAACGTTCCCTTAGACAGAGCAGATTTGAAACACTCTATTTGTGCAATTGGCAAGTGTAGATTTCAAGCGCTTTAAGGTCAATGGCAGAAAAGGAAATATCTTCGTTTCAAAACTAGACAGAATCATTCCCACAAAATGCGTTGTGATGTGTTCGTTCAACTCACAGAGTTTAAGCTTTCTGTTCATAGAGCAGTTAGGAAACACTCTGTTTGTAAAGTCTGTAAGTGGATATTCTGATATCTTGTGGCCTTCGTTGGAAACGGGATTTCTTCATATTATGCTAGACAGAAGAATTCCCAGTAACTTCCTTGTGTTGTGTGCATTCAACTCACAGAGTTGAACGTTCCCTTAGACAGAGCAGATTTGAAACACTCTATTTGTGCAATTTGCAAGTGTAGATTTCAAGCGCTTTATGGTCAACGGCAGAAAAGTAAATATCTTCGTATAAAGACTAGACAGAATGATTCTCAGAAACTCCTTTGTGATGTGTGCGTTCAACTCACAGAGTTTAACCTTTCTTTTCATAGAGCAGTTAGGAAACACTCTGTTTGTAAAGTCTGCAAGTGGATATTCAGACCTCCTTGAGGCCTTCGTTGGAAGCGGGATTTCTTCATATTCTGCTAGACAGAAGAATTCTCAGTAACTTCCTTGTGTTGTGTGTATTCAACTGACAGAGTTGAACTTTCATTTCGAGAGAGCAGATTTGAAACACTGTTTTTGTGGAATTTGCAAGTGGAGATTTCAAGCGCTTTGGGGCTAAAGGCAGAAAAGGAAATATCTTCGTATAAAAACTAGACAGAATAATTCTCAGAAACTGCTGCGTGATGTGTGCGTTCAACTCTCAGAGTTTAACTTTTCTTTTCATTCAGCGGTTTGGAAACACTCTGTTTGTAAAGTCTGCACGTGGATATATTGACCACTTAGAGGCCTTCGTTGGAAACGGGTTTTTGCATGTAAGGCTAGACAGAAGAATTCCCAGTAACTTCCTTGTGTTGTGTGCATTCAACTCACAGAGTTGAACGTTCCCTTAGACAGAGCAGATTTCAAACACTCTATTTGTTCAATTTGCAAGTGTAGATTTCAAGCGCTTTAAGGTCAATGGCAGAAAAGGAAATATCTTCGTTTCAAAACTAGACAGAATCATTCCCACAAACTGGGTTGTGATGTGTTCGTTCAACTCACAGAGTTTAACCTTTCTTTTCATAGAGCAGTTAGGAAACAGTCTGTTTGTCAATTCTGTAAGTGGATATTCTGACATCTTGTGGCCTTCGTTGGAAACGGGATTTCTTCATATTCTCCTAGACAGAAGAATTCTCAGTAACTTCCTTGTGTTGTGTGTATTCAACTCACAGAGTTGAACGATCCTTTACACAGAGCAGACTTGAAACACTCTTTTTGTGGAATTTGCAAGTGGAGATTTCAGCCGCTTTGAGTTCAATGGTAGAATAGGAAATATCTTCCTATGGAAACTAGACAGAATGATTCTCAGAAACTCCTTTGTGATGTGTGCGTTCAACTCACAAGAGTTTAACCTTTCTGTTAATAGAGCAGTTAGGAAACACTCTGTTTGTAAAGTCTGCAAGTGGATATTCAGACCTCCTTGAGGCCTTCTTTGGAAACGGGATTTCTTCATATTCTGCTAGACAGAAGAATTCTCAGAAACTTCCTTGTGTTGTGTGTATTCAACTCACAGAGTTGAACGATCCTTTACACAGAGCAGACTTGAAACACTCTTTTTGTGGAATTTGCAAGTGGAGATTTCAGCCGCTTTGAGGTCCATGGTAGAATAGGAAATATCTTCCTATAGAAACTAGACAGAATCATTCTCAGAAACTGCTCTGCGATGTGTGCGTTCAACTCTCAGACTTTAACTTTTCTTTTCATTCAGCAGTTTGGAAACACTCTGTTTGTAAAGTCTGCACGTGCATAATTTGACCACTTAGAGGCCTTCGTTGGAAACGGGTTTTTTTCATGTAAGGCTAGACAGAAGAATTCCCAGTAACTTCCTTGTGTTGTGTGCATTCAACTCACAGAGTTGAACGTTCCCTTAGACAGAGCAGATTTGAAATACTCTATTTGTGCAATTTGCAAGTGTAGTTTTCAAGCTCTTTAAGGTCAACGGCAGAAAAGGAAATATCTTGGTTTCAAAACTAGACAGAATCATTCCCAGAAACTGCGTTGTGATGTGTTCGTTCAACTCACAGAGTTTAACCTTTCTGTTCATAGAGCAGTTAGGAAACACTCTGTTTGTAAAGTCTGTAAGTGGATATTCTGACGTACTTGTGGCCT